>NC_000002.12:9706969-10010000 GCF_000001405.40 Homo sapiens
ACCTAGCCCCACTAGACAACTGCAAAAACTGAGGCTCTGAGAATTTAATGTCTCGCCAGAGACATTAAAGGTCATGGTAAAGACAAAATTCAAAAGCAGATGCTGTTATATCAAGTCAAATGCTTTTTCTAACACAGTGTACACACGCACAGAAATAAGCTAATGATCAGTCAGGGAAAACATTCTGCACCTTGTGTGTGTGTGTGTGCGTGTGTATTTGCAGTCGCCTCTCAGGTTTTCCATGGAACTGTTGTGTAAATGGAGGTGGCTGGCTCAGGAGCAGCCCTGCAGGATTCACAGGGGTGAAGTGTCAGCACGGGCAAAACCAAACACATCCAGAGAAATCCGAACCAGCTCTGTTTGCAAAGAACAGAGGCTGCTCAGCTGAGGCAAGAACACCACTGTTGTCTGCACTGGCTTTCATCTGGAATGTCTTTAAATAAAATGATTTGCACTCGGCCAGGCACAGTGGCTCATGCCTGTAATCCCAGCACTTTCGGAGGCCGAGGCGGGTGGATCTCCTGAGGTCAGGAGTTCAAGACCAGCCTGACCAACAAGGTGAAACCCCCGTCTCTACTAAAATACAAAATTAGCCAGGTGTGGTGGCAGGCGCCTGTAGTCCCAGTTACTTGGGAGGCTGAGACAGGAGAATTGCTTGAACCCGGGAGGCGGAGGTTGCAGTGAGCTGAGATCACACCACTGCACTCCAGCCTGGGCAACGGAGCAAGATTCTGTCTCAAAAAAAAAAAAAGATTTGTACTCTAAACACGAGCATTTCCAATTAATCTCCTTTTTAAGCAGAAGATGTTATCTCCAGGGGGCAATAAATCAAAGTCCAAATGAAAGGGGTCACTCTGGCCACCCGGAGGGCTGTCATGATGGGGTGTCATGATGGGGAGGCTGCAGGCTCAGGACGTGGCAGTGCCCCCACCCCCGTCAGTGCTGCCTTCTGTGGCAGGAACGAGCCTTTGTCTGCAGGCCTGGGGAGCTCGAAGACAGATGTGTAACCCTGTTGGCTGTACCTTCAGCATGTGTCTAGGATTCAACCTCATCTCCACCTCCATGCTGCTCCCTCTAGCTTCCTCCCTGGGATCACCACCTCCTAACTCTGCCCTCCCCTCTGCCTTCCAGACTATTCCCATCATAGACACAGTGACCCTTTTAAAGCTCAGACTCTGCAATAACGGCTGCCCATCTCACTCACAGAGAAGGAACAGGACCAGGAGGGCCTAGTGATGGAAGGACCAACACATGGTTGGATGACAGACCCTGAAGGGCCCTTGTGGAGGGGCTCCATGGGAGTTGGCTGTGAAACCACCCAGGCTGAGGCTCCCCTGTGGGCTTGAGTCATGCCCGGCCAAAGCTTGCAAAGTGGAGGCTGTGTCGCATTTTCTGTTTTCCCCATGCCTGACATCCAGTGGGCACTAATAAATGTTTAACGAGTAAATTAGTGCGTACAAGAGACAAAAGTCTTGCTCTATGGTTGCAGTATTTGATGTTTTTTCCTTAGGCAAAAAGGACATTAAAAACCATTTGAGACGGAGTCTTGCTCTGTCACCCAGGCTGGAGTGCAGTGGTGCAATCTCGGCTCACTGCAACATCTGCTTCCTGGGTTCAAGTGATTCTGCTGCCTCAGCCTCCCGAGTAGCTGGGACTACAGGCATGCGCTACCATGCCCAGCTAATTTTTGTGTTTTTAGTCGAGACAGGGTTTCACCATGTTGGCCAGGCTGGTCTCGAACTCCTGGCCTCAAGTGATTCGCCTGCCTTGGCCTCCCAAAGTTCTGGGATTACAGGAGTGAGCCACAGCGCCTGGCCCACGCTTCTTTTAATGCCCCTTATTAGTCAGCAGTTTTGGAAAGAGAAACCACTTCCCACAAACCTGTGACCCTCCCACAGGGCCTGAGGCAGGAGGCAGCCCCTGGGAGGCTGGGATGCTGCTGGGACGCACGGAGCCACGGTGCCTGGTGCCTGCTGAAGCTGAGAGACCCTGTGTGGCTCCTCCTGCCCCCTCCCCTGGCCTTGAGTTTTCCATTTCCAGTTCTGTTTTATACATCTTGCTGCCTGGGCCCTTTCTGGCAAGTCATTTCAGAAAGAGGGAGGGGACTTGTTTTTGAGAGTTACCGATACTCCCAGAGGGCCGAGGGAAGAGACTGAGGCAAGTTGAGTGCCATGGGACCGTTTCTAATGCACAGCTCTGCTCACACCTGTCCACTGCCTGAGAGCCTTCAATATACAATAATGACAATGACATCACCATTGACAACAATAATAACAGCAGTCAATGTTTGAGAGCTTCATGTGTGCTTGGCATAGAAATAAACTCACAGATATGATCTCAAACGCCCACACTGTGAGTTAGAAATTACTACCCCCACTTTATAGTTGAGGAAATAGGAGGCTTAAAAATGAAGCAGCTTGGCCCAGGTTACTCAGTGCAGGGGCCGTGAGCGAGGCCTCTCAGAACTCTGACTGTGGGAGCGACAGTGACCAGCAGCCCTGCTGCTGCCCTTGGAAGCCCATTTCCATGAGGCTACGCCTCCCCTGGGCTACTCCTAGTCCATGGCTTGGCCTGGCAGAGACACGGAGGAAAGGTGGGAGATGCAGGCTTGCTGTGATGGAAGACTTTGGCTGGAGGATCCCTGGCTGTCTTGCTGAGCTCAGAACTGCATTGCTCTGTGACACCCTTGCACACAACCTTCCTTCCTTCCCTCTTTCCTTCACCCAGGGCCAGGCCCGCATCGTGGGCTGATGGCTCTCCCAGCCTCCCCCAACCCCTGCTGCATTCTTCCTCACTGGCCTTGCCCTGATCACATCTCTCAAGTGGCCAATGCCATCTGGGTGTCTGCATTTTGGAAGATCAGAAACAACCCACACAGAAAAACAGTGGTGAAAGGACTGCTAGCTGAACCCCAGCATCTGTTCGCTGTTTCTTCCACAGTGAAGGAATTTTACCCAGTCTCCTGGAATGAAGACTACGTTTCCCAGGCTCCCTTGCAGCTAGCTGCAGCGTCACTGCTAGGCCTGGTCCATAAGATCTGAATGCAAGTGAACCCTGCAACTCCTGGATTGCATGCCCTCAGAGGGACGTGGTGGCAGTGCTCCTTCATGGACTCCGTGAGGAGGCGACACCTTGGGGGTGGCAGAGCAATAAGACAGAAGGAGGCTGGGTCCCTGCTGGCTTTGCAGTGCAGAGGCGCCGTGCCTTCTTAGACTTCTATGTGGGAGGGAAAGTCTTGCATCTTGTTTAAATTGCTGGTACTCTGAACATCTGTTACACCTACACAGCCAAACCCAATATCTCAACTGATTCAGATTTGAATTTTGGCTTAGTTGACAAAGCACTGGATTGTACAGGGCCTCAAAAGCCACATCATTAGTAGAAGGCAGGTTAATTGCAGAACCAGTCCAATTTGGCTCAACTTTATCAGTAACAAAATGATGAGTTGTTTTTCTGTTGAAACAGCCCCAGGTTGCAAGGCAGGTAACCTGAGCATGCCCAGATGAACTAAGTGTGCCTGACTCATGACCCCAGAGCCGGCTGGAATGGAAAAAGTTAACCACAGGTGGAAACTAAGTACTAGGATCCAGGAATGGGGACCGAATGAGGAAGCCCGGCGTGCCCTCTTTTGTTGCTGCCCTCTTTTGTTGCTGCACAGACTTAAGAGTCGAGAACCTTTTTTTTTTTTTTTTGAGACAGAGTCTCGCTTTGTTGCCGAAGTGCTGGAGTGCAGTGGGTCAAGCTTAGCTCACTTCAGCCTCCGCCTCCTGGGTTCAAGCGATCCTCCTGCCTCAGCCTCCCAAGTAGCTGGGATTACAGGCACCCACCAGCATGCCTGGATAATTTTTGTATTTTTAGTAGAGACTGGGTTTCACCATGTTGGCCAGGCTGGTTTCAAACTCCGGACCTCAAGTGATCCGCCCGCCTCAGCCTCCCAAAGTGCTGAGATTACAGGCGTGAGCCACTGCACCTGGCCAAGAGCCAAGGACCTGTCACGGCCTCTTTGCATGAACCTATCAGATCATGCTTCTTTGCACCTTCCTCTCTCTTTCACTGTTACTCTCTGCCTATAAATCCCGACCCCAGACCCCAGCTCAGGGAGACAGATTTGGGTGTTGCCTCCTGTCTCCTTGCAAGCCAGCTCACAATAAAGCTTTTGCTTGTCTCAAAAGCCAGTGCCATAATATTGGCCTCTGTGTGCTTCAGGCAGCAAGCCCATTGCTGGGTAACAGTAGCCCAGGGTGGAGGGAGAACGAGCGGGAGGCAGGGGAGCACAGTGGCCACGAGCACGGTGAACCGTTCTAGTGTGGCGCTTGGCACAGAGGAAGCCCTCAGGAAAGGCAGGTGTTACCCTTACGGCTATTACGATTGTGATTATGGAAGCCAGTCACACAGTGGGGTAGCAAGATTAGGATTAGCCCTGAGTGTGGAGCAATGTCTGCCATGGTCTGAAAGTGAGGCAAGAGCCTGACCTAGGGCTGAGAAATAATTTGAATCAGTTGTGGAGCAGCAAGTTGATTAGATAGCAGGGGAAAAAAATCAACCCCAAGGCAGCAGAGATGCTTTTCTAGTCCCACAGGGGAAGACTTCCGGCCTGCGAGGTAGACACCATCCTGCTCATACCTTGAAGGCCCAGGGAAAATGGGAATCGGCCACCATGTTGGGTGGTTTGGGCCACTGCATCAGCACCCCTGAGCCCTGGCACCGCCCGCTGTGACTGCAGAAGCAGGGGAATTTCTCAGCCAGAGTGATCCATTTTGGATGCCAGTACCATGGGAGGATGCCAGTGGTCAGCTCTTTCCTTCCCTTGTCCTATGTGTGCCCTGAGGTCAGCAGCTAAGTCACATCTGACCTGCCCCCCATGCAGGAGTGACTGGGAGGACAGGATAAAAGCAGCTCCCCAGCCTGGCACCTGGGGCTCTTCACAACCTGCAGCCCCCAGTCTAGCTCCTGCTTCACCCCCAGCCGGATGCTCGTCCCACCATCACACCAAGCCTCACTCCTGTAACTATGCTTTTGCCTGGGCCATTCCCTTGAGCCTTTCCCTCTTCTCCCTCTGGCCAGCTCCTATTCATTCTGCAGTGCTCAGTCCAACATCACCGCTGGGAAGCTCAGCTTTCTTGATTGCTCCCTCCTCTCCTGGGACCCTGCTCATATGTGTCTTTTGCTAGACAGAAGGCTCCTGAGGAGCCAGGATTCTCACCTTTTTTTTTTTTTTTCTCCATCCCCATCAGGCCACAAAATGCATGGCACAGGGAAGGGTTTGACAACTTTTTGATGGATGAACAAAGAAGATTCAAGCCACTTGTCAACAAGCTCAAAGTGATTGAAAGTGGAAGCATTTACCCACACGCTCATGCAGAAAATGACAGGAAATCATCCAGAGACACTTGTGACAGAGATGAGAACTGTCACTGTTGAGAGGTGCTGCGGAGATGGGTGTCCACGGATGACCGTTCGGAGGCCGACTTCGGGGATGTGGCCCCATTAGCTCAAGAGTGGGTGACTCCCTACCACACTGATGGCGTTGGCCAGGACAGGACAAGCCTACTGCAGTGACACAGTGTCACTGATCCCTGATGCCCACGTGGGTGTTTTACTTTAGCTAATGCTGCAGAGATAATGCAGACAGAGAAATGAGGCCCCAGCGCTGAGCAGCCCAATCACCTGGTTGTAAGCAGCGAGTGTTTCTGGCTCTGCTCCTGGGCCCCAAACCACTGTGGGCTCACGAAGAATCTTTCAGAGTTGGAGTCAGAATGTCAGGGTTTGAGTGTAGTCTCCACCCCTTAATGACCTTGCATTGATAATTCTATTCCCCGAGCCTCATTTTACCCATCTATAAAATGAGGACAAATAGTTTATTTCCTGGTTACTTCACTAAGATGTTGTATCAAAAAAGAATATATGCAATAAAATGCTTTCCTAAGTAAAAAAAGATTTCCTAAGTCAAACACAGATTTTATTTTATATTTTTAGTTAAGGTTTGCAAAATTAGATGTCAGATTAGGAAATCCGGACTACCGTGTGTGATCAGCAAAGTTATGACTTCAAAAGAAAACATAATTGGCGGAAAAACCTTACATGTGAGGCAGACATGATGAGATCTAACAACCGGTGGGCATTGGTGGATGAGTTCTGTCTTACCTTGTGTTTATCTTTTGAAATCTAGGTAATCTTAGCCAGGAGCTATGTCTCATGTCAATAATCGCAGCAGTTTGGGAGGCTGAGGCGGGAAGATCACTTGAGCCCAGGAGTTCGAGACGAGCCTGAGCAACACAGTGAGACCTCATCTCTACAAAAAATTAAAATAAAATAAAATAAAATAAAATCTAGATAATCTGACCTGGTGACTTAAGCACACACACACACACAACACAACACACACTACACACAACACACAGACACACACACACACACACACACACACACACACACACACACACAGCCTGGCCAGTCTTTGGCTCCTAGTATAAGTCTCAACACTGGGCTTTGTGATTCCACATGAGCTATTTCAAATTCTACCTTTACCAAACACAGTAGGTAAAATCCTAGTTTCAGGCATAGCTTCTTGGACAGAGAGAGGTATTATTATTGTTACCACTAAAAATAAAAATAGGAGAATATTTGCCTCACATATAATAGCTAATGGGCTTGTATACTTAATATAAAAGAAC
Source organism: Homo sapiens (assembly GCF_000001405.40). Classification (NCBI taxonomy): domain Eukaryota; kingdom Metazoa; phylum Chordata; class Mammalia; order Primates; family Hominidae; genus Homo; species Homo sapiens. Next base: position 9,713,644 of record NC_000002.12, read on the forward strand.
ACTTACTAAAAAATAAATCAGGAAAAATATTCCAACAGAAAAAAATGGACAACAGACCCAAGATAAGAAGTGTAAATATAGGCCGGGCATGGTGTCTCACACCTGTAATCCCAGCACTTTGGGAGGCCAAGGTGGGCAGATTACCTGAGGTCAGGAGTTCAAGACCAGCCTGGCCAACATGGTGAAACCCCATCTTTACTAAAAAAATACAAAAATTAACCGGGTGTGGTGGCGTATTCCTGTAATCCCAGCTAGTTGGGAGGCTGAGGCAGGAGAATCGCTTGAACCCAGAAAGTGGAGGTTGCTGTAAGCCAAGATCACGCCACTGCCCTCCATCTTGGGTGACAGAGCGAGAGTCCATCTCAAAAAAAAAAAAGTGTAAACATACAATAAGCATTCCTACAGAAACTTAACCTCATTAATGATTAAAAATTCATGTTAAAATAATAGGAAAACACAATGCTTTGGCTATGAAATCAAGAAGACTGTAAATATGGCAATATAGGGCCGGGCATGGTGGCTCACGCCTATGATCCCAGCACTTTGGGAGGCCAAAGTCGGTGGATCCTCTGAGCTCAGGAGTTTGAGACCAGCATGGGCAACATAGCGAGACCCCCCACCCCGAATCTCTACAAAAATTAAAAATTAGCTGGGCATGGTGGTGCACGCCTGTGGTCCCAGCTACTTGGGAGGCTGAGGCAGGAGGATCATTGAGCCCAGGAATTTGAGGCTGCAGTGAGCCATGATTGTGTCACTGCACTCCAGCCTGGGCAAGAGAGTGAGACCTTATCTCTAAAAAAGAAAATACGGCAATATATATCAAAAGTCACAAAAGCACATTTGCCACAGAAGTTTTATTTCTAAGAAAAATGTATGAAATTAGAAAATGCTCAAAGCTTTAGCTACAAGATTGTTCACTCCTAATAGCTCTGTCTGTAATAGTGAATAATTGAACATAACCGACAGAATTATAGGGCAAAAAAACCAAGGCACCTTTTGAGGGATTACTTAAGATCACCACAGTGCTGTTAGAGAGTGCACACGCACGCACACACACACGTCTAGCAGGATGTTCACAAATATGTTAAGTGGGCAGCTGGGTGGTAAGATTATGGGTGGTAAGACTTTTATGGCTTTTTTCCCCTTATCTTTATTTTGTACTTTATCTGCAGTGAGCATGTTAAGCATATGTCATGGGAAAGTCTGTAAAGGTTCTCATGGGTGAGCGCTTCCCAGTACTGGGGCCTCCGCCACGCTCTCTTCTTCAGTCCTCACTCGAAGCAGGGAGAGCTCGGGTGATGGGAAAGGGGCCCGCGGCTGGCCAGGGGAGCTGGGTGTGAATCAGATGTGCCTGGTTCCAAAGCCCAAGCTCTCAGCACTTGATGTGCGCCAGTAAGTGGCTGATGGGAAGTGGTGTACGCTTGGTACAGGGTGTTCTCTCTGGTTCCCTAGAGAACCAGAACTTCCAGGTATGTCTCTTCCGGGGCTGGAGTGCTTCTGAGTAGGGGCCTTCCACACTCTCTGGAGTGCTATTTAAACCGGGCTCATTAGGACTCATTGGACACAGTCTGGCTGTCGAGAGCTCTGCAACGTCCTGCCCATCCTCCTAGCTGCTCCGTGGCCTCTGGAAGCCATGGTTTGGTCCATGTGAATTTAAGGGATTGCAGCTCTGACTGGAAGAGCAGGAATTCAGGGCCTTGAGCCTGCCCTGCCTGCGTTCCTTACTGGCTGAGGGACTTTGGGAAAATCAGGTTGCCTTGTTGAGTCTGTTTCTCCAACCTCCAGATTGGGAGAGTGTTTCCTGTCCCACCTCCTCTAGGGTTGCTTGAGGAATGCACTAGGAGTGTGATAAGCAGCAGTACTTGTGGGAAGGGTGGATGTAAAAGTGCTCGCACAATTAACTTCTCGGGCTGGTATGCAAGTTTCTTGTTCTCTTTGAACAAGCGTCCTTGACTGCAAAGCCAGTGATGTATCTATCTCGCCCACCATTTCCTGATATGCACTGTTATGGAGAGAGAATGGGGAACGGCTTACATGTGGGGGTTTTTAGGGGGGCCAATGATAGGTATCCAAATACTTCAGTGTGATATCCTTGGCACAGAACAGGAGAATTTAGTATGGACAAGTTGGCAATCGAACTCCTGAATCATCATTTGCATGTGTGTGCAGGTGTCCATAGGATGACCGCATGGCTATTTGGTGATGCTCTCCAGCCCAGGGAAGGAGATGAGGGAGACAGCCATGGTTGTGGGAAGATTTCTGTTTGTTACAAACACGGGCAATGTTTGATGATATCCTGTCCTGCGTGCCCCGGCACTGGGTTTAAACCTAATTTTATTTGGTCACCTACGGTGTTGCAGCATGAAGAAAGAACACAGGCTCTGCCCCTTACCAGGAGCAGGGCTTTGAGTTATTTAATGCCTCGGAGACTCAATTGCTTTCCCTGCATCCCAGTGGAAGCAAGTCCATGCTCTGCCCATCCCAGCAGGTGGGTGAGACCGTTGTTAGCAGCAGCACCTGGCCCTGCCTCAGTCAGAGCAGGCCCTCAACAGGGCTGTGGATTCGATGGCCCCTGACTTGAAACTCTGGCCTGGCTCAGAGCCTTTCTGGATTTGAGGGAAATGCATGTTGGATTTGGGGTGCACAGCCCAGGAGACATGGTTTCCTTTAGCACCTTGGGTTTCTGACAGGCTCTGAGGGCACTGAGTTCTGGAATGAGGGCTGCATGAACCAGAAGCCCCCGAGATGTGGAATGTTGGCAGAGCACAGAAGTCACAGCTGATTCGTTATACATTCACTAAGTCTCTGTCACCAATGTTTTGGGACAAGTATCTTGTGCCAGGTGCTGGTAAGTCTTCACTCCACCCCTTACTGGCTATGGGAGGAGGCACAGAGGTCACCTCTGTAAGCCTTAGTTTCCTTATCATAAAAATGAAAATGCGTGCACTTTGGAAAGCTAAGGTGGGAGGATCGCTTGAACCCAGGAGTTTGAGACAAGCCTGGGTAACATAGTGAGACCCTGTCTCTATACATAAGAGGAAAAAAGAAGAAAAAAATTAGCTGGGCATGGTGGCATGCGCCTGTAGTCCCAGCTACTCGGGAGGCTGAGGTAGGAGGATCCCTTGAGCCCAGGAGGTCAAGGCTGCAGTGAGCCATGATCATGCCACTGCACTCCAGCCTGGGTGATGAAACTAGACTCTGTCTCCAAAAAAAATAAGTGGTAGTGGGGGATGCCATGACCAGCTCTGGTCTTATCCACCTTGTAGGGCCTTGTGAGGGAGAGGGTGGCTGTCTTGGGCAAGAGAACCTCAGGCAAGACTAGGGCTCTCCTAATTTTTGGGCTCCTGTCTTGGAGTAATTTATTCCATGGCCTCAGTGGCTCATCTGTAAAATGGGGTAATAATACTGTAATGACAATGGGGTTGCTAGGAGGAGTCCTGAGATAATGTTTGCAAAGTGTCTGCCCCAGCCCAGACCCTCAATCCCATACAACCCTCTCTGCACCACAGTCCAAGGGGGCATCCTCCTCCCACCAGCTTTGTTGAGGATTGTGGGAGGCATTCTAACTTGAAGATGTGTTTTCAGCTAAATCTGCCCTTCTGAGAGAGAGAGTGTTGCTTTGGCAGGGTGGTTCCATTCAGCACTCACAGTGGACAAGGCCCTGGATGCTAGTTTCTGGGTGGACACACAGATGGATAAACCAACCTTGTGCAGCACGCAGTTTAAAGAGGAAGATGGACTGGGCGTGGTGGCTCACGGCTGTAATCCCAGCAATTTGGGAGGTGGGGGCAGGTGGATCACCTGAGGTCAGGAGTTCCAGACCAGTCTGGCCAACATGGCAAAACCCTGTCTCTACTAAAAATAGAAACAAATTAGCCGGGCGTGGTGGCAGGTGCCTGTAGTCCCAGCTACTTGGAAGGCTGAGGCAGGAGAATTGCTTGAACCCAGGAGGCGAAGGTTGCAGTGAGCAGAGATCACATCATTGCACTCCAGCCTGGGTGACAGAGCAAGACTCTGTCTCAATTAAAATAAAATAAAACAAAAGAGGGAGATGGACAGACACATAGGACAGAATGATCAAAGGCCCACACAAAAGGTACACAGCAGAGAGGAAGGGGTTTAAGTGGCTGGGAGAGGGGGACTCAGGGGTTGGATGCTGGGGTCCAGAGAGGCCTTTGATGAATGGAGAAGGTGGGAAAGTTATTTCCCAGAAAAATACAGGAAGGTGAAAGGGTCCCCACCCCTCCCCAGCTCCTCTGGGGAGACTGTCTGGAATGGAGGTGGGTGGCAGTAGGTGGCCCTGGGAAGCAATGTGGGGTCAGGGTCTTGAAGGGACTTGGATGCCACACTGAGGAGCTTAGGATTGATTATGATGGAGGAAAACCACGCTGGTGGTTTTGCCAAGCAGAATCCCAAGGGACTCATTGCACCCACCAGGGTTCTCTGAGGCCCCAGCTGCAGAGGGCAAGGCGGAGCCTGAAGGCTTCTGTATTAGTCCATTTTCACACTGCTGATAAAGACATACTTGAGACTGGGAAGAGAAAGAGGTTTAATTGGACTTAAAGTTCCACATGGCTGGAGAGGCCTCAGAATTATGGCAGGAGGTGAAAGGCACTTCTCACATGGCGGCGGCAAGAGAAAATGAAAAGATACAAAAGGAGAAATCCCTGATAAGGAAAGCCATCAGATCTCGTGAGACTTATTCACGTCCATGAGAACAGTATGGGGGAAACTGCCATCACGATTCAAATTATCTCCCACCAGGTCCCTCCCACAACACATGGGAATTATGGAAGCTACAATTCAAGATGAGTTTTGGGTGGGGACACAGTCAAACCATATTAGCTTTCCACCACAGAGGTCAGAGGGAGGGGAAGAGGGAAGCGAGGCCTTCCAATTCATCTCTGGCCCTGGACCACTCCTGGGGGTGACCTTGGGGCCGGGGAGCTCCAGCCTTCCTACTCGAGGGGTTTCTAACTTAGAATCTGACAGCAGCCAAGGAAGAAGGGCTGAGCCCACATCTGTGTGGTTATCCAGGCAGATGCTGCTGTTGGCCCTGTGGACTTGAAAGAGGAAGAATTCTCTCAGAAAAAGTTTTTCCTGATGTTTTTGGAGAATAGGAGCCATTTCTCAATAACTAGAGACTTCCTCAGCAAAATCTCCATAGGCCCCCAGACATTTTCTCTCATACGCTGTCATCCTTCAGAGAGCTAGAGAGGTTTATTATTATTATTATTATTATTATTATTATTATTTGAGATGGAGTTTCACTCTGATTTTGCCCAGGCTGGAATGCAATGGCGCAATCTCAGCTCACCACAGCCTCCGCCTCCCAGATTTAAGCGATTCTCCTGCCTCAGCCTTCCGAGTAGCTGGGATTACAGGCATGCGCCACCACGCCCAGCTAATTTTGTATTTTTAGTAGAGACGGGGTTTCACCATATTGGTCAGGCTGGTCTCGAACTCCCGACCTAAGATGATCCGCCCGCCTCGGCCTCCCAAAGTGCTGGAATTACAGGTGTGAGCCACCACACCTGGTCGAGATTTATTATTATTTTTAATCAGTGAGATATGGGAGAGGGAGCTGATCATCCCACTTCATGGGTGACGCATGCCAAAGCTTGGAAAAGCTGGATGCCCTGCCCACCCCAGTCACAGCTGCTGCACGGTAGACCCTGCATTCTCATTCTGCCCTCTAAGCTAGTGACTTCTTCACAGCCTGCCTGTGCTTATGGTAATATTTTTAACGAAGGGCTTTAAGTCCTGGGTGTAATGATGGCTTTTCCACTTACTGGTTGTGTGACCTTGATTGTGTCATTAATAGGGAGGCCAGATCAAATACAGGATGTTTAGTTAAATTTGAATTTCAGGCCAGGCGCGGTACTCACGCCTGTAATACCAGCACTTTGGGAGGCTGAGGTGGGTGGATCACCTGAGGACAGGAGTTCGAGACCAGTCTGGGCAACAGGGCAAAACCCCGTCTCTACTAAAAACGCAAAAATTAGCTGGGCGTGGTGGCGGGCGCCTGTAATCCCAGCTACTCAGGAGGCTGAGGCAGGAGAATAACCTGATCCAGGAGGTGGAGATTGCAGTGAGCCGAGATCACGACACTGCACTCCCGCCTGGGTGACAGAACGAGATTCTGCCTAAAACAAACAAACAAACAAAAATCTGAATTTCAGATAAACAATAAATAGTTTTTTAGTATAAGAATGTTGCATGCAATATTTGCTAACTCTGGCAACTGCAGTTATTCTTGTCTGTAAAATGGAGCGGTTGTGAAAAGTAAATGGGATCATGCGTTAAAAAGAACTTGCCACAAAGCAGCACTGGATGAATGTTAAAAAAATTAAAAATGAGGCCGGGCACAGTGGCTCATGCCTGTGATTCCAGTACTTTGGGAGGGCGAGGCGGGTGGGTCACCTGAGGTCAGGAGTTCAAGAACAGCCTGGCCAACATGGTGAAACCTCATCTCTTCTAAAAATACAAAAAATTAGCTGGGCATGATGGCGGACGCCTGTAATTCCAGCTACTCAGGAGGCTGAGGCAGGAGAATTGCTTGAACCCGGGAGGCGGAGGCTGCAGTGAGCTGAGATAATGCCATTACACTCCAGCCTGGGTGACAAGAGCAAAACTCCTTCTCCAAAAAAATAATAATAAATAATAAAAATATAAAATGAAAAACAAGCCCCGGTAGAAGGCCATATAAATTATCTCAGGTCTCTTCCCTTTCCTCACTTTAAAACCCGTCACAACTAGGGGTCCATAAATTTTTCCTGGAAAGCTCTAGACAGGAAATCTTTTAGGTTTTGTGGCCCATGCAGTCTCTGCTGTGGTGGCACAAAAGTAGTCAGAGACGATATGTGATCAATGGATGTGGCTGTGTTCCAATAAAACTTTATTTACAAAAGCAGGTGGGGGTAGGATTCAGCCTGGGGCATTTGCCACTGCCTGCTCTCCTTGGGGCAACTGGGTACTCAGCAAGTGATTTGATCTCAGGTCTTCACCTTCCTTCTGTATTTGCTCATGGTTCGCTAATGGCCAAGCACAGATGTTTTGTTCTTGTTTGTCAGAGAGCCACACATACAGCCTTGAGGACCACAGGCCAGGGGCCTGGCTTCCCTGGGAGCTTGCAGCTCCCTGGCTCACCACACCTAAAGTATATGGACAAGTCCTTGTGTTACCCTAAAGCTGCCACAGACATGAGGGCGGCCCACCCCAGCGGGCTGGGTTTCTAGGCAGACATGGCTCCACGCTCCATCGGCCAGGTATTGCCATAGCAACCTGGGTTGCAGCTGCCTCCCCCTGCTCAGCACTGACGAGGTGTGCTCCCTTGCAAATGAAGTCCCTAGGAAAAAAAAAAAAAACCAATGTCTCCAATCTTTGAAGGAGTCATTAGGTCTGGAAGGACCTAGTTCCTTTCAAATCCTTCCATGGCCATTTCGAAGTTACTGTCCTTATAAGGTGGGGACGTGGAAAGATTTGAAAGAAATAAAGCAAGACCAATAATAATGATGATAAAAGAAATATCCAAATGGTCTGTTGCGTATGTTCAGGATTTGCCTGTCCATGATCTCAATTTATCTTCACCATCTGGAACGTTTTGTCTAAGTCATTAGACTGCCTGACACCTACTGCGTGTCGGGAGTCATTCTAGGTCCCAGGGATTCAATGATGAAGCAGACAGACATTGTCTCTGCTCTCACGGACTTTATAGTTTATGCAGGGTTTGCCAGGAAGCCAAGGAAAGATAAAATAAAATATTACAAACTGCAAGATGCGCAGGGAAGGGGAGGCACAGGGCGTGGAGCGCTAAACAAAAGTTATGGAAGGCCATTGACTTGAACTAAGCTCCTGTACGAGGACCCCACAGGCCAGACTAAACATCAAAGTGGAGTCACCCAGGCTGAAGTCCCGCATCACCAAACTGAAACTAAGTTGTTATCTGACCGCTCAAGAAATCAGCAGAGAGGTGACAGCCAACTTCCCAAACAGGCTAGTTTCAATCTTCCACTGACATGATCATAAAGTTCCCTCTATTTTAATCCTTACACATAAAAAGGTAGCCTGGCTGAAGTTAACAAATAAGTTAATTTCCTATTGTTCTGTCTCCCTGTCCCCATCTTACAAGGACAGGGACTTTGAAATGACCAGTCCACTTTTTGTCCTCTGTGTCTGCTTTCTTCAGCCCTTTCTGTCTATAAAGCCAACCTCCACTCAGCACATCAGAACACGTACTCTGTTTCATGGAATACTGTGTTGCTTGATTCTAGAATCACAAATAAAGCCAATTGAGATCTTTCACTAAATTCATGGTAATTTTGTCTTTTGACAAGAGTAAGAGATTAATGTGTCTGTGGGGTAAACCTACCTGGGTAGTAGTATGGTAAGGACTGGCCTCTCAAAGGAGGTAGTATTTAAACTAAGGGGCCAAAAGGTAGCAGATGAAGTCAGAAGCAAGGGCCAAACCTCAGAGCACCTTCTGGTCATGGTGAGTGTGTCTGTCAGTGTCCAGGGAGTCAGAAACCATTAGGCACTTCGGAGGAGTTTAACATGGGGAGAGGGTTACAAAGGCATCAGAAGGGTTAAAAGGACAAAATGAGGCCGGGTGCGGTGGCTCAGGCCCGTGATCCCAGTGCTTTGGGAAGCTGAGGCAGGTGGATCACCTGAGGTCAGGAGTTTGAGACCAGCCTGACCAACATGGTGAAACCCCGTCTCTACTAAAAATACAAAAATTAGCCGGGCGTGGTGGTGCATGCCTATAATCCCAGCTATGTGGGAGGCTGAGGCAGGAGAATCGCTTGAACCTGGGCGACAGAGGTTGCAGTGAGCCGAGATTGCACCACTGTACTCTAGCCCAGGTGACAAGAGCGAAACTCCATCTCAAAAATTAAAAAAAAAAAAAGAAAAAGAAGGACAAAATGGAAATGAGTGGGGCAAGGATTGGAGGAGCAAAAGGGAGAGAGGAACTGTTACCCAGAGGTGAGTAAGAGGCTGATGCCCCTGGGCCCATGAGCCCACATGCTTCCATCCTCATTACACAATCGAGCAACTTGAGGCTCAACTTTTCAATAAAATGAAGGGCCTTGTTTTTATTATATACAGCCAAAAAAAAAAGCTTTAGAAAAATGTAACTAAATGGATGAAATAATGAATAAATGCTAAAAATAAATAATCACAAGAGCCCCTACAACTCATTAAGAAAAACACTAACAACCAATAGGAAATTGGGTACTGGTTATTAACAAATGGTTCTCCCCAAAGGGAACGTAGGTGGCTTTGAAATATATGACAAGATGCTCACTTCACTGATGGTAAGAGGAATGGAAAATAAAAATCCAGGGGTGTATTAGGGTTCTCCCGAGAAACAGAACCTAGGGGATATACAGTCATACGTTGCGTACCAGTATTTCAGTCAACCACGGACTGTATATACGACGGTGCTCCCATAAAATCATAGTGCTTCCATAAAATTACTGTATTGTTACTGTACCTTTTCTATGTTTAGATGTGTTTAGATACACAAATACCATTCATGGTGTTCCAATTGCTACAGTATTCAGTACAATAACATGCTATACAGGTTTGTAGCCTAGGAGAAACAGGCTCTACCATACAGCCTGGGTGTGTAGTAGGCTATGCCCTATAGGCAAGTGTAAGTGTACTCTGACATTCGCCAAACAACAAAATCGCTGAAGGACCCATTTCTCAGACTGTATCCCTGTTAAATGACATATGACTGGGTGGATAGATAGATAGATGGGAAGGGATTTGTTAGGGGAATTGCCTCACAGTTATGGAGGCTGAGAAGTCCCATGACAGGCTGTCTGCAAGCTGGAGACCCTGGGATGCTGGCAGCATGGCTCAGTGCAAGTCCAAAGCCTCAGAACCAGAGAAGCTCTCAGTCTTGGGGTGATGGCCCGGGAACCTGGCTGGAGAAGCCGGGACATAGAGGGTACTACTGATGTGTGGCACTGTACCTGGCTTCCTTCATTGACTTTTTAATCCACTCCCACTTCTATCTGAAAAAATAGGTGAACTAGAAATCACCTTTAAGTAGTCCTAGTCAAATGCCCAACTATGTTGTAAAACTTTGAAAGTGAAAACTTTTTGGTATAAAAATTAAATGAGATAAAGTATGAACATGAACATTTGCTTAGCTTAGAACCTGACATGTGGCAATCATTCGATAAATGGCAGTTGTTAGTACAATACTAACCTGTGATTAATGGAAATTTATGTAACAGAAAATTCTGAACTTAATAAACTAATAAGTCTATTTCGTTCCCCACTTAGAACCCAGGGTCTAGCAGAGGTGTGATGAATAGAAGATGCTTCATCTGTATTTGTTGAATGAATGAACCCCACTGTCGTCTCCATTCCCATTATCAAAACCTAACCTTGCCATTACCAGCGACAGCAACCACCACTGAACTCAAATTCCAGCTGACTTCCCAACCACTGAACCCTTGAGTTGCCCAGCAGCCCTGCATGTCCCTAATGCCCTTCAGCTCCCCTAGGTGACTTGGCCTTGGCCCCCTCGCATGTCTTCACGCTCGCCCGCATCTGCACCTGACGCTCTCCTTCCTCCAGAGGGGCTGTCCATGCTCCTTCCCAAGACACAGATTCGTACCAGCCCCCAGTCCCTCCCCTCCCCACTGCATCCTGCATTTCCCCCACCGAGTGGATTCTTCCCATTTGCATGTACATGTGCTGTTATTTTTTTTTTATCTGCACTCAGAGACCCCAGCCCAGCCCCTTCCCTGAACGCCAGGCTCATGTTTCCAACAGTGTCCTCAAGAGCCCGACCTGGGCGTCTAACAGGCATTTCAAACTCACCACGTCTAGAGCTGCACCACTGAGCTCACCCTGACAAGGTCCTTCCTGCACTAAGCTCAGGCCAAAAGCCTAGAGTCACCTTGAGTCACCTTAACCCCTCACCTCTTGAACCCCCTCCCCTTCATTTCCTGCAGGCACACTGGCAACCTTGCCCTTCCTCGAGCACGCGGATGTCCAGACCTCTCCCTGGCTGCCCCCTCACTGCCTCCACCCAAACCCCAGCCTTTCAGGGCAGCCTTGCCCAGGCACCTCCCAAGTGGAACCTGTGCGTGCCTACGCCCCAGCTGTTCCACTCCCACATCTGCACTCGGTAGGAACACCCTTGCATGTTCACCAAGAGACACGTCCAAGAATGCGTCCAGCAGCACTGCTCATGATACATTTTGAAACCATTTCTAACTTACCTTTGAGTTACTCCAGCACTTCTAAACCTCACGCACAGCCCCACAGGGAACTAAGGCCTTGTCGAGCGAAAGACCCACCCTGCCTCACTGCCTTTCCACTTTGCCTTCTCCAGAGCCGGGTGGACTTTCTCATTTGCCCAGGGAAGCAGTGCGGCCAGGAGTCGAGGGCCAAGCTCTGAATCCAGCCTGCTGGAGTTTGAATCCAGCTCTTTCTCTTGCTGTGTGGCCTTGGCCAAGCTGTTTAACTTCTCCGTGCTCATTTCCTCATCTGTAACATGGGGATAGTAATACCACTCGCCTCCCAGGACTGCTTATGAGGATTAGCTGAGTTCACACCTGTAACTGTTTGGAACGGCTCCTGCAGCAAGGCAGGGCTCGGTAACGGTCGCTCATTATTTCTGTAGCATGGTCCGCTGGCTTAGTGCAGGCAAACGGGTCTGGGTCAAAGTGCAAGGCTTCCACGCGGAGTTAACACAGCTGCATCCAAGTGACTCAACCTCTCTGAGCCTCAGTTTCTTCATCTGTAGAGCAGTTAGTGGTACGTGCCTCTCAGTGTTCTCAGGAGGCGTGCCCTATGTTACTAATGCTTGACAAGTTCCTGCTGCGTTTTCCGATGCCTAGTTCCTCGCTCCCCTTCACTCATGCCACTGTACTCATCTGGAAAGCCAGCTCCCTATGCCCAGGTATGGCCATCCCTGCAATCCCTTTCCAATGGATTACAGAATGCCACACTTGGAAGAGACGTTAGACCTGGACTATCTAGTCTAGGCCGCTCATTTTACAGATGGGGAGACCGAGGCATATAGTGGCGAGTGATAGTCCAGAGTCACACACCTTACGGTTCTGCTCACTTTATGCCTCCTTCTCTGTGACAACTTAGACATGTTCGGCCCCTTGAGTGACCTGCTGTCCCCACTTGCCTGGGATCAGGACTTTCCTGTTAACGCTAGGATGGGATGTTCACTCTGGCCACCTCCAGAATAAACACGTGCTTGGAAATGTCAAATGCTGAAAACATGTAATGGGCTTTAAGAACAATGTTTAAGAATCACTGGATCATGGGTGTACACATATGCCCAAGCTCATCAAATTGTACACTTTAAATGTGTGCAGTTTATTTGATATCGATTATATCTCAATAAAGCTGTAAATGAAAGAAAAGAAGAAAGAAGGGGGGAGGGATAGCACTGGGAGATATACCTAATGCTAGATGACGAGTTAGTGGGTGCAGCGCACCAGCATGGCACATGTATACATATGTAACTAACCTGCACAGTGTGCACATGTACCCTAAAACTTAAAGTATAATAAATAAATAAATAAATAAATAAATAAATAAATAAATTAAAAAGAAGAAAGAGATCCATCCATCAATCAATTGGCCCTGAGAGATAGCAGTCGGTCATAAAATTGCAGTGGTGAGTATTAGTTGAACATGTGTTATGTGCCAAGCACTTTACATGCATTGCCTCCTCCTCATGGTGGCTGGAAATCTCTCTTTGTTGTGTCAAGAGGGAAACTGGGGCCCAGAGAAGTGAGTTGTCCAAAGGCCCAAGTCAGTCCTCCAGCAGCATTTTCTTTATCTTCTATGTATCTCATATTTGTACTCAGAGATACTCATTTCCTCATCAGGAAATGCAGACAAGGCCAGGCACGGTGGCTCACACCTATAATCCCAGCACTTTGGAAGGCCAAGGCAGATTGGCCGAGGAGTTCAAGACCAGCCTGGACAACATGGAGAAACCCCATCTCTACTAAAAATACAAAAACTTAGCCAGGTGTGGTGGCACAGCCTGTAGTCCCAGCTACTCGGGAGGCTGAGATGGGAGGATCCCTTGAGCTTGGGAGGTGGAGGTTGAAGTGAACCGAGATCGTGCCACTGCACTCCAGCCTGGGCGACAGAGCCAGACCTTGTCTCAAAAAAAAAAGAAAAAAGAAAAAGAAAAAAAGAAAGGCAGGTGAACACAAGGAAGTTTATGGCTTAAACTGCTTTATTATGCAACAGCCCATGCCAGAGACCCAGGAAGTGTCCTCCCAGACTCAAGGAAAGGAGCAACTGGAGTTCTTTGCTCAAGCCTGTCTTAGAAGCCACAGAGTATGGAGTCTACCAAATCTCCCAGGCTTGGGTTCCCAAGGGAAACCGAGCTGGGGCCTCGTGGAGCTCAGTTCTGGAGAATCTTCCTAGTAGCAGGTGTCTGGGTCTCTGGATCACAAAGCTGCAAGACTCAGATTCACCTAATTTGAAATCAGAAAGAGACCCTAGTGTCCCCACTCCCCATTACCAGATGGGATAAGCTAATGCCCAGAAAGGGGGCATGACTTTCCAAGGCCGCACAGCAAGACAGCGGAATGACCTGTGCTCTGACCATAGGTTCCCCCGAGCAGCACTGAAGGGGATGCCTGCAAGGCAGAGACTTTGGAGAACATTCAGTCTTGGGGTTCCCTAAGCTGGCTGCAGAATCACCTGAGAATCTTTGAAGAGATACCCACATCTGGACCCCACCCCAGACCAGATAAATCAAAATATCTGGGGGTGAGACCTGACATGGACATCCTTCTAAAGTTCCTCAAGTAATTCTAACGTGCAGCTGGCGCTGAGAACCACTGTTCTAGACAAACTAAGCATGAGCCCCAAAGATGGGAAATGCCAGGCTGTAGTGACAGCTCTGAAGACCAGAGAGGAGCTCACCCCTGGTCTTCAACCCCACCTTCAGGAATTTTTTTTTTTTTTTTTTTTGAGACGGAGTCTCATTCTATCACCCAGGCTGGAGTGCAGTGACATGGTATCGGCTCACTGCAACCTCTGCCTCCCGGGTTCAAGTTATTCTCCTGTCTCAGCCTCCTAAGTAGCTGGGATTACAGGTGCCCACCACCACGCCCGGCTAATTTTTGTATTTTTAGTAGAGACAGGGTTTCACCATGTTGGCCAGGCTGGTCTCGAACTCCTGACCTCAGGTGATCCACCCACCTCGGCCTCCCAAAGTGCCGGGATTACAGGCGTGAGCCACTGCGTCCAGCTCAGGGCTCTTTCTAATCCAATACACTGCTGCCCTCTAAAAACAGTCTGATGTTTGATCCCCATCAGAGCAGCGCCAAATCTGGCTGGCGGGGACGTTGTGCTCAGATGTGTTTGGAGCAGAGAGCCCCAGTGAGGAAGGCAGACTCCAGGTCAAGTGCCGAGCAAGTTGAGAATTCTAGTGTCACCATAGCTGAGTTCACTAATTTCCAGACTTGGAGAGATTTAGCCACCCCACTCTCCCCTAAGTCATTCTGTCCACCCTCCCAGTGGCAAGGCCTCTACTGTCTCTATCATTACAGCAGGCCTGCGGTGTCTATTGCTAGTGCTAATTAACAGATGAGCCGAATAAGGCCTCAGGGAGGTTAGGCAACTTGTCCATGGTCACAGGCCAATACACAGGCCTTGGCCAATAATTTGAACCCAGTTCAGCATAAAACCAAAGAACATGTTCTTGCTCCGGTCTTTTGCCAACTCCGTTTGGGTCCTTCCTGCATAGGCTCAGATTAGCCATTTGGTCATCATCCACCCTGGTGTCCTAGTCCCAGGTGCTCCTTTCCTTGAGTCTGGGAGTACACTGCCTGGGTCCCCGGCAATGGGCTGTTTCCTCCTGCTCTTCCTTGCCCAGAAACCACTGGCCAGATTATGGACCAGGGACACACACAGCGTCTGTCAGGGTCTGAGACTGAATCTGAGATTGGAGACCCATTAAGAACCAGCTCTGGCTCCAAAAATCTGCCTCTTGATCTCTGCAAAGAGCTGGTATAGCTGGAAGAGAAACAAATTAGAGCCGAGATTCTGTGAGGCTTATGTTGAAGCAAAGCCTGCCATGTGAAGCCTGGGCTTTCTTTTTCATCTTCATTTAAAAGGAGGGTGTTTATGCAAATTTGTCATGAAGGTTTAGCAATCTTGGCTTGTCCTGGAGCCAAGCTCTGCTTCCTAATTGGATCGGGGATAATTGTTAATGCTTACAACCAATGTTCCTCTTAAAATTGCATGTTTTGTAAGAGTGGCTCCTGAAAACATATAATTCTGATGTTGTAAAACCACTGCATCAATGCAGAGTTTTGAAAACATGGAAAAGTTCACCAGAAAACTGAGGGGGCTGTTATTCCTGGTTGTGACAGTCTTGGATGTCACTGGTTGTGATACTCTCTGGATATCGTGGAGAAGGAGACACAGGCACTTGTGGATTGATGTCTCAATCATACAGGAAGATTGGTAATTCTGGGATGGGACACAAAGAAGAAAGAGAATCAGATTAGGAGGCCTGGTCATGCTGTGCCCCAGGCTGCTGAACTGTCTGAGGCAAATCTTTTGCAGCCTCAGTTTCCTCGCCTAAGAAATGAAAGGGTTGGGCTAGATGCCCCCAAGTAACTTTGAGTCACTGAGAAACTTCACTTCTCTGGGCTTCACTTTTCCCACATGGCAGTCGAAGGTATTGAACTGGGTGACTCAGAAACAGCCTGGCCCTAAAATTCCATCACCTCTGAAATGTTCTGCTGTTGAATGATTCCCAGTCTGCAAGAGGTGTTGCTGGGCATCCCCCTTCATCGTCTTCTTCCCTTCTTCCCAGCAAAGTTAGTGTAATATTTCCTTGATTGCATGTGGCTTGATCTTTCCAGTGCTGGCAATACAGGTGGATTTAAGGAAATTTCATTTTCTACTTTCAGAGTCAATCACAGTTTAGCCTTTTTTATCCCTTATAAATGTATCGGTGGATGATGGGGGAGAATGAAAGGTGCAGAGCAGGCTTAGAGCCACGTTCTTCCTTCTTTGCCTTGCAAAGAAATGAACCTCTGAGGCTCCCTGCAGGGTGGACAGTCTGCCAGAAGCTTCCTGTCTGCAACTTTGATGCTTGCGAGTCTTGAGTCCAGGGCTGGGGACTGGCCAGGGGTGCTGCTGTGGGACCTCTCCGTACATTGTCTTCTGTGAGCCTAAGAAGGCTCCTGGACAAGGCATGCCTCTCCTGCAGACTCTATGGCTGCTGGGGACCCTTGCAGTGGCCCCTTCACGCTACATGGCTTCATCAGCTGCAGCTCACAGGAGGACAGGGGTGGGCCCTGCTCCCAGCTCCCCTTACAGCTCCCGGTGTATCCACTCTCGCACTTCAATGTTAGAGTGGTTCTCTCGGGGGGCTCCGGGCCCTCAGGAAACCAAGCCTTTTTTATTTGGGCTCCGTCCCCTATTTTGGTTCCAGCTGAGGATTGGCTAATCCTACCGCCATTCCAGTTCTGTGGCACCTTGGATCTGCTAATGGAACCAGCTTGCATGACAATCTCGGTTCTGGTCTGACCACGGCCGTTTAAACAAGGCTGGACCTCCCATGCACTGCGTGCCACGGAATCACTCACGGCCAGCAGTGCGCACTCTTGATACAGGTAGGTACAGGGCCACTCTCTGATACTCCTGACACGTTGCTTCTGAGCGGCTCCTTCTTTGATCCCCTTCCTCTCCAATCCTCCACTTACAACCCTGGCTCCCAAGATCTTCTTCTGTTTTGCCTGGACGGTAACCTATTCTGACCCCCTCTTTGTTTTCATGGAGGCAGCCTTCTGTTAGGTACTTGGCTCTGAGAGTCTTCCTTATGTGAGTGTCCTTGAAACTCCAGATAAGTCTCCTCCTACTGCCCTGGGGCTCCCAGGGCCCTCCAAGGCCATGCCCTGGCTGGAGAAGAGCACAGAGATCAGGCTGCGCAGCCACCTGGATATCTGTTCAGGAGAAGCTCGTCCAGCCAGCATCCACCCCCGGGCATACACTCTTGCTCGTGAATCTTAGGATTAGTGGCTTTTACCTCAGACCCTTCCAACCTGATTTAGAAACCTTCCCTTCCCTTCCCTTCCCTTCCCTTCCCTTCCCTTCCCTTCCCTTCCCTTCCCTTCCCTTCCCTTCCCTTCCCTTCCCTTCCCTTCCCTTCCCTCCCCTCCCCTCCCCTCCCCTCCCCTCCCCTCCCCTTCCCTTTCCTTTCCTTCCCTTCTTTTTTTTCAGAGTCTCACTCTGTCTCCCAGGCTGGAGTGCAGCGGTGCGATCTCGGCTCACTGCAATAGCCTCCCAGGTTCAAGCAATTCTCCTGCCTCAGCCTCCCAGGTAGCTGGGACTACAGCACACACCACCATGCCCGGCAAATTTTTGTATTTTTAGTAGAGACGGGGTTTTTCACCATGTTGACCAGGGTGATCTCGAACTCCTGAGCTCAGGTGATCCTCCCTCCTCAGCTTCTCAAAGTGCCGGGATTACAGGTGTGAGCCACTGTGCCCAGCTGAAACCATTTATTTCTAAAGACAAACATGAGAGTCTAGATGCCAGAATGCACACAAATCCTAGATCAAATTGGGGGGAAACCCTTGAAAAAGCAGGGCCAAATTGGCAGAAAGGTGGAAAACGTCACTGGAGGCCAGAAAGTCAAGAAAACAGAAATCCAGAGAGAAAAGTGGTCACTGAGGCTGGGGTTTGCCTGGGCAGATACTGGGTCACATAGGAGGGATACCAGAGACTGATTCGAGGTGGAAGGTCACATTGGAGACCCACCCCCAGCATAAAGCCACCACCAGCACTTCCAAGAAAGGTGTTTGGGACTCTTGCCTGTCTGTGCCTGGACTCTGGCTTTAGGGGAAAAAAAGAAAAATTGTCTGCTGAAAATTTGTAGCATAAGCCCCAAATCTCACTCAGGTTTAGGGCCAGAATTCTAGCAACCTACTGCCACTTTTTTTTTTTTCCTTCTAGCTGCCTTTTTTTTTTTTTTTTTTTTTTTTGAGACAGAGTCTCGCTCTGTCGCCCAGGCTGGAGTGCAGTGGCGCGATCTCTGCTCACTGCAAGCTCTGCCTCCCAGGTTCATGCCATTCTCCTGCCTCAGCCTCCCGAGTAGCTGGGACTACAGGCGCCCACCACCACACCCGGCTAATTGTTTGTATTTTTAGTGGAGACGGGATTTCATCGTGTTAGCCAGGATGGTCTCGATCTCCTGACGTCGTGATCTGCCCGCCTCGGCCTCCCAAAGTGCTGGGATTACAGGCATGAGCCACTGCGCCCGGCCCCAGCTGCCTTTTAAACAAAAATCCTGTTGCTGCTTTAAGTGAATGTTTGGCTTTGGGTTTTTCAGGCCACACAGATAGCATGAGTTCCAACGCCTGGCAGAAGCAAACATGAATCCTATCTGAGGGAAAAGCACTTAAAGCCAGGCCTCAATGGATTTCCATAGATAAAGTTCTAAGGAATATGAGCTGTCAACTAAAAATCCCAAGACACATGCCAAACAAGTAAGCAGAAAAGTCAGTTACAGAACCAGACCCTTAAGACTGCACATATTGGAAATACCAGACATGGAATACAAAACAGGTAGCGCTGAGTGTTTTGGTTTTTTTTTGTTTGTTTGTTTGTTTTTTGAGAGAGAGAGAGAGAGGGTCTTGCTCTGTCACTCAGGCTGGAGTGCAGTGATGTGATCTCGGCTCATTGCAACCTCTGTGTCCTGGGTCAAGTGATCCTCCTACCTCAGCCTCCCAAGTAGCTGGGACTACAGGTGCACACCACCATGCCTGGCTAATTTTTGTATTTTTGTAGAGGCAGGTTTTTGCCATGTCTCCAAGGCTGGTCTCGAACTCCTGGATTTAAGCAGTCTGCTCACCTTGGCCTCCCAAAGTGCTAGGATTACAGGCATGAGCCACTGTGCCTGGTCCATTTTGTTTGAATTTATTTTTATTTATTTATTTCTAAAATTTTGATCTTTTATTCAGCTCATACCTATGGTTGATGTGTTTAAAGAAATAAAAATAAATAAATAATTACCAAAAAATGTTAAAAATAACCAAATAGAACTTCTAGAAATAAAAAACATAAGAATTGAAGTTAGAAACT
This sequence comes from Homo sapiens, assembly GCF_000001405.40. NCBI lineage: Eukaryota > Metazoa > Chordata > Mammalia > Primates > Hominidae > Homo > Homo sapiens. Next base: position 9,732,754 of record NC_000002.12, read on the forward strand.
CAACAGAAATCAGCAGTTAGATTCAGGTAACGAGAAAATTTATGAACAGGAGAATAGATCTGAGCTCTATAGAGTAGCACTAGAGATATAATGTAGCCCAGAGGAGAAAAATGAAAGGAAAAGGTATGAAAAGGAAAGTAAGATTTGAGTGATGGAGCCGGCAGGTCTAATACACATTTAATAGGAGTTCCAGGAAAGAATAGAGGGAAGGCAAGAGAAGCAAATAAACAATGGGCTGAGAACTTTTCCAGGAGTAATGAAAGACACAAATCCTTAGATCCAATAATGAAGATAAATAAAAATAAATACACTCTTGGACATATCATCGCAAAGTTTCAGGATGTCAAAGGCAAGATCTTCAAAGCAAGCAGATTACCTTCGAAGAAGTAATGATTAGATGGAAAGCTGACATGTCAGTGGCAACAGTGGAAGCCAGAAGACAACAAAATACATCTTAAAGTGCAGAGAGAAAATAACTGCCAGCCTAGAAATTATGCCCAGTGAACCTAGCTTTTGAGAAAGCAGGAAAATAATTACATTTCAGTGAATAAAGGAAATAGTTCATTACGGTTCTCATTAAAAGGACTTCTAAACTAGGCATATACTTTAAGAGAGGGAAAATGATCCCAGAAAGAAGATCTGAGATACAAGCAGAAGTGAAAAACAAGGAAAATGATAAACTTTTGGGTAAATATAAACAAATATTGACTAAAAATCATAATTATAATACCAGGCAGGGCATGGTGGCTCATGCCTGTAATCCCAGCACTTTGGGAGGCCAAGGTGGGTGGATCACTTGAGCCCAGGAGTTTGAGACCAGCCTGGGCAACATGGCAAAATCCCGTCTCTACAAAAAATACAAAAATTAGCCAGGCATGGTGTTGCACACCTGTAGCGCCAGCTACTCAAGAGGCTGAGATGGAAGGATTGCGTGAGCCTGAGGTTGCAGTGAGCAATGATTGCGCCACTGCATTCCAACCTGGGAGACAGAATGAGACCCTCTCTCAAAATAATAATAATTATTATTATTATAGTATCCAATGTGTGAAGTTTTAAAAACTAAAAACATAGGCCTAATATACTGCTCAGCAATAGTATTTAGGCTGAATAAGAAAATTCTAACCATTCTGAGGTTATTTTGTTGTTTGGGAAGATGATAAAAATGTTGAATAATTTCATTTCATTTCATTAATTAATTTATTATTATTTTTTGAGATGGAGCCTTGTGCTGTCTCCCAGGCTGGAGTGCAGTGGCATGATCTCAGCTCACTGCAACCTCCGCCTCCCAGGTTCAAGCGATCCTCCTACCTCAGCCTCTGGAGTAGCTGGGATTACAGGCGTGCACCACCACACCTGGCTGATTTTTGTATTTTTGGGAGAGACGGGGTTTCGCCATGTTACTGAGGCTGGTCTGGAACTCCTGACCCCAGGTGATCCACTCACCTCACCCCCGCAAAGTGCTGGGATTACAGGCATGAGCCACTGTGCCTAGCCGATTAATTTTAGATTCTATTTCAGAAATTATGCATATCAAAATATCTAGATAAGTACCAAAAGGGTAATAATTGGTGTGTAAACTTCCAAACCAGAAGGGGAAAAAATGGAATAAGAAAATCAATCAATACAATACAAAAGAAGGTAAGAAAGAGGGAAAAAACCCAACAGAATAAGTGGGATGATTAGAAAGCACAAAATAAGATGGTAGGAATGATTCAAATATGTCAATTATTTCCCAATAAATGTAAACAGACTAAATTATCTGGATAAAAGACAAAGATCATTGGAATGGCTGAAAAAATGGTGGTTAGAAGAGATTTATTAACAACATAAGAACAAAGTCAAAAGTAAAAGGATGTTTAAAGATGTAAGTAAAATATTAACCGAAAGAAATGATAAGAATATTTATTTAAAAATGAGAAAACAGACAATATGACCTTTATCACTATTTCTATTTTGGATTTCATGGAGTCTTAGTATAATAAAAATATTAAAATAAAACATGTAAACACTAGAAAGAAAAAAATTGCCATTATTCACAAATTACATAATTGTCTTCAAAGAAAATTCAAAATAAACTACAAACCTACTCACATGGTAAAAATTTAAATAAGTATTGAGTGAAAATTAACTTCCCTCTTATCCTGGTCACCAGCTCTCCTTCCCCGCAGCAACTACTGTTACTGATTTTCTAGAATACCCTTTCAAATATATTCTATCTATCTTCAGACTTAATGATTATACTCCAAGACCCCCTGTGTGATTCTTTTACAATCACACCCCCAGCAGCATTCTCAAAGGGCTTGTCTCCCATATTGTGTGTCTGGGGGAGCTCCATTCAATGTGTTGGCAGTTTCACTGAGCACCCACTATGTACCAGGTACTGTGCTGGGGACTAAAAGATGAAGAAAACATTATCCTTCCCTGAAGGTTCTCAGGATCTAGTGAGGACAGAGACAGGGAACCAACTAAGCCTCATATGGCAGATCAAATGATAGATGTCAGGTGTCATAATGGAGTTAGAGAGAGGTAAAGAAAGCCTGGGGAAGCCCAGACGAAACAGGAATGGACTTGGCATCAAAATAGGACTACAGAGGAGGAACTTGAAGAACAAGTAGGGTTTTCAGGTGTAAAGGAGGTGGGGAAAAGCATTGTAAGCTAAGGGAATAACACGATGAAGTGCAGAGACACAGAAGAGCTTAGCATGTTTGCCAAAGTGGGGAAGTGGTCTGATGGGGCTTTGTGGTTTGGGGCAGGGTGGTGCTGGAATGGAGAGGCCAAAACAAGCCAGATGGTAAAGAACCTCAAATGTTAGGCCAAGGGTTTATGACTCAGGCACAGGCAAGGGGGAGAGAAGAGAGGGGTGATGTGAGCAGGTTCATGTTTCCAGAAGCTCACTCTGCCTTGTTTAGGGGACCCATGTCCCTGTCCATTCCCTCTTCCTAGACCTCCCCTCCACCAAGGCGGTCTTTGTTTTCTGGGTGCTCTGGGAAGAAGTGTGGGATGGATTTGCTCTAATACTGAACAGTTCTCTGCAACTTCAGAAATACCTATCATCAAGCTTGAGGGGCAAAACTGCAGAAGTAGTTTAGGGGAAGAAGCCTGACCCCTAAATAGGGGATGTTGTATCATAATTTTATCCCACATGACTGTCATATTTCAAGGCCTGGGGCAAATGGCACCTCTTCCAAGAAACTACAATGTCACTATTATCTTTTCTGGAGAAACTTTCTTTAACTTCCTTATGCTCATCTAGCACGTCCCCTACTGACTCTGTTGGAACACCTGCTGGGCCTGCCCTTGTATGAATTTAGTTGGATTATATGGATCCATTAAGCAACTGCAGAGGTCCACCCATGCCAGGACCTGCACCAACTCTGAGGATGTAGAAATGAAAACATTGAGTCCTTGTCTTCAAGGAAGGAAGCTCACCCCAGAGATCACCTGGAGATCTTTATCTGCACAGTAAGACATTTGTTCCTGTGCAGCTCTGCCTCTCACCTTCCTGTAACTTGTCCCATCTAGCTCTGAAAGAGAATCAATTACTAACCATTGTCTGAGCATTGGGCCTAGTCATTTCCCCACTCCCCTCTCTGTTATGAAGAGGGCATTAAGCCTCAACCATCTGGTCCCTCTTCGAGTTCATGTTTTGTAAACACTCTTGCACATCTGTGCACATAATACCTTTGTTATGATTTTCTCTTGTTAACATGCTTTTTGTTGTAGGGGTGTTGGCTGTGACCCTTTATGATGGGGAGAAAGGGGATCACCCCTTTCTGTCCCTACCTTTTCAAGGTTTATGTACATTCTAGCATGTGTCAGAATTCCATGCCTTTTTATGGCTGAATGATATTCCATTATGTGAATATGCCACGTTTCGTGTATCCATTCATCTGTTGAAGGACATTTGGGTTGTTTTGCTATGGTCAATAATGCTGCTATGAACGTGAGTGTACAAGTACCTGTGTGGGTCCCTAATTTTCATTCTTTTGGGTAGATACTTGGGAGTGGAATTGCTGGGTCACATAGCAGTTACTGTGTTGAACTGTGTGAGGAGATTCCTCCCTCTCAGCAGCTCTTATGCTCACCTTCCTTTCTGTGTCTACTGCTGCCTTCTGCCTTCAGAAGCCCCCTCCTTCTTTCTGCACCTGGGCTAAGACAGCAGCTTCCTATTCGGTGTCTGTTTCCCACATCCACCTCTAGAGCTCATCCCAAAGAGTGATGGTGCTGTGGACCAAATTGTCTCCCAAATGCACGCATTGAAGATCCTACCCAGGACTGACTGTATTTGGAGATAGGGCCTTTATGGAGGTAACTAATGTTAATGGCGGTTATAAGTGTGACCTCAGTTACCTAATCCAATAGGACTGGTTTGGAAATAGATTTCTGTTGCCTAAGCTCCCAGCCTGTGGTGTTGTATTATGGCAGCCTGAGCAGATGAATGCAGATGGTGAGCAGCTCTTCCCCTGAGCCACACTGCCGAGGCTGCCCTGCTCAGAAACCTTTGGTGTTGCTGCCCTGTAAGACGGAATCCTAACGCTTCATCATTCGAGGCCGGCCCGTTCTCAGCCTTGCCTGCACTTCCGGGACTGTCTCTCCTTGCTCTTCCATCCCCAGGCTCTTCTTCAGCTGAGCCAGTGTATTGGCTCTTTCTGGAATAGGTTTTGTGCATTTGGCCTCTGTCCAAATGTCCCACAACTCCCCCTAGTGCCCTACTCACCCTAGTACCCCCCACTTCCTCTAGTACCCCCTACTCCCCCTAGTGCCCTACTCCCTCTAGTACTCCTCACTCCCCCAGTAACCCCTCACTTCCTCTAGTACCCCTGGCTCCCCCACTATCCCCCACTCCCCCTAGTACCCCCTACTCCCTCTAGTACCCCCACTCGTCCTAGTAACCCCCACTCCTTCTAGTGCCCCCTACTCCCCCAGTACCTCCCACTCCCCCAGTGCCCCCCACTCCTCCTAGTACCCCCATTCCCTCTAGTACCCCTGACTCCCCCTAGTACCTCCCACTCCCCCTAGTGCCCCCCACTTCCTCTGGTACTCCCCACTCCTCCTAGTGCCCCCCACTTCCACTCCCCCAGTCCCCACCAGGCACTTTGGAATGCCTTCTCCTGCTTTCTGCTTATTCCCCTCCTGCAGAAGCTCCCCTTGGGGATGGGGTGCAGGAGTCCAGTGATGTCCACTCGAGAAGCTCCTTGGGACATTTGCATTAGTACTATCTCTGTGCACATACAGTGGCGCACACAGTTGTTCAGCCCAGAAACTTGTGAACACACAGCTACTACTGACCAAGCACCTATTCCATGAGGACTTTAAGAGGATACTTTGAGATATAAATAACAGAAAAAGTCAAAATGGCTTGCAATAGTCATAGCTGACACTTACATGACACTTACCATGTGCCAGACGCGATTTGAATACTTTCTACACATTAACCCCTTAAATCCTCACAATGATCTCATAAACCAGATACGGTTATTATCACCATCCCCATTTCACAGATGAGGAAACTGAGAAGAGAGAGAAAATAAACAAGCCAAAAGTCCTCAGTAGTAGTGGTGGTGGATTGGGCAGTCAAGCTCTAGAGCCTTTGCCCCTGACCCCCACTGTCCCGTGTCTCTGACCTTGGGACAGCATTCTCTCACTTAATGAGATGTCTCAAGTTGGGGACATCCCAAGGGAAATTAATTCAACCGCTCAAGGCTGTCACCAAGGACTTGGCTTCTTTTCATCTCGACACTCTGCCATCGTTAGCCTCTTGGCTTTTATGTTGGGTATTATCCCTTTATGTCACAATATGGCTGCAGCAGTTCTAAGTATCATGTTCTCACCCAACCACACCCAAAGGTCAGAAAGAGAGAAAGCCCCTTCTTTATAGCTCTTTTTTTAAGAGTAAGGGAAACTTTCCCCAAATTCATCCAGACACTTCCTCTCGTGTCTTGTTAGTCAGAATGAAGTTACACGCCCGTTCATAAACTAATCACTGGGTCACCGTGACTGGCTTAGACCAATCAAGACACTGTGCTAGGCTCCCAGGGAGTCCTGCTTCTCCTGAAGCATGTGGCTGCCAGAAACCCTGAATAAAACAGGCCTCTGGCTTGCTGGTGAGGGAGAGGAACTGGAAGGGTTGCGGGCCTGTCACACAGCATCGCTATTTCTGGCTCCCACATCAGCCTTGTGAGATCAGGACTTTTATCGTTTTATGAATAAGGAAACCAAGACTCAGAGACAATGAGGTGCTTGGCCAAGGTCAGCGGCTGGTGAGTGACAGAGTCTGCATGCTCAGCCCATCCCTAGGAGTCTGGCAAGGCTGGAAATTGGTCTTTCTTTTCCCATCCTAGATGGATTGCGTTGGAAAGATTCAGGCTCCTGTCAGCTGGCTCTTGCTGTCCCTTCCTGACAGCTGCGACTCTGAGAACAGTTTAATTTCAGAAACCCTCACACGGTGGCTCCTCTCCCTGCCAGGCATCAGGAGGCCCCAGAGGAGCAGCAGAGGCAAGACTCGCTGTCCAGACTCCCTTCTGAGGAGACTGCGGTCAGGGAGCCCAGGCTGACCCTCGTGTTCTCATGCCTCGGTCCTGTTGATAAGAGGGAAGTCTGTGCTGGGTTCCTATCCACAAAGCCCTTGCGGGGAATGGGTCCCACACGCCGCTTCTGCAGACCCAGCTCATCCTGTTTCCGGTTTCTATTTTGTTTTTTCTTTTTTTTTTTTTTGATACGGAGTCTCGCTCTGTCGTGATCCGCCCGCCTCGGCCTCCCAAAGTGCTGGGATTACAGGCGTGCGCTACCGCGCCCGGCCCTGTTTCTGGTTTCCAATTCTCTTAGGATGTCAGTGCCTTTGATCCTCTGAGCCCCCGGAAGGGCTCAGCCCTCTCACATCTGCCTTCCTCCTAGAGGTGTGACGCCTGCCCTTCCGCCAGGGCGAGGCAGGGGAGTGACTTGGCGCCCGAGTCCCGTTTCCCGTCCCCTCTCCGTTGCCTGTGCTCAGAGCCAGGGACTCTGCTATTTGTAGGCCCCGCGGGCTCTGTCTGGGGTCTTTCCCCAGGGGAGGGTGTGCGTCCGGGAAGGAGAGGCAGCCTGGAGTTCCTTCTGGATACCGGCCAGGCCTGCGCTATTTGCCTGGAGAGGCCATCGGCATCACTGAGAAGGTCCCTGGAACTCGCTGCTCAGACACATATGTGGCAGCCAGTCAGGAGCTACGTTCTTCTTTGCTGGAAACAAGCAAGGATAGACTGTGATTTTCCTCTCCCTCTGTTGTGTATTTTTCACTCCTGTCTCTCCATCAACCCACCCACCCATCCATCCATTCATCCACTCATCCATCCACCCACCCACCCACCCATCCATCCATCCATCCATCCATCTACCCATCCACCCACCCATCCATCCACCCACCCATCCATCCATCCTACCATCCATCCACTCATCCATCCACCCACCCACCCACCCATCCATCCACCCACCCATCCATCCATCCATCTACCCACCCACCCACCCATCCATTCACCCACCCATCCACCCATCCATCCACCCATCCATCCACCCATCCACCCACCCATCCACCCATCTATTCACCCATCCACCCACCCACCCACCCACCCACCCACCCATCCACCCATCTATCCATCCACCCACCTGTCACATAGTGTGGCAAATACAACAACGACTCACATGTGGTTCCTGCCCCTACACCCTCAACACTCATACCCTAGTGGGGACTCCTCCAACCAACGAATGCAGAAGGTTTTAGCTCCCTGATGGGCATTTGTATTTGAAGTTGGGGGGTGGGGGGCTGCACAAATGTGCACAACTTAATAGAGGTCCTTCTGGCATTGTGCCAAAGTGAAGCTGAGGAGGAGTTAAATTTTTATGTTTTTTTGGTTGTTCAGCCTCTGTAGAGAGTCTCAAAAATTCTCGATGCCAATTATATTTCAAGTTGTCATGACAAGCTATAGGGAAAAGTTTTCAATTAGCAATAATCATGTCTCAGGCAAACCTCATTGGCTATGGTACCGCCACTGCAGAAATCTGAGGAGTTATTTTTAAGCAAGGGCTCTGCCTTCCCAGCGTGTCTTAAATTTCTCCAGGGTGAGTCAGATCACCCCTGTTCTTGGGGACCTCTTACACCAGCTACTGGTCGCCAGGTCTAGGGGAGGTTAGTGACCTCAGCCCTGGAAGGGGAGCCTCAAAGTCACTGGTGAGCCTCAAAAGAGGCTGGCAGGGCTGCCTGCCCAGACCCATTTGCTACAGTTATAATGGGGAGTGTCCTTGGGTAATGAACTGCTATGTAGAGCTCCTGATTAAGCACTAATTAATTATTAATGCACTGTGTCATAATTTTGCCTGGCCCTTTCTATGCCAAAGAATTGTATCCCACAATTCCATTTGTGATCCTGCATTTTCTGATTTGTGGCCATGGTGGCCCCTTTTCAAGCTCACCTGTCTCTGCAGTGGCCAGATGGATCACTGAGGGTACATGCACCACGAGGTCATTGTCCACTGGTAGTAGGTGGCATGGATGACGACTCATGGGTGTAACGTGTGAACAACAACAGATACACCGGCTGGAGTCAGCCACACTTGGAATTCTGGCTGTAATGCTACTGTGGTTTGGATATTTGTCTCCCGAAACCTCATGTTGAAATTTGATCCCCGATACTGGAGGTGGGGGCCTATGGGAGGTGTTTGGGTCATGGGGACAAATCCCTCATGAAGGTCTTGGTACTGTCCTTGTCCTTGTTATAATGAGTAGGTTCTTGGTCTATTAGTTCCCTCAAAGGCTGGTTGTTTAAAGAGCCTGGAACCTCCTCCTCCTCTCTCTGGCTTTCCCTCTCCCCATGTGATTCTTACACATACCGGCTTCCCTTTGCCTTCTGCCATGAGTGGAAGCAGCCTGAAGCCCTCACCAGAGGCAGATGCTGGCACCATGCTTGTTGTACAGTCTGCAGAACCATGAGCCAAAGAAACCTCTTTTCTTTATAAGTTACCCAGGCTCAGGTATATCCTTTATGGCAATGCAAATGGACTAAGGCAAATGTACTCACCTTGGTGTTACCTCAATCATGTTACTTAACCCTTTGAGCCCTTCTCATCCATACAGGAAGGAGAAGAGTAGCACCTGCCTCACGTGTTTAACCAGAAAGAGGACCTCAGGCTCCAGTGATGGATCGGGACATGTCTTGTCCTGAGGTTTCCTTTGCTGTACTTCACTTGGGGCCATCTCAGGAACCAGTGTAAGGTCACTGGAGATGCCACTTGGAGGAGGCACTCAGCTGTGCCTCTGGCCTGCACCTGTGCTTGGTTTATGGGTGGGGTCAGTTGTTGGGACTATTTTAGTTACAGGTTCCAGAAATCCATCTTCAAACTGCAAAGGGGAATTCTTGTAAGGATTTGGGGGTGTCTCCCAGAATCTGAGGGTAAGAACTGAGCTGGCTTTCAGGAGCAATGGGAACTCATGGTTCGGCTCCACCTGAGTCTCATCCTGGCTTCTCTTTGTGAATCTGCATTTTTCTTTTCCTGGAGATGAGATTTTCCTCCTTCTCTGTCCATGTGGCATGACATGTAGTCACCACTGCTCCCAAAATTTAGCTTCTCGTAATCCCAACGCTTTGGGAGGCTGAGGCAGGTGGATCACCTGACTTCAGGAGTTCAAGAGCAGCCTGGCCAACATGGTGAAACGCTGTCTCTACTAAAAATACAAAAAATTAGCCGGGCATGGTGGCAGGCGCCTGTAGTCCCAGCTACTCGGGAGGCTGAGGCAGGGGAATCACTTGAACCCAGGAAGTGGAGGTTGCAGTGAGCCGAGATCTCACCACTGCACTCCAGCCTGGGTGACAAGAGCGAAACTCTGTCTCAAAAAAAAAAAAAAAAAAATGCAGCTTCTCCATTCAAGTTATTAGTTAAGACTGAACTGACATGTCTTGGTCCTAAGTTCCAGATGTCCAGCTGGGGCCAGGGGTCTGCAGCCACACGTGGGGTCTGAGAGAGCTGGCAGCTTTGCTGGCAACATGTGAACAGTGAGAAAGCCAGGACAGCAGTCCTCAATGAGGCCAAGTGGTGCTGGGACGAGCGGGGTCCCAGGAAGAGGGGCTGTGGAAACTGCTCTACCGCCCCTGCCTGGGGCTGCTCACTGAGAGGACACACTTTCTTGAGTGTCACCATTCCTCCATGATGGCTTCCAAGAGGCTGAGTGAGCATGCGCTTAGGGCACCAGCAAGGCCAGCAACAACAGTGAAAACATTTTTTTTCCTGACAAAAATTGTTTGGGTTTTTTTGAGACGGAGTTCTGTCACCCAGACTGGAGTTCATTTGCTAGATCCCGGCTCACTGCATCCTCCGCCTCCTGGGTTCAAGGGATTGTCCTGTCTCAGCCTCCCGAGTAGCTGGGACTACAGGTGCGCACCACCACGCCCAGCTAATTTTTGTATTTTTAGTAGAGACAGGGTTTTGCCATGTTGCCCCAGCTAGTCTCAAACTCCTGGCCTCAAGTGATCCTCCTGCCTCGGCCTCCCAAATGCTGCAATTACAGGCATGAGCCACCACACCTGACCAAAAATTGTTTTTAAAAATCAAATTCATCATAGGAAAAAAATTAGAAGCCTTCTGGACTTTTCTTACACTTCTTATAAAGTTGTTGACTATTTTTATCTTGAATGATATTGTTGGGTGCATTGGATTGCATAGCGTCCCCCCAGAATTCATGTTCTTCATGAACCTCAGAGTGTGACCTTATTTGGAAATAGGGTCATTGCAGATGTGATTAGTGAAGATGGAGTCATACTGGAGTAAGGCAGACCCTAACTCCAAAAAAGATTGATGTCATATGAAGAGGAGAAGAGACAGAGACACCACACACCAGGGAGAGAGCCACACAGGGAGGCAGAGACTGAAGTGAGGCACCTGCAAACCAGGGAATGCCAGCGGCTGCTGATGACACCAGAAGCTACAAAAGTCAGGAAGGGTCCTCCCCTAGAGCCTTCAGCAGGATCACAGCCCCGTTGACATTCCTATGTCAGATTTCTAGCCTCCAGTGTGTGAGGGGACACGTTTGTGCTGTTCTAAGCCATTCAGTTTGTGGTTCCTCCTCACAGCAGCCACAGGGAATGTCCACTGGGTTGGGGAGTTTTAGGCTTTTCAATACTTGCAGCATAAAACGCCCCAAATTCTTAGTTTATTCCTGCCTAGAGATGAACAGCACAGGCTCCAGAGTTGTCTGTGTCTGAATGAAAACCTTAGCTTTGCTATTTATTAGTTATATTCCCTTGGGCAGGTAACGTAGCCTCTCTGTGCCTCAGTTTCCATGTCGGTAGAATGAGGTGAATAATCCTACCCAGGTAATGGAGGTGTAAATCAGCTACTGCATGCAAAGAGCTTGACAAGGCACCTGGCATGTGACAAGGCCTCAGTGTAAAACAGTTGTTCTCATCACATCCCTCAGCAGGTCGGACGATGGTGGGGGTGGCCAGTCCAGGGGCTGTGGGCTCCCTTTCTGGGTGGGCAGGCTGAGAGGGGTCATCTGCAGGGATCCGGCTTTGTTGAGGGTTGCCTGGGAACCATGAACTTCCTGCAGGAAGAACTCTTCTCCTGGGGCAGGCTGCTGTAGGAGGGGTCCTCTGGCACCGGGACAGGAACTGAAGCCGGTCTTGATCTGCTCAGGGACTCAGCAGAGATGCAGCCCCAAGCCACCCGGCTACTGGTCTAGTGGGGGAGGTGTTCACCACCAGGTCCTTTGCCCCATGATTCTCTGCCCGACGGAGGATTGGCCCCAGTCCAAGCCTTGCCCTGTACTTATGACCATTTTAAACACATCTGCAGATGCTGTCATATTCAATAAAATATATCCTTGGAAAGGCAATGTGAAATTTATAGTGGCTTTTCATTCTTGCACATTTTCTCAATTACGGATACTAAAAGCCTAATCATGATCATGTGAGGCTTTGTAATAAAATGGTTTCATAAAATGTTAAGAAAGTGTCTGAAGAATGTTGGAAGCCTGTCCCACTGGAGGGTGACCCCTCTGCAATCCCGGCAGGAGGCTGTGCAAGCTGGAGTCCACACCTGCCACAGGAGCTCCCGCCTCCAGGGGAGCCTGTCTACAGGCAGCTCTGATTTTTGGAAAGCCGACAGCTATGCTGCCTGTGACCCTGCCTGCGACCCTGCCTTCCTGTCACCGCACCTCACAGTCCTGTTATCCCTCCTGGAGCACCTGAGAACAAAGGTCTGTCTTTTCCCCACCACAGTCCTCCCCATCCCCCTCTTCTGCCGACTTCTATCTTCAAGGTCACTCCCTGGGCCACCTCAGTGGGGCCTTTAGCCCAGCTCAGCCCCTTCTGCAGGCAGCACCATTGGCGCTGGTGGCTGCCCTGACTCTTGGTCCCCTGTGAGTGTCCTGTCTATTTTGCAGCAGGAGGGGAAAGGGTCCAAGGAGAAAGCCAACAGGTGTCCTCATGAATCCAGAAATGTCTCTCCCTTCCCACCACCTTAGAGAAGTGGTGCCTCCCCCTGTTACCGCCATCCCCTTTCCTCCCCACACCCACTGTGTGAAGAAGCACAGTGCCATGGAAAGGCCTAGAACTGGGAATCAGGGCACATTGGGTGTGCATTCCTTTTGGACCACTCACTAGCTTTGCAACCCTGGCAACTTCCTTGTCCTCTGACTTCAGTTTCTTCATCCAAAAATGAGATTGGCAATTTCACCTCCCAGGGCTTTTATAAGGATTAGGTGCATGGTACTTAGTAGGTGCTTTGTAAATATTAGATAAGCCTTGATCTCCTGGGCTCAAGCAATCCTCCCACCTCAGCCTCCAGAGTAGCTGGGACTATAGCTGCACACCATCACACCCACCTAATTTAAAAATTTTTTTATAGTGACAGAGTCTCGTTCAAGTGATCCTGCCACCTTGGCCTTCCAAAGTGTTGAGATTACAGGCATGAGCCGAAATTCTTGAACAGGGGCCACAGGATCATATTACAACTTCATAATATTTACCTGGAGAGAATTAAGCTGATAAGTGAATATAACAGGTGTGAATTTCATCTTTTCCCTGGCCAGAGCACCTGAAGAAGAAAACAATGATCCCAATCACCTTTACTGAAGCAAATCCTATCCTCTGGTTCTATCTTCACCTGGGGGCCTCTAACATCCTTCGAAGATGCTTCGCCGCAATTCCTTCCAGAAGTCTGCAGATGCTTGCCTGTGCTTGGCCATGCTGGAGTGACCACGTGGATCACGTCCCGGCTCTTCTTCTAGGGGCTCAGGACCGCTGGGGGTGGGGGTAGGGCAGTGAGAAATTGGAGGCTGATGCATTACCTATGGACCCATAGTGAGTACCCCAAAACCTAGCAGCTTACAACAGCTTTATGATCTTACACAATTTCTGAGGGTCGGAAGCCCAGCTTAGCTGGTACCTCTGGCTCGGACTCTCCTGCGAGGCTGCAGTCAAGTCGTTGGCTAGATCTGCATCATTGAAATCCCGGAAGGCCGGAGGATCCATTTCTAAGATGGGGAACTCCCATGGCTGGTGGCTGGTGTCCTCAGTTCCAGGATGGCTGTTGGCTAGGGCCCCCAAGGACCCCCAGCCACCTCCAGACTCCACATAGGTGTCTCCAGGGCAGTTGACTCCCCAGAGTAAGTGATTTGGTAATGAGCAAGTGACAGTGCCACTAAAACAGAAGCTGCTGTGTCCTTTATAACCTAACCTCAGAAGTGACATCCCATCACTGTGGCTGTATTTACTGAGTTGAGTCCACACTCCAAGAGCAGGCTGTGAGGGCCGGGAAATGGGATCACTGGGCGCCCCCCTGGAGCATAGAATCCAAGCAGAGAGGCCTGGCCACTCTTAAGTGACATTTCCCTCAGTCTGGGCAGCCCAAGGAGTTGTCGTCTACTCTGAGTGGGGGTGGGAGAGCCATCTGCTCCCAAGCTTTTCCTGGGGCAGTGCCAGATAATCCAGGCAACCCCCCTTTTCTATAAAGTTTTTCCTGGTGGCCATTACATTCCTCTTCTTTGATCTAGACATCGCCCTACTGTTGCCTTTACCATGAGCTTTCCAAACAAACAACCTCAAATTAATAATAAGCACAGCTCTCGTACTAATTACCATTTTAGTCCTAGGCCTAGTCCTAAGTCCTTGGTGTGGAACTCTCACCTGGGGAGGCTCAGCCAGTTATCCAAAGGACCCGTCCTCATGTTAACCTGCCCCCCCTGATCTCAGGGGTTCTGGAAGGCAGAGTGTTCCTCCTGTGACCCACAAGGCAAACCTCCTGTCATGGCATCAGGACCAGGCTACACAGTTTGGGAGGCCCAGTGCCAAATGAAATGTGTGGCCCCTTGTTCAAAAATTATTAGGAATTTTGGCAGGGCTCAGTGGCTCATGCCTGTAATCTCAGTGCTTTGGGAGGCTAAGGTGGGAGGATCACTTGAGTCCAGGAGTTTGAGACCAGCCTGGGCGATGTAGTGAGTGAGACTCCATTTCAACAAAAAATTTAAAAATTAGCTGGGTGTGTTGGCATGTACCTGTAGTCCCAGCTACTTGGGAGGCTGAGGAGGGAGGGTTACTTGAGCTGGGGAGGTGGAGGCTGCAGTGAGCCATGATTGCACCACTGCACTCCAGCCTGGGCGACGGAAAGACCCCATCTCAAAAAATAAAAAAAATTTTTTTAACATGATGACAACATTAAACTAATTACAGGAGCCTTGGAAGTGCGGGGCTCTGTACAACTCTGCAGGTCACATGGGCATGAAGCTGGCCCTGCACAGCACAGAATGCAGCAGGTCTGTTGGAGTGAAAGGTGTCACAGTGGGTTTGTGTCTCTATCCCAGGGCCTGGCACTGGGATGTCCCCCCGCTTGGCCAAGGCTGCTCATGCCCCCAGCCCTGGGGAAGATGTGGCTGATGGTCACAGCATCTTCAGAGACCCCTCCCCTACCCCCAGAGAGTCAATTCACTTCACTTCATGGGTCACGGGATTCTGAAATGTTTATGAAGCTGCCTGTTAGTTCTTACTTAGTTTTAAACGTGGCCCCTTATTCTACAACTCAGACAGAAGTCACATCAGGCTTGAGGATAAACCCTGCCTACTTAATTTCAATTCTCACAGACTCCTCAGCTTTTCAGAAATATATTTTATGTATGTATGTATGTATGTATGTACGGAGACAGGGTCTCACTTTGTTGCCAGCTGGAGTGCAGTGTGATCACAGCTCACTGCAACCTTGAATTCTTGGGCTTAAGTGATCCTCTCGCCTCAGGTTCCCAAAGTGCTGGGATTAAGGGCATGAGCCACTGTCTTTCAACATATAGTAGCTGGTTTATTTCATAATTGCTATGTTTTGAATGTGTCCCCCAGAAGTTAGGGCTTTAGAAACCTAATCCCTTTGCCCTCTTGAATGGATTAATGGATTCATGAGGGCTTTGCCTTTATGAATGGATCAATGTCACTATCATAGGAGTAGGTTCATTATCACAGGAGTGATTTTGTTATAAAATGGAGCTCTCTGGCTATCTTGCTCTTGCTCTGTCACCATGTCCTTTGCTGGGATGCATCGTCATGCAGCACAAAGGCCCTCGCCAAGGGCTGGTGCCATGTTCTTGGACTTCCTAGCCTCCAGAACGGTGAGCTAAATAACCTTTCTTTAAAAAAACAAATTACCCAGTCTGTGATATTCTGTTGTAGCAACAGAATACAGATTAAGACAGTAATTCTATGTATTATTTTATTTGATTCATTATTGGCAGCCACCAAACTACCAAAGGGGTCCATGGCACAAAAAGGATAAGACTGTCAGGAAGAGATGACCTGGCAAATGCAGATGTGGAAAAGGAATAGGCTTGGAGCAAATGCAAGGTTTAATCGCTCTTTCAGGGTTGTATGCTCCCTGCCCCTACTAATTTAGTAAATGGCTTTGTCACGGGTGTGTTATTGTTTGCTTTTCTTTATGGCATCCCTCATGTCTGGGCTAAGCAGGTGACTAAGCACTTGGGGCTTGATGGGCTGAAGATGGGGCATCCCCAGGCTCTCTGTTCTTGGAGAAACAGCTGCAGAGTGTTCCTTGAATATGTGTCAGGATCTAATTTTACTAGGAGGAAAAAAACCCTGTGAAACTATAGATGCGAATGTGAAAGAACAGAGGGGAGGTTATCTGCCTTGGGCCTTCCCTTCTCGTCCTAGTCATTTGTTGAGCATTTACATGCATTGCCCCCATTTAATTCTCGTAGAGCGTGGGAAGTAGTTTTCTATTCCTACTTAACAGAAGAGGAAATGTTACAGGAGGTATTTCAAGACTTACTCCAGGTAAAGCTGTTTGCAAATGACAGAGCTAGAGCTTGGTGGTCCCAAAGCCTGTGTCATGCTGTTCTCACTGCCTCTGTGCCCAGCCTATGTAGGGCAGGGAGAAGAACACCAGGGTGGCATTAGGCAACTCATGGGTGTCTGGAGAATCAAACAAGGCAATATATACCTGATGAAAGGAGCCTCAGAAATTCAAAGCAAGTGATTGCTTTCATCTAGGATGGTCCAAGAAGTCTTTCTTGAGCTGGATCATAACAGATTCAGACATGGAGAGGTGGAGAGAAAGCTGTGGGGCTGATCGTGGGGGGTAGGGGCAGCAAGGGGATGGGTAAGGACAGATCAGAGGAGGTGGAGGGGATCAGTAAGAGAGGGGGCTGGTGGCCTGGGATGGATGAACGCGAGCTTGATTGCCAAGTTGAGCAGTTTATACTTATTTCAGTAGGATATTGGGGAGCCACCAAAGTTTCTTCAGAGGGGAAGCTGTACAATAAAGCTTCACTTTAAGAAATGAATTGGGAGTTAGGGGGTGGCAGGCCTGGAGACTGGGAAACTGGTTAGGAAGTTATTGCAACTGCTTGGGTGAGAAATGCTGAGGACCTGAAATAAGGTGATGGAGGGGAGACAGGAAGGTCAGCAGGAGCTGGACGCCTGATTGCATGGCAGGGCACGGGTGGCTGGGAGGACCCAGCGGGGCATGTGGACAAGAGAGAAGTCACGGGAGGCTGAGAGGACCAGCTATATGGCTTTTAGCATTGGAGTGGCCACGGGGAGTTTTAGCTAATTCATCCTGCAGGTTCCCATAGGTTCTGCAAGGGAAGCCCAACTGGCCTGTGATAGATACCTGTCTGGAGCCCAAGCTCTCCAAGCTGTCTCCTGGTTTCCAGGAGAGATCAGCCCTTGCCCCAGGCCTGCTACATTGGCTTTCGCTTTTCCCAGTTTAGCCCCAGAAGTGGTGGGAGCAGATGCTTTGACCACAAACTAGAGCCATGAAGCCAGTTGTGGTGGCATGGAATGAACTGGGGAAGTATTGCACCTGTTCATGGAACAGGTGGGATGAATGAACTGAGGAACTGGCCTCAGACCCGGGGAAGTATTGCACCTGTTCATGGAAGATGATCAAAGAAGCGGCAGGTGCATTTTCTTCCTCCTTTGCAAATGGCCAATCGCCCTGAGTTTTCCATGAAAGAAAGGGCCACGGACAGTAATGGTGCAGCTCTCAGACTCTGGACCCCAACTATTAGAGTTGGGCCCAAATCCCAGCTCTGCAGGTACTTGCTGTGAGACTTTGGGCAAGTTACTTAATCTCTCTGTCCATCAGTTGCTTCATCTGTAAAATGGGGATAATACTGGTACGCACCTCCATGGACTACGGAGGATAAGTGAGTTAAAACACAGAATGCTAATCGTGCCTGGTATGTAGTTGGTGCTTAATAAATAAATGTTGAATGAATTAGTTTTTTAGAATGAAACATCCCAAGGAGAAAAATCAGAGGTGATTTTTTTTTTCTCTTTTGCATGTGAAATGGAAAAATCTAGATAAGAAAGTGCCTAGCTTTGTTCTGGCCATATCACAATAGTCCATTTGAGTTGGGGGAGAGGGGAGTTACTGGAGGGAGTACCCTAAAAACTCACAAAAAATGATTTCCTTTCTCTGCTTGTTGAAATTCTCCCTTCAAGGCCCAGTTTAAGTGTCACCTCCTCAGAGCAGCCCTCCTTGGTTTCCACCCTTCCTCACCCCTGTCAGACTCGTGGCTTCCTCCTCTATTCTCCCCAGTGTTCAGCATGTAGGTTGATGGTAGCACTCACTAATTCTGCTTTGTTTTACCTGTACTCAAGTTCATGGCTGTCTCCTCTCTGTGGTGGAGCTTTGGGTTGGACGGGTCTGGGAAGTCCCACCTACAGCTGACAGGCTGGGCTGGGCTCCAGGCCATCACAGGTCCCCCATCAGCAGCTCTCTCAACCCTGGCCTTGTGCCTACAGACCAAATGTGGCCAATGCGTTGAATTAGCAGCACTTTCAGGATCAAATCACAAAGCAACTCCTTCCTCTGTCCTGATTTAGTCAGGGGAATCACCTCTTCTCGGCCACTGCTGCAAACTCAGGCAATCCTATTACGTTTCTGGTTGCTCTTAGTTAATAAAAACTGTCTCACTGCAGGAAGGTTAAATGTCCCGTCCTGAATTTGAGTGAAAATGAAGTCTTCTTGCCTCTGCTGTCTTGAGCTTGCTGCAGGTAGGAAGCCTGCAGCTGGGAAGGGGCTTAGCTTTTCCCTCCTTCCTCACCCAGCTCACTGTCCGCATGCTACTCAGACATCCCCGCATCTGACCCAGCAGACCGCTCCTGCTCCTGCTCCTGCAAGTGTCTCCCCTGGCTCCTGTGAGGCCCACTGGCCTGGTGTCCGCTCTTTCTGAGGCTGTGACATTGGAGCTGTCTCTTTGGCTCTTCTCCGTCCACACTCTGTCCCTGGAGAGCTGCACCCCAGCAACATTCCCGTCTCTCCCTTCAACCCAGATACTCCCTGAGCTCCAGACTGTAGTTTCCAATGTTGTTTTCCAGTGTTCAACCTGACAGCGGCCGTTGGCTCCAAGGCTTCCTGAACTCAGTAACTGCCCCACTTAATTGCTGAGATGAGAAACCCCTGGTGGTGCTTGTTTTCTCTCTTTCGCTCCAAATCCATGCACAATCTAGCCCTGAGTTCTGCAGGCTCTGCAGCAGTGGTTCTCAGCCCAGAGGGACCGTGGCCCCCAGGGCACATTTGGCAATGTCTGGAGACATGTTTTATTGTCATAATTGGGGGTGGGTAGGGCTATGGGTTTCTAGTGGATTGGGGCCAGGGATGCTTCTAAATACCCTACAGTGCACAGGCCAGACCCCACAGTGAAGTGTCTTCCAGTCCAAAATGTCGGTAGCAGCGCCCCAAGAAACCCCGCTCTGCAGCCAGAATATGCACCCTGCACCCTACGCTCCTCCCGCCTCCACTGCCGTGGCCCGGCCAGACCCACGTCTCCGCTGGCCTGAGTGACTGCAATGGCCTCTTCCACTCTTGCCCTCCAGCAGACTGGTTTCCACCACGCAGCCAGCAGTGCCTTCCTTCCTTCCTTTCTTTCTTTCCTTTTTTTTTTTCTGAGACGGAATCTTGCTCTGTCACCCAGGCTGGAGTGCAGTGGTGTGATCTTGGTTCACTGCAACCTCCGCCTCCTGTGTTCGAGCGATTCTCCTGCCTCAGCCTCTTGAGTAGCTGGGATTACAGGCGCGTGCCACCATGCCCAGCTAATTTTTTTTGTATTTTTAGTGGAGATGGGATTTCATCATGTTGGTCAGGCTGGTCTCGAACTCCTGACCTCGTGATCCGCCCGCCTTGGCCTCCCAAAGTGCTGAGATTACAGGCATGAGCCACGGCGCCCAGCCAGCAGTGCCTTTCTAAAGCATGAGATCCTGCCCTTCCCCAGCCTAAAACCTTCTGGTGGCTTTCAGATGAGAACTGAACTCATCCTTGGCCAACAAGGCTCCGGACAGTCCCTGCTGCCCATCACCCTCCAGGCTCAGTCTCGGGCACGGCTGCCCTGGCCGCTCTCTTGTCCTTTGCTGGGGGACTTTGCTCTTGCCATCCCATGGGCTTAGCATGCTCCTCCCAGACCTCAATGCACCTCCTCATCTCTCAGGTCTCTGCTCCCATGACCCAACCTCAGGAAGCTGGGGGTGCGGTGGGCGGGCTGTGGCCCAGGGCAGGTTTGGGGCTGTGCTTTGTGACTCAGCGCTGGTTCACTTCTCTGCACTGGGGTGTGGTGGGGGTGATGCTGCTTTTAGTCAAAGCAGCTACAAAACTCCGAGAGCAAGTCGGCCGTTTTCTACATCTGGGCTGGCCGGGCTCCTTCTCGGATTTATCACAGGCGGGCAGCCGCTGACCCCTCCCTTTGCTATTGGAGGTGAGGAGAAGGAAGGGGACACGGGCCCTGGGAACTCGCCCCTGCTGAGTTACTCTACTTTTGGCAGCCTGAAGTTCAGGCTCCTGGCCCAGCATTGCAGGTTCTCCACTGTCAGGGTGGACCCCAGGCTCAGAACCCTCATCAGCTCAGGGCTCTACCCCCGCCTGGAACCGACCCACAGACCTTCCCTTCCGTCCCTTGGCTCAGGACGCAGGCCAGGGCAAAAGTAAGGGGCACAAGTGGGGAGAAAACCTGTGGAGGTGCCTGCTTGGTGCAGGCTCAGGCAGAGGCTCTGGACATGACACTTCCCCTTTAACTGACTTATCACGCCCAACTTCCAGGCTGTGTCATGCCCATTATGCAGAGAAGTGAAATGAATCACAGAGAGTTCATTAACGGGACAAAGCCTCGCAGGGGAACAGGATTCAGTCGTAGAACTCAGGCCCAAATGACTCCGCAGCTGCTGGCACACCACGTGTGCAAGTGCAGACACACACACACACACACACACACACAGCCTGCCTGTGCTGCTGAGGATCGCGATAAGGACCAAGACCAAGAGAAAGAGTAGCCAAGGGGAGAGGGAAAGTCCTTTGTTGGGACAGTCCTGGTGGCAAACGGCATTTTGGCTGAGAAACCCCTTAAGTTAGATTTGACACCATGACTTGGGGTGGGGGGCACAAGCTTATCTCAGAGCCATCAACTCCCCCGCTCTGGGGTCTGGTTAATCTGTGTCAGGGACACAGCCCTGTGTGCTAAGAGGGAAGCTGGCCTTGTGTATGGGGCGGGCCGGGCACCCAAGGGCCCCGTGGCCCCCCCTTTTCTTCCCCAGGTGGCTGCCCCGCCCCAGAGGCGCTCCTGCCACCCGCCCCTCCGACGGGGGGTGCCTCCAGCCACTTGTCCACAGCCTCGGGAGT
Organism: Homo sapiens; assembly: GCF_000001405.40. Lineage (NCBI taxonomy): Eukaryota > Metazoa > Chordata > Mammalia > Primates > Hominidae > Homo > Homo sapiens. The sequence goes on from NC_000002.12 coordinate 9,753,886, forward strand.
CCCCACAGCAGAGGCAGCCGTGGGAGGGTGAGTTCTGAGGAGATTGGGATCCTCTCCAGGGATGAGGGAGCCGGGCTGGAGGGGCTCTGTGGGGAGCGGGGAGACTTCGCTGGGGGACTCTGCTCCTGCTGATAGAAGAGAAGAGGAGCGCGCTATGGGCGTCTAGTGACTTGAGGCTGATAGAAAAGAAGGGGCCCCTGGCCAGGCTCCATGCTGAGGGCCGGGCGTGTTTGCTGCTTTTGAAGACAGAGAGCCTGGGGCGGGGAAGCTGGCGGCTCCTTCTTCCTCCCTCAGCTTGTCCCTTGCCCTGACCGGACACCCGGTGGGGCTCAGAGTTAATGGGGTCACAAGAGATCTACCAGCTCAGGAAAGAAGAAGGTGAGCAACAGGGACAGCTTCGGTTCTCCCATTCGGGGCGGGGTGGCCTCGGGCAGGTTACCCCATGGCTCTGCTCCTGAGCCTCCTCCCTGGGAAACTGGGCCAACACCTCCTACCTCACGGGCAGGCCGTGAGAACCAAACCTCGGAGTCATTCGCCACCAGGAAATGCAAATGAAAGCCACAGTGAGATGCCACCACACGCCCACGGCGACAGTGACAGACAATCAGTGCTGGCCGGAACGGCAGCTGCCCCCCTGACCTCCCCACTCCTCTCTGGCGGGAACGGAAAACAGCATAGCCCCCTTGGAAAACAGTTTGACCATTTCTCAGAAAGTTCCACGTCACCTCCTTATACTAGATGGGAGAAGAGTGTGTGAAGAATGATTCCATTCAGATGTTTCTAGAAAATGCACACTCATCACAGTGACAGAGGCAGATCAGAGTCTGTCTGGAGAGAGAGGGTGGGCAGGGGCAGGAGGGACGGGCGACAGAGGGGCACATGGCTTCAGGGGGCGGTTTCACAGGTGTAGACATGTCAAACTCATCAAATTGTACTGCTTCATTAAATGTCAGTTATACCTGGGTAAAGCTGTAGAAAATATCTTTTTGGAGGCAATAAAGGGTGGATTTACACTGAAAAAAAAAATGCAAGGCAAGTGAGGCACCTGGCACAGGACTGTTCAGTCAATGCCGACTGCTGAACATGTGAGCCCAGTTTCTCGCAACTTCCATTCATTCTTTCCTCCCAGAACATGGAAACGGAGCAAGGGGAGGGACAGGAGCTCTCAGTCCTGCCTTCAGGAGCGCCCAGAGACACGCTTCACAGAACTGGGTCGGGGTGCTAGGGATCCAGGTCAGGAGGGCCTCGCAGATGCCCAGAAGGTTCGGAGGAAGCAGCTGCAGTTTCCGGAATGTGCCAGGCTCCCTGGTGCTTCTGAGCGTCTGCAAGTGTGGCCCCCCTGCCTGAAACACCCCCACCCTCCTGCTGGTCTGGCCACCTCCCAGTCAGCCTTGTCCAGTTACCTTTTCCTGCCTCACTTCCCCACAGAGCGAGTGTGGCTCCTCTCAGCTCTCCCAGCCCCTCACCCTTGAGCCTCTAGTTTGGCAGCTGTCACACGAGCTACAGTCACGACTGGTCTGTCACCCATTGCAGACGGGGCTCCTGGAAGGGTGATGCTACGGCTCCCCCGGCTTCTAGCACGGGGCCCAGCACAGAATGGGAGCTGAGGAAATGTTTGCAGCAAGAGATAAAACTGCTTCACAGTGTGTGTTATGAGTTGAACTGTTTCCCCCAAAAAGATATGTTGAAGTCTTATGACCTGAATTGTGTTTCTCCAAAATCCATATGTTGAAGCCCTAACCCCTGTACCTCAGGATGTGACTGCATTTGGAGAAAGGGCCTTTAAAGAAGTAGTGTAATTAAGTTAAAATGAGGTCATGTGGGTGGGCTGTAATCCCATCTGCCTGGAGTCCTTACGAGAAGGGAAGATATGGACATAGCCATGCCCGGAGGAAAGGCCAGGTGAAGACACGGGGAGGAGACGTTCCTCTGCAAGCCAAGGAGAGAAGCCTCGGAAGAAACCAGCCCTGCGGACCCCTTGGTCGTGGACTTCCAGCTTCCAGAACTGGCAGAAATGCATTTCTATTGTTTAAGCCCCTGGGTCTGCAGTACTTTGTTATAGCAGTCCCGCAAACGAATACAAAGTCCTAACCCCCGGTGCCTCCGAAGGACCCTTATTTGGAACTAGGTCATTGCCGATGTGATAAGTTAAGATGATGTCATACTGGAGTAGGGTGGGCCCTGATCCAATATGAATGTATCCTTATAAAAAGGGGAAATTTTGACACAGACACACACACAGGGAGACCGCCACGTGGACACGAAGGCAGAGATTGAGGTGACGTGTCTAGAAGCCCAGGAATGCCAAAGGTGGCCAGAAAACCACCCAGAGCTGGGGAGGCCTGGAATAGAGTCTCCGTCACAGCCCCAGCAGGAACCATCCCTGCTCACACCTTGATCAGAGACTTTTGGCTTGCAGAACTGCAAGGCAGTGAATTTCTATTGTTTCAAGCCACCTAGTTTGTGGTACTTTGTTAGGGCAGCTCTGGCAAACTAACAGAATATGGGAGATTAAAATATCATCCCACTACAAGTTCATCCCAACAAGGGGTTCTGTCGGCGGCAGCACAAAGCTACCATGAAAACACCTAATTATGAGAAATGAGCTCCCAGACCCCCCTGCCCGTCACTCCCTGCTCTTATCAACTTCTGCCCCCTCCACTCACACGGACAACTGGTTTACCTGTCTGTGTCGCCCCCAAGCCAGCCACCCCCAGAACCATGCTCTGCCCATTGCTGGGCTCAGTAAAAACTCTCACTTGCGGCTAAATCACCCATCCAGAATCATACTCTGCTCCCTGAAATCCCAGACCCAGGCTGCACTGAGCCCTTCCACACGGGTACAAGAGCACATTTAGACCAAATTTCAGCAGGTCCAGGAAGGCCCTGGATGCCAAAGTTGGCACCTTCTGGTGCTTCCCGACATGCCACCCGTGGCTGACTTGCATTCTCTGCCTTGGCTGGTACCTGTCCAGCTGCACACCTGATACGCCCCAGCTCTAAATAAGGAGAGGAACTAAACCCAGCACTGCCCTGTGGCAAGCTGTGGAGAAGGAATGGGAGCGGGTGGAGGCGTACCTTCCTGCTCCATGGACGTGTGGTTAGGAAACACCATTCCCGGCCAGGAGCAGAAGCTGGGCTGGGGTGAGCCGAAGTCTCGGCCAAGACTCCTTGACCTTTAGGGAGTGCCTGAGACGCTACACAGCCAACAAGCTGCTGGGCCAGGGACAGTTGCAGAACCAGGATTGGCCTACTTTAGCCCCCTGCCCAGGGCTTGAATCCCCTCTGCAGTCTCCCTGCTTAGGGGACACCACTGTGTTTGAACACCTCAGCTGATGTGGGACTGCTGGCATCTTTCCTGCCTGGACCTGAGAATGGCTGGCCAAGGCTGAGGCTTGGAGTGGCTCATTCCCTTCCAAACTTGCCCATATCCGTGCAGTGGGCCACAGTTCCTGTCTGGGAGCCCCCCACTCCTGCAGGTCCTCCTCAGCAGCCTTCCCCATGGCTCTGTGTAAAATTTCACCCCCACCCCTTTTTCCTGCCATATTTCTCTTCTTGTCACTTTCCACCCTCTAAGTCCTGTTTGTGCATTTAACTGATAGCTTTTGGTCACCGTCTGTCTCCCCCCGTAGAGAGGCCACCCTGGGAGGGAGGGTTTATTTGGGGGCTCGGGGTTGCTACAGCAGGCACAAAGTCAGCAGCTGTGGCCTGACCGAATAGAAGAGAGGCTGGAGTGTTAAGCGGAGGCGTTTCTGCAGTGGGGCCACAACCACGCAGGGCTGGCTGGAGGGGGCTGGGCGGGGTTCCTACAGGGAGGTGATGGGTCCCGGTAGCTGTGCCGGGTCTCCTGCAGAAGAGGTTGCATTTCAGATCCGTGAGCTTCCCCTCATTCCAAACACTGGCTTCCTCCACTTCTTTTTCCTCCCCTGGGAATAATTGGAAAAATGATTCCTAAGCTGTCAGGAGAAAATAAAGAAACCATAGCGACCGATTCGCAGCCTCTCCTAAATCAGCCAAATGAGAAATAGATTTGGAACCACCTCTGGAGGGGGCGGCTAACATCTCCAGGAAGGCGACAACCATAGATTGTGTTTCAGCAGGCGGGGAGGGGCAAGGCTGGGGGTAAGCTGCCGAAAGCCCGCCTCAGCCACCCGCTGTGCTTCCAGTCCCTTCCCTGGCTCAGGGCTGGCTGGAAAGACAGAGACGTTTCATGCGGGGCTCCGCAGATGGCAGGCGTTCCACACCCATTCCCTCACTTCTCTGGAAATAGCCCCGGGAAGTAGGCAATGTTACTGACTCCGTGTCACAGACCAGGAAATGCAGACCTGCCTTGGCCGCAGAGCTGGTTCATGGGAGGGGGATGGAGCCAGTTCTCACGCTGACATTGGCCTGGTCCCCACAACTGTGCCTTTTCTGTTGTGTCCCCAGAATTTTAACATTCTCCAGCCAGACACAGGCCAAGACCGACAATGCTTCACTTGGTGAAGACCATTTTCTGTTCCTCCAGCAGCCTCCGTGACCTCGGGTGGGCCATTCGGTCAAGTAATCCTGAATTTACCTCCCAGTAACATTGTGTCTTTGAGCCGTCATCAGGCTTCTTTCAGGGTAGACCCACGGGACTGTGTAGAAAAGGGCTTGAAGGAGGAGATTTGTGCCGGAGCCCCTGGTGCTGTCAAAGTCAAATAAAATATACAGACAAATCTCTAAGTTTAAAATGTTTTATTTGGGGAGCAAGAATTTCAGTTTGGGGCATACACACAGACTGGGTGGTCTTCAGTATGTCCAAAGAGCAAAGAGAAGGTTGTAGGTTTCATAAAAATGAGAAATGTTATGGATTGTTAGGAAAGCAAGTTCATTAGCACTAGCAACGTTTTGGGGATCCGGCAAGCTCTGATTGGTGAGTGGGTGAAACTAGTCTTAGATTTCCGCAGGTTGTTTCTGTAGCTATTAGATCAAACCGGTTTCAGGTTGCAACACTTGTTCCAGCAGCCAGGGTTGGAGACAGTTATACTCTTGGAGCAATGTTACGTGGTCCAAGTGCTTTTTCCTGTGGTCTCATAACTCTGCTTGGCTATGACAACAGTGACCTTTGTATGATCAACTTTCACAGTGGCCACAGGAGAAGCCAGATTTGAGCCCATGCCCATGCCTTCTGGCTGGCTTTCTCTCCCTTGCTCCTGGCAGGGCAATGCAGGGTGAGTGACAGAAGTGGACTCAGCTACAGGCAACATTGAGTGATCTAGGTTCCAAGTATGGCACTTTATCCGTTGTCTTATCAACATAAAGATACAGCGCTTTGAAATTTTGTCAAATTCAGGTTTGAGCAGCCTGATGCAGAAATTCCTGGGTCAGGGACTCCAGGGCGGGGATTTGGAGGGGTGAGCTGGCTGCAAAGTCTCTGGTCAATGTGGGTTCTGGAAAAGAAAGAAAGAAGGAAGGGAGTCTCCTCACTTCACCTCTCTGGTCTCTCCAACAGTGTCCACCGTTCTGAGCCCTCAGCTGCCTGTAGCTCTTTACAGAACAGACCCCACCCTGCTTTGTATCCAACTTTGTATCCAGCATCTCAGATGTTGCCACAAGGGGCAAAACCAGGGGTTGGGTGACTCCCTAGCCAGAACTCCAAGGCTACACATAGCTATTTAGACAAAAGAAGTGTGCTTATTTATTTGCTTTAGGATGCAATTTCATGAGTGACATTTAGCATTTGTTGAGCCCCTATGTTTACAAAGTGCTTCCACCCACATGGTCTCATTGGACCACCTGTGAGGGAGCACAATGTGACCTCCACCTTAAGGACTGAGTGTGGGAGTTGACCAGGAGCCCAGGACTGTCCAACTCCTATTCTAGGGGGTTCTTTACATCCACAGAGGTTTTGAAACCCAGGAGCATGCCTTCCGGAGCACTTAAATTGCATTTGATGTTTAATGACTCTTATTTACTTATCACAAATACAATTTTTAGTGATACGAGAGCCAAGTCACAAAGACTAGATTAAACATTACTCTCTTCTGTTGCATTGGCTTCTCTACATCATGGTAACAGGTTGTCAGGTTCAACTGCAGCATTGCTGTTAGAGGCAAAGGTAGGCAGGAAGCTCATTCTTGCAATCCCTAGAACTTTAGTAAAAACTCAAAGATATCTATTTTTCTAACCAGATACTATTAGCTTTATTTTGCATCCATTCATTTACTGAAGCCTACATGTGTTTCAGTAACTATGCTAAAAGATTCTGTTTGTCCCTATTTAAGGGCACTCTTAGTTCAGTGGGAGTTGGTGGCAGTGGCAGATATGTACAGTTACAAGGTGATGCAATGACAGTGACAGGCAGAGGGAGGTCTGGGAGCACAGAGGGGAGGCACCTAATCCAGCCTGGTTATATCAGGGAGGGCTTCTTGGAGGAGGTGACATCTGAGTTTCTCAAAGGAGAAGGTAGCCAAGGGAAGGAAAAGAAGATGCAGGAAGTAGAGAGAGGCTGTTGAAGGAACTGGGGCACGGGAGCATTGGGTACTCAAACAAGGAGTGGTTTGCGGAGACGGACCTTAGGGAACACAGTGGATGTGGGAAAAGCTCAGCCCAGCCCTCTGTCATGGGTTTTGTATGCTGAGCCACTGGGAGACTTAAAAAAAGAAGACCTTTTATAAAGAGCAGTTTTAGGTTTACAGCAAAATTGAGCAGAAGGTACAGAGAGTTCCCATAGAGCCCCTGCCCCCACCAGAGTTGTACATTTGTTACAATAATAAGCTTGCATTGACACATCATGTTCATCCCACTGGAAGATTCTGAGCAGGGAAAACATTTTCACATTACCTTTTACAAAGTCTTCTTCCTGGCACTGAGTCACAGTCGTTTTTAAACAATTAATGGTGTAGGTTGCTACTTAGCATTTCCCCAGAGCAAATGTTTCTATGATCTCCAAAAGACAGAGGATATGATGTCTTCTTGCCCCACCCTGTAGATCTGTAAACCTAGAACAATGGCTGGTCATAGCAGATGCTTAGAAAGTAGAGGAGGGTAGAGGCGGGAGGAAAGCAGGGGTAGAAAGAAGGACTAGAGGAGGGTAGAGGCGGGAGGAAAGCAGGGGTAGAAAGAGGGAGTAGAGGAGGGTAGAGGCGGGAGGAAAGCAGGGGTAGAGAGAGGGAGGGAGAAAGATAGCCACAAGGTCTCTTGTGTATTTCAGAAACATCATTCTGGCAGCAAACAGAGGAAAGATGGCAGAGGGTGTGGCTTGTGGTCAGGGACAGTTAGGAGACTACTGTCATGCTCCAGGTGCAAAGCGCAAGTGGTCTGAGTAGGTGGCCGCGGTGGAGAGAAGGGGACATCGAAAAGGTGGGATCTACCCCACCAGGTGCCTGAGGGTGTGAGTGCAGTAGAAAACCACTGGGAAGTTTTCAAGGCCCAGGCCCAGCTCTCAGTCTTCTCTGAACCATCGAACTAGAGGGAGAGTTTGTAAGGACTCCAAAGGGAAAGAGAACACGGGAGGGAAGGAGGGTTGGGGAGGGTCAGGTAGGATGCTTAAGGTGGATTGAGTTTGAAATATACAAGCTAAGAAAAATGTCAGATGGTTCTTGTTTATTGTCTAAAGAGTAGAGGGGAGAAAAACAGAAAACAGACGTTTATGTTGTTGAGTGTTAGACAAAAGGCCCCACGTCCCCTGCTTCTGAGTGAGAATGACGATGTGCTGTAGGATGACAGGGCCCTTTGGAGGTTCTGTCTGCAAGATAATCTGTTTGCAGATGAGCTCCAGGCACGGGGAAGGTGCGTGGTGTCAGTGTGGCTTGCTGAACTCACAGCAAGCCATTTCAGGGATGCTGGGACGGAAGCCGCCCTCCCTTTCCTGCCTCTGCTTCCAAGTTCTTTCTCTGCAGCCCTGTCAACGCGCCGCCTTTGCTTCATAGCACATCTCCTAATGGGCTCTGGCGGTGCTGAGGCAGCCTTCATATTCCATTTGTTCCTTGGATAATAAGCTTAGCCTCGAAGCCAAAAGAGAAAGCCCTGATGACTATTAAATACACATGCACGGGGCTGACTGCTCCCCAAAACCCCCAGCTGGACATCGCACCAGCTCAGCAAGGCCATTTGCATCCAGGCAAATGGCCCTCAGTGACTAATAGAAATCCACCTCTATCTTGGCAAGGAAGGCCTTCAGCATGCAGCATTAATTTGGTTTGCACAGTGGGATGGAACACATCTTTAGTTCCTTTTAGGGAACTGACTTACGCTTTCTCCAAAGGGTGCTTCCTGGGGGCTCCCAGACATTGGAAGTGCTGGGTGTAACTCGTCTCAGGGGCTCCCTAGTCCCAAGCACAATCTGCCTTATTTTTTTTTTCCAGTTTTACCGCTCAGAGAGGATTGTGATGACGAGGTCACCTGGATCCTAATAACGCTTCAAGTCATCATTAGGGATTGATGCATTTGGCCTGGCATGGACAGCACCGCTGCAGCTCACAGCCAGAATGATTCTGTCTGGCTTCCCCCTCCACACCAGAAGTCTGGAAATGCAGCCTGTTCTTTTCCATTTGGAGTCCCGGGATCTGGGTTATTATTGCCAAAGGCAAAGGAATGAGTTTCTAGAATTATAACTTGGAGGAGCAATGCACCAGGGAGTAAACCTAGGAAGTTTCCAGAAAGCTAGAAGGTGATTATCTCCACAGTGTACTCTGAATGTGAAAACCCAACTAACAGAACATTCAGACGTAAGTGCAGGACTCCTCAGCCTGTCTCCACCAGGACTTTTAGTCAGTCTAGGAGGGCAAGAAAGATCACTTCAATTTTAGGATCTTACTGCACTCTTGGGGCAAAAATAAGCCTGTGGCCTTCGGGGGTCTCCAAGACACCTGCTCAATAAGGATGTTTAGTCTCAACCTCCAGAATGAACTAGGCTCAATTCAAATAAAATTGGTGAGGACCCACTAGTGCCGGGTGGGAGGTGACTAAGGTGGGTACAGGGGAAGGGATGTCCTCAGTCCTATGGTCATGGGCTTGCTGGCTGGGCCCTCACCCCAGAGAGCAGTCGCCCAGGGGCTGCAGCACCAGAAGGCCTTCCCCACTGTTAAAGCCTAAGGCCTTGTCCGGGAAGACTAAGGCCTGGAGGAAATCACCTGGCGAAGAACTGGGACTAAAGGGCTGTGCTTTGTGCCAGGATCAGGCATTTTCCAGGTTTTCTGAGCAGATCGTGTGGTACATGGGCAGGGCCAGCACATACGGTTGTGCATGTTGTCCACTGTGCAAGGACATCCAGCTGAAAGGTGAGCGAGGGCTAGATTCCAGCATGCCTGCCGCTCACCACACTGTGTGCCCATGGTGTTGCGTCTGTCCAGAAGGGGCATCCTTCTCTAAGTCACACAGACAGACCCTGTGGGCTCGCTAGGGCCCTGGACATGAGGAGAATGAAACACCCCAGGGAAGGGGTCAGCGAGATTTGGCTGAGCAGCACAGGGCTGCAGACAGGATGGAAAATACTCCCTTTACCACACTGGCTGCCTTGCCTTTGGTGCTTTGGAAGGGAATTGCAGGAATTAATAACCAAACTCACTCTATTCCATTCCTAGCACCTTGTACACATTCATGGCCATGTTAACTCTACCTATGCCTCCTCCTGGGCTTGCGTGCAGTTATTCCCAGCGAATCCCTGCAGGTGCTGTAAGAGACAGATCTCTGCACAGGCGGCTCGTCCTGCCAGCTGGAGTCAAGGTTATCTCATCCAGGCTGGCCAAAACCCATAAGCAGCCCTCTTTCAGAATTCTGCCTGCTGTGCTACCTAAATATAGTTCATGTTACCTGTCTTTTAAAAATATTTCTAGCCTCTCTTTTTTCCCCTGTATATTCATGATTTAATTTTGTATGCCACTTTTTTCCGTTGCTACATGCTAAGCATTTTCCATAGTGCCACGTCATTTCCACACTGCCCTGTGTCATTATGGCTGTATTATCGCCAGCTAAGCAGGGCTCTGTAGTCTGACTAATCATTATCAAATGGTTTACTTAGCAGACACATGTCCCCCTGGTAGGAAATGTTAAGTGAGGGGTAGAAGATCTCTCCTCAACTCTGTTCTATTCAACATTTTTGCTGATAGCCAAGATGAAGGTGTAGCATGCAGACCACTCAACAAATTGGCAAAAGACACAGAACTGGAAAGGGTAATACATTGTTTGGACAAAGTAATCAAGATTCAAGATTGCCCAGCAATGCTTCCCTGGAAGCTTCTTCTTACCTACCCCTGTCTGCATAGGGTTTTGTCAGAAAACATTTTAAATGGTCCACTTTCAAGGCATGATAAATCTAAGCACTGGCAGCCAGCCCGTGAATGTAACAAATGGCACAGCTCATGCACCTGGAAGGTCTTGATAAACAAACAGAATGTAGAAGAGGGGTCAGCCCATAAAAGGGAAGAAAGTTCTATTATTGGGAAATTGAAACTTAAGAGGGGAAGAGGACAGGGTATAACCTTATAAGGGGGATAATGGCACTTAGGCAACATCCAGGAAGATTGTCACCCCACAGTACTCAACCATGAGGAACTGGGGGAGGGACTTGTGTGCTAGGAGATAAATTACCTGCTGTAGCTGCCCCAGATGTGCCTGCCTACTGGCCACCCGATCTTGCAAGACCTCTATTAAAAGTCTCACTTTTGCTGTTCTTTGTCCTCTGAGTCCATTGTTTGGGTTTGCACAGATGAGCGTGTTTCTCCCAGTTTTACTCAGCAGCCACAACCACAGCAGGTGGCTCATTGGTGCAAGGTGGGCAAGAGACCCGAACTGGGCCAGAGAACCTTCCTGATGATTTTGGAATTGGGGCTTACAGATTCCAGGCGTCTCCAGGTGGCTTGAGCATAGCACATCAGCTACGGAGACACTGTGGCTGTGTTTTGTCTTGTGACCCCGAAGTGGAGGAGGCTGGCTGGGAGACAGACTCAGCGAGAAGGAAGGTGCAGAGAAAAGCAAGAGAAAAGAGAGGCAACTAGAACCCTGCTTCATTTGTTCCTGAAGCCCAGTCACATTTCTGCCCCCTTATTCAGAAAGTCCATATCATGAGAATACAATCCCTCAGCCTGGCATCTGTGTTCATTGCAGCTGAGAAGGTCCCAGTGAAGCCAGCAGACAGAAGATCTGCAGTCTTGGTCTCCAGTTGACTCAAAGTTCAACAGAGTCAACAGGCTGCAGAAGAATCAAGCCCCAAATTGGGGGAAAGACCACATTTGGAGGGTGACAGTTTTGGTGTGACCTCAGCAAACAGTAGGATGCCTGAAGAAGTCCCCTGGACAGTAAAATCAGGCTCTACACTCAAGGGCTGAAAGAATTAGATAAATTTTGGCAGAAGAAGGGAAGAAGATTTGGCAGAAAGACACATTTGTCATATAGGGTGTGGAGAACCAAGGTCAGAACTAGGACAAACAAATGAAAGATGCCTGAATGCAAATTTTGGCAAGTTTTTTTCTAGCAGGTATCTGCTAGTGGATGGGGTTTCCTGGGAAGAGGCAGCCAACAGGCAGGAGTTTTAGCAGAGGCTGGGTGGCCGCACGTTGGGTAGGTGAACCTCCTGAACAGAGGTGGTTGGACACATCCAACCCCAGCCCATGGTTCTGGGGTTGGTGTGAAGTGGCATTTTCCCTATCTTCTGTAGACTGAGAAGTGACCCTCTAACAGATGTTTCAGAAATCCCAGGAGTAGAACGTTTGCCTTGAACTCCTCCTCCCAAGCAGTCCCTCATTTAGGAAATCACCCCAATGGAAGCAGCAAAGGAAGCTTTCTCTGAGTGAAGGGCAGTGCCCACAGTGGCCTGCCAAGAGTATGTGGCCCTCCCTGACTGTCCCTACCTCTGGTGGGAACCTAGAGGGGGCGGGAGGACATATGAGTAAGTGCACCCCCTAAAGGACACAGGGGCTGTTGCCTTGCAGAGGGTCACATGCTGGGCTTGCCTGGCGAACTGGAATCTCTCAATTCAAAGTCCACAGGCAGACAGGGAAGTAATTTCCTAGAAATTAAGTCTGAACACTACAGAGCCTCTCCTCAAAGAGTGAATATGGGCCGGCAGCTGGGGCACACGGGGGCCTTGTGTGTGCATGTGTAAGGGTGTGTACTGTTACGTGTGTGCACATCCTCACACACGTATACACCCTCACACATGTACATATGCTTATGTGTGCACATACCCTCACATCTGTACACACACACCTGCCTCTACACACCCACATGCACACACGCTCACACACCAGGGCACCTCAGAGGAAGATTTCTTCTCTTCTGAGGAAGTCGGGGAAGCTCCTGGCAGGAGAGTTGAGCTGGGCCGACCTGAGGCTGCAGGCCCAGGAGGCTGAGGACTGGGAAATGGTGCAGGGCCCAGCAAGCCGCAGAAACCTGCCCCCAGGCTGGGCATGTCAGCACAGTGACCACGCAGCAGCAGCCCCGCAGGCGGGGGCTCCCTCCCCAGCCCAGAAGGTTCCCTATAGGGTGCAGAGCGGCCGGCCAGCCCTGGGCCCACTCCAGTTAGAGCTGAGCCAGCAGTGTCTGTACTCCACCAGCCCTGCCCCCGTGGCCCAGGCTTGTTGCTTCCTCCCGCTCCTGGAGCAGGGCCCTGACTTGTTCACACCTCCCAGGCTTGTCCCCCACCTCCCACTCGGTTCCCAACACTGTCCACAGACATTCTTTTAAAGGAGACTTTGCTTGCATCACTGCCCTGCTTAAAACTCAACAGTGACCCATTCCTCAGCCAAAAAGCAGGTCTTCTTCAGCCTAGCGTTTTAGAACAATAACACATTTCTCAAGCCCTGATCTGAGTGTTTTTACATACACAGTTGACCCTTGAACAATACGGGTCCACTTATGCACAGATTTTTCTCCATCAATGTTATACTATACACTCGCCCTTCCTGCCTCCCCTCCCTGCCTCCCCTCCCATCTCCTCTACCTCTTCTGCCTCTGCCACCCCTGAGACAGCAAGACCAACCCCTCCTCTTCCTCCCCCTCCTCAGCCTACTCAATATGAACACAGCAAAGATGAATCTACTTCCCCTTAATGAATGGTGAGCATGTTTTCTCTTCCTGATGATTTTCTTAATAACATTTTCTCCTCTCTAACTTACTGTATTGTAAGAATACGGTGTATATATATTATATATACTGTATAAAGTATGTATTAATCAACTGTTTATGTTATCAGTAAGGTTTGTAGTCAACAGTAGGCTATTAGTTAACTTTCGGGGGAGTCTAAGGTTATATATGGATTTTTTTTTTTTTTGAGACAGGGTCTCCCTCTGTCACCCGGGCTGGAGAGCAGTGGCATAATCATGGCCCCCTGCAGCCTCGACCTTCTGGGCTCAAGCAATTCTCTCACCTCAACCTCCTGAGAAGCTGGAACTACAGGCGCATGCCACCATACCAGAGTGTTTTTATTCTACTGTTTGTAGAGACAGGGTCTCCCTATGTTGCCTAGGCTGGTCTTCAACTCCTGGGCTCAAGTGATCCTCTCACCTCAGCCTCCCAAAGTGCTGGGATTACAGGTGTGAACCACTGCGCCAGCCTTCACATGGATATTCAACTCCATGGGGGTGGGGGCCAGTGTCCCCTAATCCCCGCTGTTGTTCAAAAGTCAACTGTATTTGCCTCTTCGTCCCCACAATCACCCCCTTGAAGTAAGCATTATTATTATGATTATCTGCATATTATAAGTGAGGGAACTCAGGCAGGAGGAGGAGGTCATCACTTGCCCACTAGCACAGACAACAGGGGACAGATCCAAATTCAAACCCAGACAGTCTGACATCTCAGCCCACACCCTTGCAGCTCAAAGTGTGGTCCCTAAACCAGCACATCAGCATCACCTGAGAGCCTGTTAGAAATGCAGAGGCTCAGGCCCCCCAACTCTGCTGAGTCAGGAAGGTCCCCGAGATCTGAGAAGCTCTGCTTGTGCTTCAGAGCCAGGTCCCCTCTCACCCACCTGCCTCAGCTCTGTCAGCCCCCTGCCTCTGCTTGTGCCGTCCTTCAGCCTGGAGCTCTCTGCCCCGGTGTGTGGACCCTCCAGGTCCCCCACCACGTCCACAAGTAGCTCGCGTGCTCCCTCCTCTTCTGACCTCCCTGGTCTGTGGCTCCCCCATCCCCTAGGGAAGGATCGGTCCCTCCCACCCTGAGCTCTCGACGCAAGGTCGTGCCTCGGTTATTGTTCTGACATTGCAGAGGGTATCTGTGAGTGAGTTGGACTTGACGAGTTCCCCTTTTTGTGTGAACGCATGCGTGAATACACACACCTTGTGCTCCTCGTGGAACAGGAGAGCCGGCCTCTGAACCCCAGTCCCTGTACCTGTCAGCCGGGGCTCCCCTCCTTCTCTTTCCCACCTCCTTGAATCCAACTCTGAGGACCTTGGTCTTATGTTGTCCTACATGCCTGGCCTGATCCCTAATGAAGCCCTTGATCTCAGAACTCAATGCATCATTCCCCACCAGCCAGGAGGAGCCGGACAGCTTTGCCTGCCTTTTGCCTTTCCCTTCTGATACTTTCCCCTTGATCTCAAGCCCTGTCGGTAGCAAAGGGCAAGCAGGGGCCTCCCAGCACAGCAGCTGGTGCCCTTCGCCACTGCTCACCCCTCCCTGCCCCAACACCTGGCCTTGGTGGCTGAGGGCGATTGGGAGGGGTTTGGCTGGGCGGCAGCAGCCAGCACAGAGGGCCCAATCTGGCCCGAGAGGCAGGTGAGCAGAGCGCTGGAGGGAGCAGGCAGGAGAAGAGCAAAGGCTTGGGAGCTGAATCCTGTCTCCACAGCGTCCCCTGCGGCCTCACTCCTCAGCACTTCGGCTCCCTCCTTCTCAGCTGGGGAGAATGAGACAGCCCACGAGGCTGAGGCCATTATGAGGATGAGAGGAGGCGGCTCGTGTCAAAAGAACTGAGTATTTAGCCAATCACCATTTGATGGACTTCTGGACAGTCGGAACTGGAGTTCATAAGGAATCATTACCAGGCAGGGAAGCTGTGTCCCGTGCAAGGGGGCACGGCCAGCTGTTAACAGAATGAGACGACGCTTCTTGCACCCTGTAGTGCTGCCCGTGGCCCTCTGTGGCTCCCCTTCGTTGATTAGGAAAATGGAATCAGGGTAGCGCCTTGGGAGAAAATGCCGTGGATCCCAGGGCCAAAGCTCATTGTGCCCTTGGTGAGCTGTTTGCCCTGAGGAGAGCCCAGCAAAGATGGCTCCCAAGTCGTCTCCTTCAGCCACTGCTGGGCCTGGATGTCCCTAGAAAGTGGGCCAAAGCCAGGTCATGTTCCTGTCGTTGGGGAAGTGGAAAAAAAGGGGCTGCCATCCCGCCTCTCTGACAAACACAGGGAGGTGCCCCCGTGCCTCCGCCACTCTGCCAGGGATACAGACAGACACTCAGGAAGCACCACAGGCCCCAAGAGGCACAGGCACACTGACAAAAGCAAACCCATACCGGGGACACAGATACCACACACATTTAGTCATCGCTGGCGGCCCCCAGGTGCCAGAGACTCTCACAGAAGCTCAAGGACTCGAATGAGGTGTTGGTGTGTTTAACACCCATGCCCCCCCCCACACACACCTGTGTATGCCCACATGCTGCCACTCTGACCTGTGGGTGGGGGCAGGCATGTGAGTGGGCTCTGAGTCTTGGCCTGAGCAGGTGCGTGGGTGTCCCCCCCGCACTCAAATGGGCAGCTGGAAAGGAAGGTCAGGCTCAGGTGCGCAGAGCACAGTGGCCCTGAGCGGGGGTGGTGGGCGTTGCCATGGAGATGACAGCCAGAGAGGCAGCACTGCAGGCGAGCTCCGTGTGGGCGGCTGCTGAGCCCGCAGATCCACAGATCTCAGGAGGGACTGGGCAGTGCTGGAGGCTCCAGGATGGGAGCGGGGGGGCTCTTGAGGTGGGGGTGAAGCTGAGGAGCTCTGGAATGGTCATGAATTTGTGGTCTTGGCTGGGAGCACAGACTATGGGGCCTCTGCCTCCCCCATCAGTGCCACTCACTCCCACTCCTGTCCCCCACCAGCAACTGTGCTGAGCTCACAGCCAAGGCAAAGCTATCAGGGAGGGCAAGCAGAGGCGGGGAGCTAAGGATCGTGGCTGGTTTTAGGAAAACGGCTGAGGAGGGTCTAGCTGATTCTCCCCACCTCCTGGCATCACCTGACCTCTCTTTCTTTTCCACTGGTCCCTCCTTTGCAGCCTAGTGGAATGGGAATCACAGAGGACTGGGAGTCAAACAGTAAATCAGGATGCCTGTCCCTGTCGACCAACTCTGGGACCATGAGCAACCTGCCCAGTGAATCTCAACCTGGGTCTTCACATCTGTGAAATGGGATGAGGAACCCTGATCGACCTACCTCCAGAGCTGCTGAGAAGGTCAAATGACTCTCAAGAAATTCAACTGGACAGACATGGACAGATGCTTACTATGCACCAGCACGCCGTGGCGCTCCAGGGACGGAGAGAAGTACACTCTTGCGGAGCTCACCAGTGAGTGGGTGGGAGACGAGCACGTGCAAACAAGACAGCTCGGATAAGCGCCAGGACTCAGCCTGTTCCAGCAGCTCCTGGGAGTGCCTGCTAAGGGCCAAGTACCGGGATACAGAGAGGCAAGAGCGGCAGAGGAGCCCAGGGACTGCATGGGATTCAAATCACGAAAGAGCAGCGGCCTCCCCCAGAGCAGCCCTCAAATGCATCCGTCTCATTCATCCTCATACACCGCCAGGTGGAGCCACTGAATGCTCTCCCCATTTTACAAGTGAGAAAGCTGTGATCAGAAAGAAACAGCTGTCCCAAGTGCAAACGAACCCTGGGAAGAGGTGGAGCTGGGATTTGACTCTTGTCTGGCAGGTCCCAGAGTCCCTGCTTTGGGCCACTGAGCTCAACTGCTTCTCCCGGCCTCACCCTTCCATGTGCCTATGGCCTCTGGGAGGGAGCTGCCTGGTGTCAAAGGCCCTCCCCTGCTCCCTGCCCCGGCCCTGGCCTGGGCTGTGGTCCCACCAGCCACTCACCCCTCCGCCTTCCCTGTTCTCTCCTCCTTGCCTGTCTTCAATAAGACGGTCCAGGGGCGTGGACAGATAGCACAGTGTCACAGAGCCCGACAGCACTGACATCGGCGTCCTACGCCACCACTTGCGAGCTGGGGCAAGGCCACGGAGCCTCTCTGAGCACTGTTTCCACGCTGCAGTCCACACACGGGCAGTGCAGGGCATGAGCCAGACCCTCAACACCTTCAGTGCTCGCGAGGCACTCTGCACCCCCAGTGCTTCCAGAAGGGGCCATCTGTCCCCTGTTTCCAGGCAGTGGAAGGTGGAGTCTAGCCTGGCAGGACAGGAGGCAGAGGCTGGGCCTTGTCTCCAGAGAAACCGGGGCTCAACTCCTGCCTCCTCCCTCACTCGCTGTGTGTCCTGGGGAAAGTCACAAGGCCTCTCTGAGTTTTGTTCCTGGGGCCTCCCACCCCAGGGTCCCAGACGGGATCCAGCAGGACCCGAGGTCCATGGGTCTGAGCTGGCAGGATCTGAGCTCAGAGACCTTGCCCCTCTCCAGAGGACCCCCACCCCTCCCAGCTCCTCTAGGTGGCCCCCTGGTAGCCTCCCGGGGCCCTGTGAATGGGGGAGGGGGAAGAAGGCGCTGTCACCTGGGTTTGAGGTGGAGGGCACTGGTGGATGGCAGAGGAAGCCTGTCTGGGCTGGGAGAGGGCACCCTATGGCTCCCCTCTCTGGGCCTGGCTCCCCCACTGCTGACAGCCTGGGCTGTGAACAGACCGGTGGGAGGGCCTGCACGGGGCGGGGGATGTGAGGCCAAGGCTGACCTAGGTCTCAGGCACAGCCTTACAGTGGGCAGCTTTGAGAAACCCAGTGAGAAGGGCCAGCTCTGGGCTCAGAGGCCAGGGAGGGCGTGGGAGAAACAGGCAGCGCCCCGCACTGGCTGGCATCTCTTGAGGTTTCTGTAGAAATGTTTGCTCCGGCAGGAAAAAAAAAATCTGTTGCCATGGTAACCTATGTCTTCCCTCCCCAGCTGAGTCCTCAGAGGGAAAATCATCTCAGAATTCCCAGGGATGAGTGGCCAGCTACACTTAGGGGAAGCTTCCCAAACCCAGGCCTCCCAGCAGGGTGAAGAAGCCACATTCGCTCAAACACTGGAGCCTCATTCATTCATTCATTCATTCATTCAACAATCACTGAGACTCTACGCCCCACCCTGTGCTGGGCCTGGGGATGTGGAAATTCATCCAACTCGGTCCCAGAACTCAAGGAGCTCAGACTCTGGTGGGAAGACAGGTGTGTAAGCGTGAAGCCATGGAGGTGGTGAGAGCTTTGACAGGGGATGGCAGAGTGCTGCAGAAGCACAAAGGGAAGGTGGGAGGGCTTCCTGGAGGAGGCCCGCTTTGGCTGGGTCTTTGGGCTGCTCTAGACCCTGGAAGCCCTTAGAGCCCAACCCCCTGCCTGGTGTTCCACCCATTTTACAGAGGAGAGCACTGAGGTCCAGATAGGGTGAATGACTTGCCAGGGTACAAGGAAATGAGTGACAATGTGCGGGTGGGGCTGATGTTCCTAAAAGGAAAGGCAGCTTCATATCCGACCTGAATAAATAATGTATTCTGGATTTTAATTATTTAAAAAGCCTCCATTTCACTGGTGTCTCATCAAAAATAGAAACTCTCTTCCTTTCACTCTAGATTTCTTTTGAAAGTGGCAGGTGGGCGCAGAGGTAGGGCCTGGGCCTCTGAAGCGTCCTGCTTGTGGCAGCAGCTGTGAAGCAGAGGCCGCAAGCCCCGAGCCTCCGACGGAGAAATGACAAGTGACCGTCATCCTGGAGCCTCCCCCCTGCCTTAGGCCAGTCTGCACCTAGCCCTCAGATGGGTGGTCAGCGCACCGCTGTTCCCACAAGACTCGGGTGGTTCCCCAAGTCCACCAGCTTCTCTTTCCTCCCGGGCACACGGGGGTCTTACAGCAGCACCTCTTGGAGATGTCGAAAGAATCCTGCATTCGGTGTCTCTGGGGGGTCCCATCTCTGTCCCCAGACCGGACACACCGTAGACCCCCAACTTATGGACATTTCCATCTTTCAAAGACAGGCCTTAGAGAAAGGAAAGAAAACCAAATCGCCAAGAGGTGTGAGAAGAAAGGGCTGGGGAGGGAAAGCTGGGACACACCAGCCTACTCCTTGCCGTTGGGGTGATCTTGTGGCTTTGAAAATCTGGATCAGTTCCCCAAAACACAGCCAGTCAGGGGCTCTCCCTCCCCACCGTGCTCTGCAGCATTCCCGCCCCTTGTTCCTCGGTATCTTACCAAGCCCGCATCGCACAGATCAGCTTCTTTTCCATCGGAAGCAGCCAGAGAGCTGTCAGAAGAAGGTCCCATTCCCCGGCTCCAGCCCAGCACCAGATAGAATCTCGCCGAGGCTCCCGACTGCCACCACTCCCATCTGTCTTCCTTGCCATGTGTCCCTGGGGCTTAGCTCTGAACAGAGATGTCACCCAAACAGGGTGAGGCCACCACAAGTCAAGGTCTCACTTCCAAACCAGAGCACACTCAACTCCAGTCCACCTCTCCCCACTTGGCTGTCCCCAGACCCCATCTGTAACATTTGCATCTCTGTTGGAGAAGGTCGAAGGTCAACCACCAAACCCCAAGCCCCCTCCAGCTCCTGCACCCGCCACACTGCCCTTGACGTTCCTCCCTCACGCTTGGACCCTCCGCTGGGCTCTGTCATGAACAAGAACTGCAAAACTCTGGGGAGCGCTGCTGCTCTCCAGGTGATTTCTATCAAATAACGCCGCTGGTCCCAAACCATCCTGGGAGGTAACTACTATTATTAAGTAGCGGGCAAGTGGCCATGAGCTAGGGAGTGGCAGAAGCAGGGCAGAAATGGAGGTCAGCGTCTCCGCCTCCCCTCTCTTCAGACTTCTTTACCTCATTTGATCTTGACAGCTGCAGACAGCTGCCACTCCCCACTTTACAGGCTAGGAAGCCTCAAAAAGCAAAGTGACTTGCCCAGAGCTCTGGAACAAATCCCTTGACCTCCACAGGGGCTGCATGAATATCGTTGGTGGCTTAAGCCACCAAAACGTGTTGTCTCCCAGTTCTGGAGGCCAGAAGTCCAACAGCAACGTGCAAACAGGGTTGGTTCCTCCTGGGGCTATAAGGGAGACTGCTCCAGGCCTCTCCCTCTGTGTCTGGCAGTTTGCTGGCCATCTTCCACGTTCCTTGGCTTCTAGATGCATCTCCCAGTCTCTGCCTTCATGCTCACATGGCCTGTGTCTGTGTCCAAATGTCCTATAAAAATAAGGACACTGGTCATAGGTCATAGTGGGTAAGGGCCCACCCTACTCCAGAGTGGCCTCATCTTCACAAATCACATCTGCAATGACCCTGTTTCCAAATACAGTCACATTCGGACTTCCAGGGGGTTAGAATGTCAACATGGGAATTGGGAGACACAATTCAACCCATAAGAGAGGCTCAGGGGTCATTCCCCAGGAGGCAAGATGTGGTCATCCCATCTCTACCCGCAGAAGCCACTGCAGAGGCAACTGGCCTGGCCCCAGGAAAGCTTCCCGAGGACTCTGACTTCTACCAAAAGGCTAAGGAGCAGTTGGAGCAGGAAGGAGGGAGCTCACGCGGAGGCCGTCCCACTTCTCCCGGGAGAACACGTCATTCTGAGAGCCTGGGCCTGGACTGAGGGGCAGAGTCTGCAGTTCCAGTCCCCGAGATCCACTCTCCTGCCCGTGACTCCGGTCCCAGGGCTCATCTCTGTGGTCCTTAAAGGCAGTGACTACGGCAGCAGGAGTGGGGATGGCAGAAGGACGTCTACACAGGACTGCTTGGGATCCCAGTTTCCACGTGTTAGCTGTGTATCTTCAGACAACTGACTTTTCCCTTCTGAACTTGAGTTTTCTCCTTCAGGAAAAATGGGGCTTTGCAGGTTTGCTGTGGGGACAGCACCTGAGCTCACCTAGGCAGAGACAGCAAGTTCCCACCTGGCCCCAGAAGAGACCAAGCTTGCTGTCCTAGCGTCTAAAAAGCCCCCAAACCAAGATGCCAACCCCACACCCAGCATGCCCCAATACCTAGCTCCAGGCACAATCATCTTCACTGGGTTAAAAAGAAAAATCTCTTGGGACCCCAAGGCAGGCAGATTGCCTGAGCTCAGGAGTTCAAGACCAGCCTGGCCAAGATGGTGAAACCCCGTCTCTACTAAAATACAAAAAAATTAGCCGGGCATGGTGGCGCACACATGTAATCCCAGCTACTTGGGAGGCTGAGGCAGGAGAATTGCAGTGAGCCGAGTGAGCAGAGGTTGCAGTGAGCTGAGATCACACCACTGCACTCCAGCTTGGGCGATAGAGCAAGACTCCGTCTCCAAAAAAAAAAAAAAAAAGAAAAGAAAAGAGAAAAAGAAAAGTGTCTCCTAAAAATGAGGTCAGATTGTAAGTCACCCTCCGTGTTCTTCCCCGGTGCCAGACAGAGTGGACCTGAGGGCTGGCTTCAGCCACTTCTGTCCGGAAGCCTGCAGGCCGCCTGTGAGTGAGTCGGCCCAAACAGAAAGGTGAGGTTTAGATAAGAGAAAGGGGGACATCATTTGCAATGTATTTTGGGGGTGTCCTTTTTCCTTTCTCTTCCTTGGCCAGGATGAGTCCCTCGGGGAGGGGGCACAACAGGACCTCAGAGGTGGGTCCTGGTCGGGGTCTCAGGAAACGGAACGTGTCGCCATTCTGCCTGCTCTCCACTGTGGGATGAGTCCTCACTGCCATGGGACAAGTGAGAGTTCCAGACAAGGACCTGCCATGGACCAACCCAGACACGTGGGGCAATGACTTTGTCTCCCTCAAACCTCCGTTTCCTCACCTGAGGTAGGGAGATCTCTAACCTCAGCCAGCCCCTTTCATGGAGCCATTGGGATGGTCAGAGGGCCAGTGTCAAATGTGAAAAACGCCTCGGATGCCATGAAATGCCACAGGGGTGTCAGCTTTGGGTGAGGCCACTAGAGTTCCACGGCAACGAAGGGCTGCAGAAGCCATGCTGATGATCCATGGGGACTCTGAGCTCCAGGGAGAGAAGGGGAAAGTTCAGCCTACACAGCAGGTTGGGATAGAGCAAGCGGGGAGCCCAGACCTGCCGACCCCCAGGCCTGGCTGAACCAGCCCTTCCTCTGGGCCTGCAGGGGGTTGGAGGGGCTCCCCGTTGCACAGTAGAGGTGCTCCTGGGCACAGCAGCCTGGGATAAAGCATTTTAAGCCCAAGGTGTTTGGGGACAGGTCTTGCTGTTGGTTACTTTCACAGGGACAAGTCAGACTCAGTGCATAACGGCAGGGACTGAGGACTGCTCGTGGCTCCGGGGAAGGCTGGCAGGGCTTGGTTGGATCTTGCACTGCCTCCCTCCTCCCTCCTGGAGGCCAGATACACCATCCTGCCCCCCAGCCTTGGCTAGAGATGTCCCCTCAGCCTGGCTGTCCTCCCCACTCCTTCCCAGCTGGGGAGCAGCACCCTTCAACCACCTGTCCACGGCCCCTGCTCCAGGAAGCCCACCTCACAGCCAGCCAGAGGTGACTCTGCCCCCCCTGCCCTGGCCATGAAGTGTGGAGTGGTGGAAAGGGTGAGGCCCAGATCTGGAAACCTGGCTTCTCCTGCCACCACACTGTGGCTGTGAAACGTGAGCAAGCACTTTGCCTCTCCGAGCCTGGTTCCTTATCTATAATTGAGTTTAATTCCCAGGAGTACTGAGGGGAGGAGGGTTAAATTTGTACATGGAAGAAATACATTTGAGCATCTATTAAATGCCAGGCTTAAAAATGTACACTTACGTGTTAGTCATAAAAAAAGCGCCAGGCCTGACTTTAGGCATTTATCAAAAAAGACAAAGCCTGTATAAGTGAATATTCTAATGGGGGACACAGTGGACAGATGAACGACGACTCAAAGAAGAATAACAGGCAGGATAAGGGTGTAGACTCATCCACGGAGGGTGCTATGCTCTCTATAGACACCATAGGTACTTAATAAATGCTGAATGCATGGATGGATGGATGAATGGGTGGATGGATGGGTGGGTGGGTGGATGGATGGATGGGTGGATGGATGGGTGGGTGGGTGGATGGATGGATGGATGGATGGATGGATGGATGGATAGACAGATGGATGGATGCTGCATCATACCCCCACCTCTCATAACCAACAACGGCCATGGTTGTCACCCACAGTATCTCCTTCTCAGAAGAGCTCGCCAACCCCCCAAGGTGGGCCAAGGAGCAGCCAGAAGAGGGCTCTGAGTGGAGGTGGGCATGGCACCCCTCCCACGCTACCTCCTCCTCTCCTAGGACCATCTCAGAAGTAGCCTCCCCTTGCAAGGAGGCTGGCAGGGCAGAGAGGGTCACCCAAGGCCTGGAAAGAGCCCCAGCAGCTGGCAGCAAGTATCCCAGGCACAGGGCGAAGGCTCTGCCTGTTTCCTGTCTGGACCTCACAATGCCCTGGCATGGCAGGGCGTCCCCCCGGGAGCTGGTGCTGAGAGGGTGGCGGAGGAGGAGACCCCACCTCGGGGGACCAGGGATCAGGAGAGTCAGCAGGGCCTTCAGAAGTCCCCTGATTCAGGCTTCTCACTTCTAAGTGGGGACATGGAGCCCTACAGAGGGTGAGGACTGGCAGAGGTAACCCAGAGTCAGGTATGGGGCAGAATTAAGCCAGGTCTACCTGAGTCCCTTTACAATTTACCTTCAAAAGGCCCCAGCTTCTGCTGAATGTTTCCTCCCCTTTTAAATGCACCCTGCCCTTGGTCTTGTCCTTGACTCTGCCCTTGGCCCTGTCCTTGGCTTTGCCTTTGGTCCTGTCCCTGCCCTTGGCTCTGTCCCTGTCTTGGCCCTGCCCTTGACTATGTCCTTGTCCTTGTCCTTGGCTCTGCCCTTGGCCCTGTCCTTGGCCTTGCCTTTGGCCCTGTCCGTGCCCTCAGCTCTGTCCTTAGTGGCCCTGCTCCCTGGCATTACCTCTCCCTCACCCACCGCTCCCTGTCTTACTAATCCAAGGCCACCCTGCTTGTCTCCCATGTCCCTCATGCCTTTTGTCAACTGTGGAGATGATGACACTCAGTGGGTAACTATGGCATATGGCTTGTGGCTTAAGGAAAGGCACTCCAAGTTTCCACTCCACGTGCTCAGTCTCTAGAGGGTCCTAATGTGAGACCACAGTCTCAGGCAAGCCATTCCAGGGCATGAGGCTGAAGAAGTGGCTGACAGTCCCAGGCCAGGCAGCACTGCCAGCTCCTCTCCTCAAGGTGGAGCTCTCCTCTCCACCTCGGCAGGAGTCGGCAGTTCACTCAGCCCATGGGTGCACAGGCACATGCGGGCACACATGGGCACACATGGGCACACATGGGCACATGCAGGCACACACAGGCTCACGTGGGCACACACACAGGCATACAAAGGCACACATGGGCACATTCGGGGCACACGAGCTCATGTGGGCACAACATGGGCATACACAGGCCCACTTGGGCACACTCGGGGCACACATGGGCCCATGCAAGCACACATGGACACACACAGTCACACATGGACACACACGGTCACCCACACGGGCAAACACTCCCAGTTACTCCAACCTACCTCCAGACCTTCCTGACCTGGATCCTCCCGATCTGGGCATCCTGGGTGGAAGGTAGGGCTCCCCCTAACACCTGCCTGACTGAATAGAAAAAGAAAATAAATAAAAATGGAGCCTTTCCTCAGCTTCTTGGGGAAGTCGTGGGCCGGCCAGGGGTTGGCAGGAACCAAATGGGCTGGGTCAGCACTGCATGAATCAGAGGATTTGAGAATTGCTGGGCGAGAGGTTCTGCAAATCACCAGATCAGAGCACTATGGAGACACGGTGTTTAGCATCACAGAATATCAGAATCACAGACCCTCGGGAACAAGCACTGCTGTTCCCAGCCTCCTCCCTACAGATGTCTCCAAATCCCAGACAGCACCCGCTGAAGCCCCTGCCTGGCTTCCCTGCTGCTGTCGGCCTCACTCCCTTCCTGTCCACGCAGCCCACCCTCCTAAGCGACCTTCTGCCCAGCCACAGCCATTAGCTCCCTGCTGCTCAGAAGCCATAGCAGGCTCATTTTTATGAGGAGGACAGAGTTCATTAGCTCACCCTCTGCCAATCCCCTCACTACCAACCTCCTTTCCCTTCCAGTCTCCCCCAGAGGGGCCACACTATAGCACACATAGTAAAAAAGTCTGGGCACGAGCCCTGATACACATCTATTGTTTGTTTGAAAATGATGTCCCTGACAGTGCAAGACGACTGGCCTCCTCCTGGAGTGGATCAGGGCTCCCAGAGAGCACGAGAGGAGGTAGTGGAAGCTGCTGGCCTCCCGAGGCCCGGCCCGGCCACCACCCGCCTTCTCTTGGCTGCCTCTCACTGGCCAGAGCAACTACAGAATCTGCCTGGATTCAGGGAGTGGCATGGGGTGGGGTGGTGGGGGTTGACGATGGCTATAAGAAACGGCTTTGAAGATGGAGGGAGGGCCATGAGCCAAGGACCGGGGCAACCTCAGAAGTGGGAAAAGGCAAGGAACCAGCCTCCCCGCAGAGTCTCCGGAAGGAAGATGGCCTGCTGGTGCCCCAGTTGTTGCCCGGGGAGACCTGCTGCGGACTTCTGACCTCCAGAACTATAAGATAGTAAATGTGTCTTGCAAAATAACAAATTAGTGGCTTAAAACCATGAAATTTGTGGTAACTGTGACAGCAGCAATAGGAAATTGATACAAGTATGTATCCGACTATTATTATATGTGTTAAGTGTTGTTAGAGTAGCGAGAAACAGACATCAGCTTTAGCAAAAAAAAAAAACCCACAAAAAACCCAGAAAATGTATGAAAAGATACTGTCCCAGCTCACAGGATCAAAGTGCTGAGCGACCACTCACAGGAAGCAGGAAACACGGAGGCTCTGGGTGGATCAGTGAAGCAAGAAGTTCCTGCCCTTCTCTCAGGGCACCTGCCTGGTGGAGGCTCCATGCAAGTCCCAGGCTCCATGAACCTGGATCCCAAACTCACTGGAAAGGGAAATCCAGACCCAGCCTGCCTCTGCCTGTGATGGCTAGGAGAGGGAATTGCTGGGCCAGGAAGCCACCCCTATGGGTACCTGCTGGAGCCCAAAGCCCCGTTCTAGTAAGCTGCAGCTGGTGCAGAACTTAAACCTGTGGCCCCAAGGCCACGCCTCCCTCCAGGCCACAGTTGCTCTCAAAGGCAGGCTGGTGAGGAGGCGTGTGTGGCCTGAGCAGGATGCTAGAGAGCCGGGGAAGCTGAGGCAGGAAGAGGCATTGGCTCCAGCTGGCAGAGCCCTGGAGTCAGGAGGAGAAGCCGGAGAAGCTCATGAAGCCCAGAGTCTGCGTGCTAGGGACTCGCGAGCCGCATTTGGCCACAGACGGTTTTATTCAGCTTGCGTGGTTTTTGTTTGCCTGTCTGTATAATGGCTACAATATGCTGAAGACATTAACAAGATGGATTTGCAATTTGCTTTCAAATCGTGTTTCTTTGCAGCCTCCCATCTCCAAAGTGAGGAATGAGTTCATGGCTTCAGAGAAGGAGGTGAGGTTTCTACCCTGTGCCAAGTAAAAGGTCTTCACTTTGAGACTGAAAGTTCACTTTTCAGAGCACAGAGAACTTTTAGGGGTTGGCACATGTTTCTGCTGAGGGCTGGGTAGGGAATCTTTTAGGTCAGTGGGTTTGTGGTCAGCAGGCTTGTGGTCTCGATTGCAACTCCTCAACACTGCTGTTGAAACACAAAAGTGAGCGAACATGGCTGTGATTCAATAAAACTTTATCGGTCCTGGAATTTGCACTTCATATAACTTTCACGTTATGAAACGTTCCTGTTTTGATTTTTTTCAACTATTTAAAAATGTAGCAACCATTTTCAGGCAGCTGGCTATATAAAAGACATGGCAGGCTGGCTTTTGGTCCCTGAACTGCTGTTTACAGGTATTTATTCTAAGACTAGAGTTAGAGTGACCACTCATCCAGGCTTGCCTGGGACCTTCTGCTTTAGCATGAGAGTGCTCTGCTCTGTCGGTGATTAGATGCAGGGATGACCCGGGTTTGTCTGCCTCGGGTCTTCCCTGGCTCCCAGGTGATCCCACCTGGAGTTAGGAGGTTCTGAGGGGACAGGGGCCGTGCCCTTGTAACAGAGGCTGCTGGACAGATGGACCGGGCCCAGGATGGGTTGGGAGGCACAGCCAGACCTCAGGGGGTTCCTATAGCACTGGTGAAAGTGAAGGAGGTTCCTGTGAGAAGGAAGGACCTTGAACCTGACAGGGCTAAGGGACAGCAGATCTCAGACCTCAGACCTCTAGCCTCAGGCATCGCACAGGCCAAGCAGGGACAGGCAGACATGGGGTGTGGGCCCAGCGGCTAGAGGAGCCAGCTCGACTGTCCCCAGCCAGTCCATGTCACTTGGTTTTGTCCCCTGCCTGACCCTTGTAGACTCCCGATTTCCAACCCCTGGTTGGCGGCTGGGAGGTGTGGAAAGGGAGTACTGGGCGCCAGGAAAATGGGGTTCCCGGAAGATGACTCAGGCAGCCCCAGAATATGTCTCCATCACTAATAGAGTCCAGAAGCAAGCCTGTGCCCATCCACTGCGATGAGGGTTTCTACGTGATGTTACTGTCATCAAGCCAAACCTGCGGTAACGCCAACCCCTAAAGGCAACCAGGACTTCAGCCAAGTTCAAGTCCTGCATTGCATCAATACATTACGTGGACTTTGAGCATGTCAGTTCTCCTCTCTGAGTTTTACTATCCTTGTCCATATAATGAGGTGGGGTGGGTTTCCCACTGGATCTGAACATCTGTTTTTTGTTTTTTTTTTTTGTTTTTGTTGTTGTTTTTTTTTTTTTTTGAGACAGAGTCTCACTCTGTTGCACAGGCTGGAGTGCAGTGGAGTGATCTCGGCTCACTGCAACCTCCAGCTCCCGGGTTCAAGCGATTCTCCTGCCTCAGCCTCCGGAGTAGCTGGGATTACAGGCACGCACCACCACGCCCAGCTAATTTTTGTATTTTTAGTAGAGACGGGGTTTCACCATGTTGGCCAGGCTGGTCTCCTGACCTCAGGTGATGTGCCCGCCTCGGCCTCCCAAAGTGCTGGGATTGCAGGCGTGAGCCACCTCACCCGGCCAACAACTCAGTTTTAAAATCTCAAGCTACTACTGACTGGTAAGAAAGAAAAGCAACCTCTTCAAATGGCAAGAGCCTCTCTACTAACCCCTGTAGAATATAAAAAGAAAATCATCTGGGTGAGCACGGAAGTCCTGTTTTTAGGGCAAATTTTCTGTGGGTTATAAATAAGCAGTTCTTAGCGGAAGGTCCCCCACACTGGACCTGGGAGGCCCACACCACTTTACCCTTGACCCAGGCACACTGATGTCGGCAATAAAGGATGTGACATGCCAGAAGGAGCTGAGGTTCCTGGTGACAGCTGTTGCCAAGGTAACAGCACGCCAGGCTGCAAACAGGTAGAAACAAGAGGCTCTTCTTACTCACTTCGGAAATTACCAGGAAGCTGATTAAATCTTCTTAGAATCACAGATAGGAGCAGAGAAGCCTTCTTCTCAGGAAACTCACAGCGCAAAGCCACCCTTGCTGGGCTGGGAAAAAGAAGCCTGGGTTCTCATGTCTGTGCCGTGATTGCAGGCACTGCTTACTCTATTGGACCTCAGATACTGTGCAGTTTTTACAAATTGAAGGTTTGTGGCAATGCTGTGTCAAGCAGGCCTATCGGCACCATCCTTCCAACAGCACCTGCTAACCCTGTGTCTCACGCCACCTTTTGGTAATTCTCGCAATATTTCAAACTTTTTCCTTATTATTATATCTGCTCTGTTGACCTGTGATCAGCAACCTTTGGTGTTATTTGATGTTACTACTGTAATTGTTTTGGGGCACCATGAATCGTGCCCATATAAGATGGTGAATTTGATTAATGAATGGCATATGTTCTCACTGCTCCACTGACCAGCCATTCCCCCATCTCTCTCTCTCTCACTTCTTCTCTTTCTCCCTCTCCCTGGTTCTCCTTATTCCCTGAGACACAACAAATATTGAAATTAGGCAAATTAACAACCTTACAATGGCCTCTGAGTGTTCAAGTGAAAAGTCAGTCTCTCACTTTACTTCAACAGCTAGACATGATGAAGCTAGTGAGGAAGGCACACTGAAAGCTGAGAAAGGCTGAAAGCCTGGCCTCTTGTGCCAAACAGCCCAGTTGTGAAGGCAGAGAAAAAGAAGTTCTTGAAGGAAATTAAAAGTGCTACTCCAGTGAACATATGGATAATAAGAAAGCAAAGCAGACTTATTGCCAAAAGGGAGAAAGTTTTAGTAGCCTGGATAGAAGCTCAAACCAGCCACAACCTTCCCTGAAGCCACAGCCTAATCCAGAGCAAGGACCTAACTCTCTATGAAGGCTGAGAGGGGTGAGGAAGCTGCAGAAGAAGAGCTTGAAGCTAGTAGAGGTTGGTTCGTAAGGTTTGTATTAGTCCGTTCTCACACTACTGTAAACAACTACCTGAGACTGGGTAATTTATGAAGAAAAGAGGTTTGATTGACTCACAGTTCCACAGGATTAACAGGGAGCATGATCAGGAGGCCTCAGGAAACTGACAATCATGGCAGAAGGCGAACGGGAAGCAAGGGCCTTCTTCACATGTTGGCAGGAGAGACAGAGCCGGGGGGAAGTGCCACACACTTTTAAACCATCAGATCTCATGAGAACTCACTCACTATCAAGAGAACAGGAGGGGGAAAATCTTTCCCCATGATCCAATCACCTCCCACCAGGCCCCTCCTCCAATTCGACATGAGATTTGGGTAGGGACACAAATCCAAACCCTATCAAGGTTGAAGGAAAGAAGCCAGAACATAAAAGTGCACAGTGAAGCCGCAAGTGCTGGTGAAGAAGCTATAGCAAGTCATCCAGAAGATCCAGCTACCATCCTTGATGAAGGGGGCTCCACCAAACAACAGGTTTTCAATGTAAATGAAACAGCCTTCTATTAGAAGAAGATACCATCTAGGACTTTCATAGCTAAAAAGGACAAGTCAATGCCTGGCTGCAAAACTCTGGAGGACAGGCTGCCTGCCTTGTTAGGGGATAATGCAGCTGGTAACTTTAAGTTGAAACCAATGTTTGTTTACCATCCCAAAAATGCTAGGGTCATTAAGAATTATGCTGAATCTACTCTGTCTGTGCTCTGTGAATGAAACACTCAAGCCTGGATGACAGCACCTCTGTTTACAGCATCGTTTATTGACTATTTTAAGCCCACTCTTAAGACCTACTGCTCAGAAAAAAAGATTCCTTTCAAAACATTACTGTTCATTGACAATGTACCTAGTCTTTGATGGAGATACACCAAGAGGTTTGATGGAGATGTACGGGAAATTAGTGTTGTTTTCATATCTGCTAACACAACATCCATTCTGCAGCCCAAGATCAAGGAGTAATTTCAACTTTCAAGTGGAATTAGTTAAGAAATCCTTTTCATAAGGCTATAGCTGTCATAGCTGCCATAGATAGTAAATCCTCTGATGGATCTGGGCAAAATATACTGGAAACTTTCTGGAAAGGATTCACCATTCTAGATGCTATTAGGAACATTCATGATTTATTGGAGGAGGTCAAAATATCAACATGAACAAGAGTTTGGAAAAAGTTAATTCCTCCCCTTGTGGATGACTTTGAGGGGCTCAGTGGATGAAGTAACTGCTTCATGTGGTGGAAACAGCAAGAGAACTAGATTCTAAGCAAATAAATGTGGGAACAAAAACCACATACTGCATGTTCTCACTTACAAGTGGGAACTAATTATCGGGTACTCATGGACATAAAAGTACTAATGGATACTGGGAACTACTAGACGGGGGAAAGAGGGAAGGGGACAAGTGTTGAAAAATGTTGGGTATTATGCTCAGTGCCCAGGTGACGGGATCAGTCATGCCCCAGACCTCAGCATCATGCAAAGTACCCAAGTAACAAACCTGCACACGTGGCCCCTAAATCTAAAAGAAAAGTTGAAAAAGAAAAAAAGAGAGAGAACTAGAATAAGAGGTGGAGCCTGAAGCCGTGAGTGATCTCATGATAAAACTTGAGTGGATGAGGAGTTGCTCCTTATGGATGAGCAGAGAAAGTGGCTTCTTGAGACAAAATCTCCCCCTGATGAAGACACCATGGACATTGTTGAAATGACAACAAAGGATCTGGAATATTCATTCCCAAGTAGCTGGGACTACAGGCGTACACCACCACACCTGGCTAATTTTTGTATTTTTAGTAGAGATGGGGTTTCACCATGTTGGTCAGGCTAGTCTCCATCTCCTGACCTCAGTGATCTGCCTACCTCGGCCTCCCAAAATGTTGGGATTACAGGCATGAGCCATTGCGCCCAACCACATATGTGTAAATTAATGTACATTAGGTTTTTTAGACACAATGCTATCAATACTCTTGTACACTTAATAGACTCTGGTACACTGTAAACATAACTATTATATGCATTGGGAAACCAAAAACATCGTGGGCCTTACTTTACGATACTTGCTTTAGTGCAGTAGTCTGGAACTGAACCTGTAATATATCCAAGGTATGCTTGTATTTGCTGTGTTCCTTTAGAAAATTACTTTTTCTCTGTTTCTCCAACTGGAAGGATTATATTAAACCTGGGGAAAGGCCCTTGAAGGACTCCATGGCACCCTCAGCGGACACTGTGGGCCTGAAAATGATATTTATTTTTTTTTTCTAGGGAACTCTTCTATTGTATACAATTTTTAAGCATTTAAGTGACAAAGAATACTATAAGCAGAATAATGTTTATTTTTAAAAAAGAAACTTAAAACAAGAAAGTAATGGTAGGAAAATGTTAACTCCTTTAGCCTATGAATTTGTTGAAAAATGAATAAAACTACTGATAGGTTCAGTTAGGAGTATCTTTTGGGTTTTTTTTTTTTGGTACGGTTTGCAAAACTCTTTTGAGGTAAATATTAGGGTGTTTTATGTAGTTCTGATAACAGTGCATAGCATATAGAAATGTTCTTTATGGTTTCTCCTGTCTCCATCTGGGCATGTCAAAGTTCAATTATGGTTTAAGCCATAGAGGACCTTTTATCACTTCTCGGCCTTTTGGCTAAGATTAAGTACAACAGTGGATCTTTTGTCTCAATCAAATTACCATACTTAACTATTTCATTCCAGAGGGCCAATGAAAAAAATGTATTTACAAGGATTATATTAAAATCATCAAGTACATGGGCCAGGCGCAGTGGCTCATGACTGTAATCCCAGCACTTTGGGATTCTGAGGCAGACAGAAGGATTCCTTGGGCACAGGAGTTCGAGACCAGCCTGGGCAACATAACAAGACCCTGTATCTACAAAAAACAAAAAAGTTAGCTGGGTGTGGTGGCACATGCCTGCAGTTCCAGCTACTCAGGGGGCTAAGGCGAGAGGTTCTCTTGAGCCCAGAAGTTTGAGGTTACAGTGAGCTATGATGGTACCACTGCACTTCAGCCTTAGCGACAGAGCGAGACCTCATCTCTTTTTCAAAAAGTTATCAAATATATAAAGAACACTATTTTAGGAAATACAGTTTTGTTTTTTTGAGACAGAGTCTTGCTCTGTCACCCAGGCTGGAGTGCCGTGGTGTGATCTCGCCTCGCTGCAACCTCCGTCTCCCAGGTTCAAGCGATTCTTGTGCCTCGGCCTCCCAAGTAGCTGGAATTACAGGCATGCGCCACCACGCCCAGCTAATTTTTGTATTTTTAGTAGAGATGGAGTTTCACCATGTTGACCAGGCTGGTCTTGAACTCCTGACCTCAGGTGATCCGCCCACCTCGGCCTTCCAAAGTGCTGGGATTACAGGCGTGAACCACCGCACCCAGCTCAAAATTACTTTTAAAGGGAAAAAACAGGCAAACATCCTCTGCTGCGGGGCCAGCTGCTGTGAACGCTGAGTTATGCCTGCATGTGGCTCTGGGTCTGAGAACCCTCACAGCTTGGCCCACCTCCTCCCTGGGGACCTGATGATGCCCAGGTCCCCAGTCATCCAGGGCCGTGCAGGGACAAAGGGCCCTTCGGGAAATGCTAGAACTTAAACTCCGCTTCCCCCAGTTTCTCTCTACTGCAGTCACTTTCATTTCTTAGTTTAATGAGCTTTTTCTCCGTGGAAAGAGCTGCCAGCCACCTTTTTTTTTTTTTTTTTTTTTTTTTTTTTTTTTTTTTTTTTTGAGACGGAGTCGCTCTGTCGCCCAGACTGGAGTGCAGCGGCGCGATCTCGGCTCACTACAAGCTCCGCCTCCTCCAGCCACCTTTCTTGAGTGGTTTCCGTAGGAGGAGGCGGTTCCCTCCAGGTTCTTCCCAAGGTCTTGGGCATCTTTCTGCAGAGTCGCGCTTCTCGGGTGTGTGGCTGACGCTTTCAGGCGCACTGGAAAGTGTCTTCTCCATTTCTAAGCAGTAAATTTCCTCTTCGATGACTTTTCTGCGAGTTTCTCCTGATGTTCTTATGGAGGGCAGGCAGGTTGGGGAGTTTCGCCTAAAGCCTCTGAGTCTCACTTGCAAGCTGTGGCCTTGCAGACTGCAAAGATGCTGGCTCAGTTTGCAGACTCTTCATTTTAACTGGAAGCGCTTCGTTTGTTTGATTTTCTTCACGTGGCTTTTATCTGGCTTTTCTCCCTCAAGCCTTCTTAAAGAATCGTCTAAGCTAACCGCATTGATCGTTTCTTCAAATCATTTTCTGACGGATTGTCTTGGTCTCCATTTTCCAATGCCCTCTTTCTGTCTGATTCCAAGCTGCGATCTTCTCTAAAGCGAGCATGACAGCTTATCTCCAGCACCGTTCAGTCAGAGGTCTCTACGGGCTCTCTGTCACCGCATCCTGTCCCATGTGTATGTTCTGGTTTCCAAGCCTTCTCTCCGTGCCTTCATGCCTTCGTTCCTGTCCTCTCGCCTTCTGTGCTGTAGTTGCTGGGGAGAACAGTTGGTATGATCTGGATGTTTTTTGGGGTTGTTTGTTTTTTGAGATGGAGTTTTGCTCTGTTGCCCAGGCTGGAGTGCAGTGGCTTGATCTCGGCTCACTGCAACCTCTGCCTCCTGGGTTCAAGTGATTCTCCTGCCTCAGCCTCCCAAGTAGCTGGGATTACAGGCACCAGCTACCACGTCTGGCTACTTTTTGTGTTTTTAGTAGAGACGGGGCTTCACCATGTTGGCCAGGCTGGTCTTGAACTCCCGACCTCAGGGGATCCACCCACCTCGGCCTCCCAAAATACTGGGATTACAGGTGTGAGCCACCGTGCTCGGCCTGATCTGGATGTTTCCTCCCTGCAAATCTCATGTTGAAATGTGATCCCCTGTGTTAAAGGTGGGCCTGGAGGGAGGGGTTTGGGTCTTGGAGGCGGATCCCTTATGAATGGCTCGGTGCTGTCCTTGCAGTAATTACTGAGTTCTCACTCTATGAGTTCCTACCAGATCTCATTGTTTAAAAGAGCCTGGCCTCTCCCCTCTCTCTCTTGCATCTGCTCTTGCCATGTGACACACTAGCTCCCTCTTCACCTTCCACTATGACTGGAAGCTTCCTGAAGCCTCACCAGCAGCAGATGCTGGCATTGTGCTTCCTGTTCAGCCTGCAGAACTGTGAGCCAAATAAACCTCTTTTCTTTTTTTTTTTTTGACAGAGTCCTGCTCTGTCACCCAGGCTGGAGTGCAGTCGTGAGATCTCAGCTTACTGCAACCTCCACCTTCTAGTTCAAGCAATTCTCCTGCCTCAGCCTCCCAAGTAGCTGGGATTACAGGTGCCCGCCATCATGCTTGGCTAATTTTTTTTTTTTTTTCAGTAGAGACAGGGTTTCACCATGTTGGCCAGGCTGGTCTCAAACTCCTGACCTCATGATCCGCCTGCTTTGGCCTCCCAAACTCTTTTCTTTATAAATTACCCAGCCTCAGGTATTCCTTCATAGCAATGCAAAAGGAACTAATTCAGCAGTTTCAGGTTTTCCTGAAGAAGAGTGAAGATGAAGGTTTTTAACCAAACCATTGGTATTTTCTTTAGAAGTCATTCCATATTATTCGGAGATGCTTTCAGGATGTGTTTGGCATCAGTCACTTGGGATTTGTGGGATTTCAATGCATCATTCAGGGGTCCTGTCTGTGCACCAAGGTGAGTCCACGTCACCACATGGAATGAAGGTTTGGGGGTCATTATCTATTTTTTTTCTAGAGGTTCTCCCTCATCATCAAGTGAAAAGGCAGAACTGCCACATGTTTATCAAGTGCTGCCAAGAGTTTGTAACTTCAGGGGCCTGACCTCCATGGCAGGGGATCGTGGGCTCCCCACCTGTGGCATCGCTCCAAGCTGCTCCCTGACTTGACTCTTCGACTCAGGCGGAAAGTCTCTTGGCTAGTTCTTTTTCCCTTTTTAAAGTATGTCTGGTCTTTACATAAAGTCAATCATAGCAGCATTTACCAGAATCTTCCAAGCAAACCTAGAGCCCTGAGCCTCATCTTTCAGACCACGCCAGCAGAGCATGGCACAGCAGCCCCAGGCCCAGCTGGAAGGACACACACTGGCCGTCAGCAGGCCCTCCTCAGCAACAAGGGGCCCCGCAGCTCTGCCCGTGTTTGCCAGTGTCCTATTGACTACAACTGACCACATGGAAGCCCAAACAAGTGCCCAGCCACCAGGGCAGTCCGCCATGGGCTGGAGAGCGGAGGCCAGGCTCCATGAGCCCGTGCCTTCTTGTCGCTTACTCTGGCCACTGCTCAAATGGACTGTGATCCCATGTCCAGCACCCTGGGGTAGTGGGAAAGGCCGAGGCAGCTCAGGCCCTCCTGGGCCTCCAGGAAACCTAAAGGAACAAAGCAGGGCCCAGCCAGGACCCCTTGTGTGCTCAAAAGCTCGTGAGGGCATGTGGAGGGCACGGAGGCCGCCTAGGGGACTTGAGTGCCACATCCCCAGGTGAGGGTCCTCCTTCTCATGTTAGCTGTCTCCTGCAGGCCCAGCCTGCCTACAAGGTCATAGGACCCTCTTTAAAGTCCCCTCTCTCTCTGCCCCCTGTCCTTGTTCCTGAAGGCCCCTCCCTCATTTGTGTCTGCTTATCTGCTGGGCAGGGGCAGAGGACCAAAGGGCCTCACAGAAGGCCTACTTTTCACTCATGAGAAATAGGGAGAACCATGGAACAGGCCATGTCTCAAGGTTTTATGGATGTTCAGTGGAGCTGCTTTGTCCCCATTCAATCTAAGCATTCCTGAAGGGGAGAGGAAATTCTCCTGGGTGTAACCACAACCAGACCCCACCAGGTTTTGGGCATGCAGTTTCCCCGGTTGCCTGGGGTCCACAAGGGCGCCAAGTCTTCAGAAGTGTGCTCTGTGGAGTGGCTGTCCCAGCAGTGGGGACTTCTTTCCACTGAACTTGTCATCTCGTATTTGTCTTTTTTTTTTTTTTTTTTTTTGAGACAGAGTCTCACACTGTCACCCAGGTTGGAGTGCAGTGGCATGATCTCAGCTCACTGCAACTTCCACCTCCCGGGTTCCAGCGATTCTTGTGCCTCAGCCTCCCAAGTAGCTGGGATTACAGGCACGCACCACCACACCCCAGCTAATTTTTGTGTTTTTAGTAGAGACGGTGTTTTGCCTTATTGACCAGGCTGATCTCCAACTCCTGACCTCAAGTGTTCCACCTACCTCGGCCTCCCAAAGTGCTGGGATTACAGGTGTGAGCCCGGCCCACCTCTTATTTCTTTAAACAACATCTCCCTCTCTAGGCCTGTCTGGCGGGCTCAGCTCAGAGCCCCCTTGCCCATCACCTGCCCATCTGCAGTGATTTCCCCTTGGGTCTGGGGGACCGGATAGGCACCTGGAAGCAGGACACAGGTCCCTTGGGATATCAGGGACTGTCCTAGAGGGGAAGAATGAGGGGACCAAATGCCTGATGGGGAGCCAAGAGGTCTTGGAAGCCAGATGAGGCTGCAGCGAGGACAGGCCACACTGCCGTAGCCCCCGCTCCCTGCACCTGCACTCCGCAGCCCTGCTCCTGGCCTCTGGTGGAAGAGCTGGCCTTTGCTCAGGCTGTGGTTCCAGGGCTGGCAGTATGGTGATCAGTTTTATATCAGGCTTCTGCTCAAGATTTCATCTGAACAAATGTTTACTCAGCGACAAAAATCAGTCACCACTGAACAGGACACTTGTAAACATGGTTAAACTGGTAAATCCTGTGTGTGTGTGTGTATATATATGTATATGTGTGTGTGTATATATATATACATGTATGTATACATATATATATACGTGTATAGATACACGTATATATATATACACACACACATACATTTTGCCACAATAAAAAAAAATCAATCAATCAATCAAACATCAGACCAGGTCATCTCTAAGACTCTAAGGTGCTCAGATTCTACACTGTAAGGTCTAAGATGTCACCTTTGGCCAGGTGCGGTGGCTCATGCCTGTGATCCTCCACTTTGGGAGGCCGAGGAGGATTACTTGAGGTCAGGAGTTCAAGACCAGCCTTGCCAACATGGTGAAACTCCATCTCTACTAAGAAAAATACAAAATTTAGCTGGGCATGGTGGCAGGCGCCTCCCAGCTACTCAGGAGGCTGAGGCAGGAGGATCACTTGAACCTGGGAGATGGATGTTGCATTGAGCAGAAATGGCACCACTGCACTTCAGCCTGGGTGACAGGGTGAGATTGTCTCAAAAAAAAAAATGCATGAAGAGAGGTGGAGAGGGACATTTTGGCAACAGCAGCCAAAAATCAGAGAACAGCCCTTATCTTATGTTTTGTTGTCTCCAAATGCAGTCTCCCAAATAGGATGAGAAGTCAAAGGACTAAATATATACAAAGGTTAAATCCAAGTACTTATATAACAAGGTGAGAAGGATTTTTTAAAAACATCTCTTTAGCAACTGGCACCAGAATTCTTCTTGGCAAGGGAGAGAGGAGTGTCTTTGTCCAGAAAATACTGTGAGTGGCGCCTGGTGTGGGTGACAGGTCAAGGCTCTGGGCCTCCAGGACGGTGG
This sequence comes from Homo sapiens, assembly GCF_000001405.40. Lineage (NCBI taxonomy): Eukaryota > Metazoa > Chordata > Mammalia > Primates > Hominidae > Homo > Homo sapiens. The sequence goes on from NC_000002.12 coordinate 9,791,896, forward strand.
GGGCTGTTCTGCATAAGACCAAGGGGACAATCTGCTATTTTTGTTCCTAAGCAGGGCAGGGGTAGAGGAGGCCCCTGAGATGGGGGAGGAGGGTAACAGGGGGAGACAGAGCACGGGATGATGGAGAAGGCTGGGCGGTGGGGAAGAGCCCTCAGTACTGGGCAGCTGTGCCCACTGCACAGTGTGGAGGTGGTCAGTGCTGCCCAGGGAGGTCTTCTTGTCAGGAGAGAAGCACTGAGAGGGGCTGAGATTTACACCTGGGCAGAATTCCTGAGGGAACAGAGCCCAGAGGCTGCAGCGGTCCTGGGAACTCGGCAAACTTGGGCAAGACTTTGAGCCTTCTCCAGCCGTGGAGCTAGGAGGGCTGAGTGGACACAACCCAGGTTTCCAGGGTCCAGGCATCTGAGTGACACCTAAAGAAGGTAGGGACAGCCCAGGCACAGTGGCTCATGCCTGTAATCCCAACACTTTGGGAGGTCGTGGTGGGTGGATCACTTGGGGTCAGGAGTTCGAGACCAGCCTGACCAACATGGTGAAACCCATCTCTAATAAAAATACAAAAATTAGTTGAGTGTGGTGGCACACACCTGTAGTCCTAGCTACACAGGAGGCTGAGGCAAGAGAATCGCTTGAACCCAGGAGGCAGAGGTTGCAGTGAACCGAGATTGTGCCACTGCACTCCAGCCTGGGTGACAGAGCGAGACTCTGTGGCAAAAAAAATAAAATAAAAGGTGGTGGGGACACAGTGCCCTGGGATTCCCATGGAAGATGATCTTCCGCTGCCTAACCAGCCCCCAGCCAGACCTGCGAACCTGGCTTCGGGATATACAAGCCCTTGGGGGAAGTGAGGGCCCCTCCCCAAAAGGGGAAATCCTGCCTCGCCTTGACCACCCTCAGATGGCTTTGTTGTTTCCAGAGTGGAGAAGGGGGGACCCTCTGGACATAGGGGGTTTCCCAGGCTCTTCCGCACTGCGGACCTGCTTCCTCCTCAAAAACATCCGGACAGCCCAGCACAGCCGCAGCTGTGCTCAAAATAACCTCACAGCAAGGGCTGGCAGAGCCTCCTCAGTTAAAAATAACCTGCAGTGGCCGGGCGCGGTGGCTCACGCCTGTAATCCCAGCACTTTGGGAGGCCAAGGCGGGCAGATCACGAGGTCAGGAGATCGAGACCATCCTGGCAAACAGTGAAACCCCATCTCCACTAAAAATAGAAAAAATTAGCCAGGTGTGGTGGCACGCACCTGTAGTCCCAGCTACTCAGGAGGCTGAGGCAGGAGAATTGCTTGAACTGGGAGGCAGAGGCTGCAGTGAGCTGAGATGGTGCCACTGCGCTTCAGCCTGGGTGACAGAGGAGACTGTCTCAAAAATAAATAACCTGCAGCTGCTGCATCCGGACAGAGCTCGGGGCCCCCACAGGACTCATGCTCTCCATGAGGGGAAGGCCTCCCTGCCCCCTGAGGCTAAGGGACAAACAGCACACGCGGGGCTTCCTAGGTGCCAGCTGCTGCTCTCAGTTAAACTCTGCATCAGCCCTGTGAGGTGGGCACTGACCTTCCTTGGCTCTATGTCCCCACCCAAATCTCATCTTGAATTGTAATCCCCACGTGGGGAGGGTGGGGGGTGACTGGATCATGGGGACAGTTTCCCCCTGCTGTTCTCCTGATAGCAAGTGAGTTCTCATGAGACCTGATGGTTTTATAGGGCAGTTTTCCCTGCTTTTGCTCACTCTCTCTCTCTCCTGCCGCCCTGTGAAGAAGGTGTTGGCTCCTCCTTCCACCATGATTCTAAGTTTCCTGAGGCCTCCCCAGCCATGCAGAACTGTGAGTCAATTAAACCTCTTTCCTTGACTGGTCTCGGGTATTTCTTTATAGCAGTGTGAGAACAGACTGACACAGGCACCATTGTCATCATGGCACAAAAGAGGACGCATACGCACGGAGATGTTAATTAACCAGCCCAAAGTGCCACAGCTCGGGAGTGGCAGAGCCAGGCTCAAGCCCAGCAGTGCGGCCAAGTCTGTGGCCCTGCGTGTTGCCTGTTCCTCCTTCTGAGCCAGGAAATAGTGAGGGGCTGAGCCTGCTCCCTCTGCTCGGGTAAGTTGCTGCCCCTCAGCCTCACTCTCCTCACAGGCAGTCAGGTAAGCAGCCTATTCGCAGCTGGGGATGTGAGGTCAGGTGCAGCCAACATGGAGACCTGGTCCAGGTGAGGCGCTTCTGAGCTGGAGCCACGCCCACTCCACAGATGGGAATGCTGAGGTCCACAGGGAGGGGTGGGGTGCATCTAAGTGGAGAACCAGCTCCCCGGACTCCCAGCCCGTGCCCTTCACTGACATCTGTCCCTCATACCACTCGCACCTTATATTTGTATTCCATTTTGTACTTTTCAAAGCAATTTCTCATCTACCTTCTGATTTGACCTTGACCACCCAGAGGACAGTCAGGAGCACAGACCTGCCGTGGTCGCCCCGGCCTAAAGCTCTTCAATGGCTTCTTGTTGTCCTTAAGCCCAAGGCCCAAGCCCTCACCAGGGCACCCCCTGCCCACCGCACTGCAGGGCCTCCCGCTCTGCCTGCCACCCTCTCCCCCATCTCTGATCTCCCCTCTGTGTGTGTTGGACCGGTCACCCATCTTCCTCCATCCCTCACTGCTTTTGAGCTCCCTCTTCCCCTGGCCTAGGACACTCTCTGCCCTCTACCCAGTAACCCTGTTCCCCTTTCTCAGCTCAGCCCAGCCCACCCTGACACCCTCACCCCTGGGGCAGCAGGTCGAGGCCCCCGTGAGACTCAGCCCCAGATCGCCCTTCCTTCACAACCTTCTCAGAGCTGCCAATGGTGGCGTTATTTGCATTTTGTCCACTTCTTAAAAAACTTGTATTTTAGGTTTAGGAGTACATGTTCAGGTTTGTTATATAGGCAAATTGCGTGTCATGGGGGCTTGGTGTATGGATTATTTTGCCACCCAGGTAATAAGCACAGTAGGTGGTTTTTTCTTTCTCGCCGCCCTCCCTCCCTCCCTCCACCCTCGAGAAGGCCCCAGTGTGTTGTTGTCTTCTTTGGCGTCCATCTGTACTTACATTTTACCTGTTTAACGTCAGTCCGTCTCACACGGTTACAAGCTCTAGGGGGAGGGTTTGCATCTGTTTTTCTCCAAGCTGTGGCCCCCCAGTGCCCTGGGCCTAGCTCAGTGCCCACCATGCAGTCAGCCTCTGTAATATTAAGGTGGACAGGCCTTCCCCACTAACAGACAGGATGAACCCAGAACAATGAGGAGAGACTTGCCAGAAGTGGAGCTGGGCCCGGGGTGCCTATCTGAACAGCTGTGGCCACAACAGCCAGCTGCAGAGTTGGGGACACAACCCTGGCGCATCCCATCGGGCAGGAGGGGAGCCTGCAAGTGCCCAGAGGACAAAGGTCAACACACCTGTCTTTGGTTTCTGATGTATGAGATGTGAAGGTGACTCAATCACAGATGTCACAGTTCCCTCCAGTCACGTAACACACGGCCCCGTTTTATTCAGTCTCACAATGTTGTGGGTTAGGAATTCAGTGGGGCTGGACTGAGCAATTTTCTGCTCCTTGTGGCATTGACTGGGGTCACTAAGTGGTGTGCAGCTGGCGGAGGGGCTGGCCTGGAAGGTCTCAGACAGCTGCCCTCATGCTGGCTGCTCAGCAGGACGAGGAAGTGACTGGGTCCTTGTCCCTCTCCATGGACTCTCAGGGCCTCTCCACACCTGAGGGTTGAACTTGGCTTCAAGAGACCAAGGTGGAAACCACCAATCCTTGTAAAGTCCAGGCCCAGTCTAGGCTGGCACAGTCACCTTGCTGTACCCTACACAGGCCAGCCTAGGCTCGGAGGACCAGACCCCACCTCTCAAGGCAGGTGTTATTGTCTCTGTCTTACAGATAGGTAGGTTGAGGCTCAGAGACATGAAGTAGCCAAGGTCACAGAACTTACCTGGGACTCACACCTGGAGATTCACACCTGGGACTGCAGCCTGGAGTGTAAGCCTAAAGTCCGGGCTCTGGGCTGGGCACAGTGGCTCATGCCTGTAATCCCAGTGCTTTGGGAGGCCAAGGCGGGAGCATCACTTGAGGCCAGGAGTTTGAGACCAACCTGGGAAACATAGCAAGACCCTGTCTCTACAAAAACGAAAAATAAAATTAGCCAGGAGTGGTAGCGCGTGCTTGTGGTCCCCCCAGCTACTTGAGAGGTTGAGGCAGGAGGATTGCCTGAGCCCAGGAGCTTGAGGCTGCAGTGAGCCATGACTGAGCCACTGCCCTCCAGCCTGAGCAACAGAGACCTACACTCTAAATAGATAAAACCTGAACTCCCCTCCCAGGCTGCCCTGCCTTCCTCAACGCTTGCTCCGGTGGCGTGGATGGGTCAGGACTGACTGAGCCAACTCCCACATCTCACCTGTGGTTCCCAGCCTGGCTGCTCACTCAGCTAAACAACTTGGATCATCACAGGTTCCCTGGCCCTGGCTGTAGGAGGTTGACTTGAATTGGTCTGAGGTGGAGTCTGGACACTGGTAGTTTTTAAAGCGCTCAGGTGATTTCCATTAAAGCCAAGGCTGAGAATCCCTGGTTACAACCAGAGGCTCCCCTCCCTTGCCTGCTCCTGCCTGGAGGACCCCCCGAGCATCCAGCCCCTCTCTCCAGTCAGTGGGGGAAGGGAGGCTGGGACCTGCTCAGCAGTCGTCCTGGTGGAGAGGGACACACATAGCAGGGGCTAGAACAAGTCACCCTCACCAGAGCAAGGCCAGGCCCGGTTCTGCCAGGGGGCTGAGGATGAGAGCTCCAGTCCCAGCATTGCCCCTTGCTAATTGAGGTTTCTTAACCTCTCTGACCTTCTACACAGTGTGGTTAATAATGACCGCCATGCTGCCTTCACAGAGGGTTTTCAAGATGTAAAAGGGGGAACAAATATAAAAATGCTTAGCAAAACGATGCAAGGCTTTTACGTGGAAATTACAAAACCTCACTGAAAGAAATTAAAGAACTAAATAAACAGAAAGACGTCCTATGTGTATGGATTGCAAGATTCAACATGGGGAAGATTTTAAATTGTTCCTATTATTAATAATTCCCAAATTGATGTAGAGATTCAATGAAACATTAGGTTTAAACAAATTCTTATGGTCAGAGAACCAGAAGGCTTTTGGACAGCAAATATAGTACATGTGTCTCTGAAATGTGTCTTAAAATTGAGGGTGTGTCATACTTTAAGCGTCACAGAGCCCCTTCAGCTGGGGTCCTCTCATGAGGTCAAGGGGTGTGCCCTCCCAGAGCCCATGCTCCTCCCCACATTTCCAGGGCCTTCTTGAACTTCTTCCCAGGGTCTGCCCTCCTGAGGCTGACCTGGTTTGCATATCCCATGGGGCAGCTGTTCGTGGGACAAGGGGATGTGGACGATGGCAGGCTGGGACACAGCATGTATGCATGAATGTGTGCATACTTAGGGTACAGAGCAGAAGGGGGCAGGTGGGGCTGGCCCACCCCACACCATTGTGTTGTAGTGCCGAACTCCCAGGAGTCCAAAAATACTAAATTTAAAGCTGGCCTTCCAGATCCTTGTGAAGGCATATTTATAAGAGGCTGGAACACATTTTATTTAATAGTTTGTCAGCTATATGACTTGCAGATATTTAGACTTAGAGTAGGTGGGCCTCCAATTCTACTCTTGCCTCAGCACCTGGAAGTATTAGGGTAAGGTCTGCAAAGTACCCATTTCTCTGAAAACACCCAGCTCAGGAATTGGTACAGGGAGTCCCCTTTCTGGAAGGCCCTCCCCCACGTCTGCCTGGCCTATCCGGTTCTTCCCTCAAGTTTCAGCCCAGATTCTGACTCTTCCGAGCAGACAGGCCCCCGTGGCCTTTATTCCTTCCCTCCCAGCACTGTCTGGCCAGCATGTGCGGTCGCGTGAAGACCTGCTAACAGCAGGAGCTGGGGACTCCCTGAAGGCGCTGACCTCGGCCGACTCCCCCAAGAATTCCCAGACCCTGGCACGGGTGCCGGCACATGTGCTGCCCAGGGCAGGCTCGGTGGACACATCTACAGTTCATTCTCCCACTTTAGTCCATTTGCTTAAGACACCCTTCCCTGGCAATCGGTAAGGTGCACACATACTGCCTGGGGCTCTCATTAAACTGCAGATTCCAGTTCTGTAGGTCTGGGAGGGGCCTATGATTGTGCAGTTCTAACCAGCTCCCAGGTGAGGCCAATGCTGCTGGCTCAGGGACCACACTTTTCACAGTGAAGCTTTAGAGCTCATTATCTTCCAGGAAGACAAATGCAATACAGGTGTTGCCTGTAGCCAATGCTTCAGCAAATGCTATGGATGCTGCGACTCTGAAACTGGCTGCACCTGCCCAGCAGTCCTGTGAGAGAGTCTGTTAATAAGTAGCAAAGTAGACTCCTCACTGAGGAGGGCAGTTCAGGGACTCGGAAGTCAGGGATGCCCAGAAGGTACACAAGGGGGCTGGGAATCCAGGCTGCAACCTCTAGGCCCAGAGGCCTGGGTGCCAGGCTCAACACAGTTGCTGCTCGCCCAGTGACCTCACGTGAGACACCTCCTCTCTCTGGGCCTCTGCACCTACTCTGGGTGGTACTATCTGCCATGAGAGTGAGATGGGAAACTCTTCCAAAGAAAGGAGGGCTGGATGCTGGTGAGTTGGCATTATTGGCAAGAGCAGATATGATCAGCCCTGACCATGGGCCAAACACCATTCTGCCCACTTTCTCTGTATCAGTGTGTTTAACCCTCAGGGCGACCCTCAGAGGTGGGCACTGTTCTTATTACCTTTTCACACAAGAGAAAACTGAAGCCCAGAGGACGCAATTGCTGTTAAGACCCCAGGCAGTCTGGCTCCCAGCCTTCTACTGAACCCTCTTGTCACTCTGCCTCTCCAGCCTGAAGCTCTGGAACCGTAATAGGTTCATGGCCTGACCCGTGCAGGAAGTCAATATGCAAGATGCCGCATTGCAGCAGAGAGAGAGGTCTAATCAATGCAGGGCCACCAAGTGAGGAGATGGGAGGAAACCCCCAATCCATCATCTCCCCAGGGAGTTCGGGGCTCGAATTTTTAAGGGTTTTGAAGTGGGTCAAAGTGTGGAGGTCCTTGATTGGTCGAAGAGTGCAGTCACGGGACAAGGAGATGAAGAAACCTCACTGTCACGCGGATTCCGTTCCTCTGTGGGGGTCTTCGAGCTGGTTGGCATCAGCTGTTCTGATGGAATTCAGGATCTGCTTAAGCAATTCTTAAACAAAATTCCTATGATTCTAAGGTCAGAGATCCTATCAATAGGAACCATGGGGATGTGAACTGTCCGTACCTAGGGCTACGTGACTTTTGGTTACAAGGAAGTGGGTCAAAGTACAGCCTGATGAATGCTTAATTATAGCTATATGACTGTCCGCAGTTCTTGTTAACCCTGTGAGGCTGGCTTCAGCTGGGTCTGCACTAGGTTAAGAAAGGGAGAAGAAGGGTGGGGACCTCAGCCCTTCCTTCCTGCCCAGACCACAGCCTGCAAACCTCCTCGGGTCCCCTCTGGCTCCAGGGCTCTCGCTGCAGACAGATCAGAAAGGACTCTGGGTCTGTCCCACCCCAGCCAGGCAGCCCAGAGCCCTCAGAGCAGGTGCTGCCCAAATGTTCCTGGGCATGGTGGGACCTTCTGCTAGGCAGGCTCTTCCTCATAGATTTGGGGGCTGCTTGTTTTAGGTTTAAAACAACCTGAGCTTCCCCCAGCCAAGTCCCTATCTCATTGTGTTGCCGTGGTCTGTTTGCCTGTCTGTCTTGTCCCCTAAACTTTGCACTCTCAGAAACGGGGCTGTGTTCCCTCCTCCCTAGGTCTCCAGCTCAGTGTCTTGCACACAGTGGGTGGTGAACTGACTTGCTCCTAGTTTCCCCTCTAGAGGTGCTGGGATGCAGTGACAACGCGCTTCCAGATCTTGCCACCAGAGGGCAGGAGCGCACAGCAGCCGAGTGTGAGCAGCGCGGCAGAGAGCAGGTCGGGCTGGGTGGGTCCCTGGACATCCAGCCGGCAGGGCAGGGAAGGGCCAGGCGCAGAGGGTAAATGAGGACAGGGCCTTGGGGGAGTCTCTTCATTTCCCATGCCGATTCCAGAGACTTCTTTTCTCTTCCTTCCCTTCCATTCCCCTGCCATCTCTTTTCCACTCCCTCCCCTTCCATGTTGACCAGGGTCCAATTTTGACTTTGTGTGACTTTGGGCCAGAAACCTCTTCTCTCTAAGTTGTAGTTTCCTCGTCTGTAAAATGGGGAAGTAGTGCTACCCAATTCTGGGCAGTTCCCTATCTTCCCTTCCTCAGGCTTTGGGACCCTCTGTAGGGCCACGCTTCTCGGCTCTTAGTGGGGAGCTCCAGACTGTGACCCAGGCAAAGCCAGGGGCCCTTTGAAGTGAGCTGCCTCCTCTGCCCCCTGCCTGGGAGAGGACACCTGCAGGCCTGGCCCTGTGGGGCCAGGTGGGCTGGCAGAGTGGATGGGCTGGGAGCTGTGGCAGCTGTGCCGGGTACACACAGGACATCAGCTGGGCCTGTTCCACTCAAGCATAGATGAGCAGGCAGGCATGAATGAATGAATGAATGAATGAATGAATGAATGAATGAAGAGTGAATGAATGAGTGAATGAATGGGAGAAATTCAGGCATGGCTTCAGAATACTTGTAGCAAAGGGATTTTCATACCCACTGCCAGTGGAACCTGGAAGCCTCCTAAGCCTCTCGGAGCCCAGCTTGAGTGGAGTCCACTGGGGGCTTGTCCTCTTTTTGAAGCCTCTTGTCCCTTTTGGACTCCTCACTGGCAGAAGCCTAAGAGACCCTTAGTCTAAGCTTTCAGGGGGTGAGAGGAGGAGTCTACTAACTGGGAGGGTTTACCCAACATCATTTATTTATTCCTCATCAAACAAACACAACGTAGCCACCCCCTCCGGGACTGTGCCTGTGTCTGTGCTGTGAACATCCCAAGGGACGGTGCAGCTGGTGGGGGTGGAGGGGCCGGAGTGCTCTGAGGAGCCAGGGAAGGCCTCTCCGAGGAGGGGGCTTTTGAGCAGGAGGCCTGTGCTTTGAGCAGAGATCCCACAGAGGGTCCCAGGTCAGCTGGACCGGCACTTCAGAGAAGTCACTGACTGAAGAATCAGAGGCAGGGGGCCCCACGAGCCGAGCCGGTCCAGGCCCCAGGGAATGAGGGCAAAGCGGCAGCCTGCAGTCGGACAGCAGTGCTGGGTCCAGGGGCTCCTCAGCTCCCACGCCCACTCACAGCGCATTGTCTCCAGGGGAAGGGTTTCTGGGCGGGCCCAGGAAATGGGGATGTGTCATCCGAGTGGGTGCTCAGTCCCCAGCAGAGCTCACGGCTGACAGCCAGGCCCGTCTCTCCTGTCACTAGATCCCACCTGCAGGGACTTGCCCAGAGCTGACCTAAATTTCCCGGCCACTCTGTCGACACCTCCAGGGCGGGGCAAGGCATGCCTTCGCAGAAGCCCAAACAGAATTCGTGACCAACAGCACAGAGACTCAACCTCCACCCTGGGCTCAAAGGGCTGCTGTGGTGGGCTTCCTGGGCACTGCCTGACCCTGAGCTCTCCCGGAAGCTGGCCTCTCAGTGGGTGGGGGCAGACAGCACCCGGGGAGGATGTAGAAACATGGCAGACATGGGGATCTAGGGCAGAGGGTGCCGTGTGTGTGTTCGAGGCCCGTTTCCTCTTTGTGAGTCTTCCAGTTTGCTTTTCAGGGAAATAGACTCATTTCAGACCCAGGAGAAACGGTGGGCTTCAGCAGGGCTGCCCCGGGGCCCACCTCCCGGAGCCTTGCTCCCTGCTTCATCCAGGCACCTGGCTCTCCTGCTGCCCTGGGGAAGTCAGAGCCTCCTATCTTGGCAGAAGCCCCCACCCCCAACCTCCGCACACTCAGTTCTCTTGCCACACAGCCTAGAAAATTCTGCCTCTGGCTTGGGGCTCCATTTGCTGAGCCAAGATGAGGCATGAATCACAGGGCTGCGAGCTGCCTGAGGCTGTCTGGAACCCGCAGACCTCAGAGCCCGCAGAACTGCAGCCCCTTCCCCCACCACATCCCTGGGCCATGTCGTCGCCGGCTTCTCGGCTCTTCTCTCACTGAGCCTGCCGTAGTTAAAACAGTTCCAACCTCAAGGCAGCTCAGGTCTTGGGAGCCCAGACAGCTCCTGGGGGTTTGTCGGCCTGATCAGAATAAGCAAATAGTATTCTTTTTAGATTTATTTTCTTGGATTACAAACTCACAATTAAGTCTTTCTAGGCCGGGCGTGGTGACTCATGCCTGTAATCCCAGCACTTTGGGAGGCCAAGGCGGGCGGATCACTTGAGGTCAGGAGTTCGAAAGCAGCCTGACCAACATAGTGAAACCCTGACTCTACTGAAAATACAAAAATTAGCTGGGCATGGTGGCACATGCCTGTAATCCCAGCTGCTTGGGAGGCTGAGGCAGGAGAATCGCATGAACCCAGGAGGCAGAGGTTGCAGAGGTTGCATTGAGCCGAGATCACACCACTGCACTCCAGGCTGGGTGACAGAGAGACTTTGTCTCAAAAAAAAAAAAAAAAAGTCTTTCTAAATAATTTTGGACTCCCAAACAGATCCAGAGGGACTCCAGTTTGAGCCATGTTGAGGGAACAGGGATTTGGCATGGGATCAGCCTGGGGCTGGCTGTGCAGCGTTTGAGGGGCCACCTTCTCTGAGCCAGTTATCTGAGGTGCTGCCTTCTCTGAGCCTTGTTTCTGAATCTAAGGCTCCTCGTAGCTCTGGCATCCTTGCCTCTGATTCCTCGGAAATGTCCCAGGCCCTGCAGCTGACACTGGGCTCCAGGCAAGGCTCTTGGCTGTGTCTGGAGGGGCTGTGGGCCAGCCTCTTGGCATTGGTAGGCCAGCAGCCCAGGAAAGCTCCGTGTTCCCCATCAAGGAGGGGACAGGCATCTGGGCAGCGCAGGGTGCTGTCCCTAGGGGGAATGCCAGCCACATCCTCTAGGGCCCTGGGAGAGAAGTCCCGAGAGCCCAGTACTTTCTCCTCCGTGGCCCACCTGAAACCTGGCCTCAGCTCTTCCCCTGAAGCCGGGAAAGGGCACTGCCTTAGTTTCTTACAAGAGGATGGGGAAAAAGAAATGTGAGAGCTAGAGAAACGGCTCCAGGGACCGAGCCCAGCGCTTTCTCTGCACACACAGCCACTGTAGACATTTGGACTGGAAGGTCTTCGGCACACACTTGGCCGATTGCTCCACATAAGACGGCGGGCCCAGGTTCAAGGTGCACTGTCAGGGACACCTGGGCTTCTTGGCTCCCAGCCAGACGTTGGGCAACAGCTCCAATACCTGTGCACCTCAGCATCCACATCTGCCCGTGCTCTCTGAGAATTAGGCCATGGAATCAACACCTAAGCATCCAGGAAGAGGTGGGAGAGTCACTCAAGAAGCAGGGCTGGCCACATTCGCTACCTGCCTGCATTTCCTCTTCCTATCAGTATCCCAGGGTGCAAAATTGGAATGACCTCTTCCACACAGGAGAGGGTCTGGTGGGACCACCATTCGAGGCCCTCTCTCCCCACCTGCCCCCTGCCCCTGCCACCCACTTGCAGGTAAGGGACAGGCTCCTACGCAGCCTGGTCAGTCACTGCTCCCTCCTGGAGTCTGGCTATTGAAAAGAGGGACAAAGAAACTGGCTGCGGTGCCTCAGTCCTCTCGAGGGGCTAAGAGACAGCTGCCTGCCCTGATTGCTGGGCTCTGAGTCAGAGGTTGCGATCCCTGCTCCAAAGCCTCTGGAATTATCCTGGGTGTTGGCCATGCCCAAGCCTGAGTTCCAGCCCCCTCTGAACTTGGTTCCTGTTATTATTTGAATTATGTTCCGTTATGGCGTTTTTTTGTTGTTGTTGTTTTTCTTTTTTGAGATGGAGTTTCACTCTTTTTGTCCATGCTGGAGTGCAATGGCATGATCTCAGCTCACTGCAACCTCTGCCTCCTGGGTTCAAGTGATTCTCCTGCCTCTCAGCTTTCTGAGTAGCTGGGATTACAAGTGTGCACCACCACACCCGGCTAACTCTTTTTTTTTTTTTTTTTTGAGATGGAGTCTTCCAGGCTGGAGTGCAATGGTGCAATCTCGGCTCACTGCAACCTCCACCTCCCGAGTTCAAGCAATTCTCCTGTCTCAGCCTCCCAAGTAGCTAGGATTACAGGCGCCCACCACCACACCCAGCTACTTTTTGTATTTTTAGCAGAGATGGGATTTCACCATGTTGGCCAGGCTGGTCCCGAACTCCTGATCTCTGATGATCTGCCTGCCTTGGCCTCCCAAAGTGCTGGGATTACAGGCGTGAACCACTGCACCTGGACTACACCTGGGCCTGTTATGGTTTAATTTGTCTTGCTGTGCTCTGAATATTTATGTCCCCTCAAAATTCATATGTTGAAATTTTATCCTCCAATGTGATGGTATAAGGCGTGGGGCCTTCAGGAGGTGATTAGGTCAAGGGTGTGGAGCCCTTGTGAATGGGGTTAGTGCCCTTATCAAAGAGGGCCAAGGGAGCTCATCCATACCCCCTTCCACTAAGTGTGGACACAGCTAGAAGGTGCCATGTATGAGTCAGAAAGCAGACCCTCACCAGCCACCACATCCACCAGCATCTTGTTCTTGGACTTCCCAGCCTCCAGAACTGCAAGAAATAAATGTCTGCTATTTATAAGCTACTCAATTTATGGTATCTTATTATAGCAGCCTGAACAAACTAAGATGGTTCCTTCAAAACTCATATGTGGAAGTTCTAACCCCAGTACCTCAGAATGTGACCTCGTTTAGAACTAGGATCATTGCAGATGTAATTAGTTAACAGTAAGTGGGCTCCTGATCCAATATGGCTGGTGCTCTTATAGAAAGGGGAAATGTGGACACAGGAACATATACATGGAAAATGCCACATAAAGGTGAAGATGGCCATCTGCAAGCTGAGGAGAGGGGCCTGGAACAGACCCTTCCCTCAGAGCCCTTGGAAGGAACCAACCCTGTTGACACCTTGATTTCAGACTTCCAGCCTCCAGGACTTAAATTTGAGAGGAGATAGATAAATTGAAGAAGGAATTCTTGAGACTGCAACACAGAAGTCCTGCCTGAGTTTCCAACCTGCCGTCCTGTTGAGTTTGGACTCAAGCTGCAACATCAACTCGCCTGAATGTTCAGCCTGCCAGCCTGCTGGCCAAATTTCAGATTTGCCAGCCCCCACAATTGTGTGAGATCATTGTTAAAGTCAGTCTGTCTGTCTGCTTCAGTCTCTGTTTCTCTTGAGAACCCTAGTACAGTCTCCCATATATCCTTCCAATAAATTAACTTTTGCTCAAGTTCATTTAAGTTTTATTGGTTTGCAATTAAAAAAACCCGATATGACAGAATGAGAGATTCTTCTATTTTAATTGAACTTATTAACACAGCTTTTAAAAGTGCTAATCAGAACAGCCAAGTGCTTATTTAAGCTTGGAAACAGAAAAAGGAGACCCACCAAGGCTGGAGCTGGCAAGATCCCTCCCACACAGAGCAAGGAGCTCGGTCAGCAACACTTCATATATCTGTCCAGTTGGCAAAGCCCCTCTGTCCAGGAGTATCAGCTACAATGGTCTGACGCAATTGAATATCCCAGTGGCCCAATTCCCATGTTCCGATTCCATGTTTACCAAGCAAACTTCTGCTTCCTAGAAAGAAAAATGCTCTGGTCATGCCTATGCAAAAAGTCAGTTCTTCTAACATTCATGCCTCAACATAAATTGTATACATCACTCACAAACGTTTGTTCTGTGTGGGTCCTCCCCCGAGAGACAGATTCATCTTGGCAAGTTGACAATTCTTGTTCTGAGCCTGCAAGACTCTGAGCATCTGGAGGCTCTGTTGGGTAAACCTTTTAAGGTTCAGAGTGCTGAGCCCTGCAGCAGCCTTTCTGGGAGGGAGTGTGCCATCCATTCCCTGCTGGGCACAGCCCCTCCCTGGCCTGACCTGCCTGCCTGCCTGCCTGCCTCCCCAGACCCCCCTTGTCTCTGGGCTCCCCCAGAGGAAAGGCTACCATGTTGTTGCTCCATTTACCATTAAGTGGCTTCCTTCAGAATGACACCCAAGTCCCTGCAGTGGCTGTCTTCATTTTCCTCCCATTCTGGGACTCTGCCCACGGGCCTCGCCTTCCCACAGGCCTCAGTGCTAACAGCCTACCTTGACCTGGTGTCATCATGGAAGACCCACGACAAACCACCTCTGCTTGAAAGCAGAGTTCACCCTCAGCCCCAATCACAGGAGGTGCTGCTTCTAAACACCTGGTCACTGGCCCTCCCCAACCACCAGGTCCTGCAAGCCTCCATCTCTCCTGTCTTCTCTGCCTCCCTGCATTTAGCTTCTGGGCTGCTGGCTCTTCACAGTTTATCCTCTCCCTCAGCCTCCTTAGGGCCCACCCACATCACACGCCTGCTGGCCCTGCAGTCAAGCTCTTGCCTTTGAGGCCAGCCTGGACTGGTCACCCTGCCCTTGTCAAAGCCCCAGCTTCTGTGCACTCCACTCTGGACAGCCTGACACACCCACTTCTGAGGTGAGCCTGGCAAAGACCTGGAGCCTCTGCCCTCCACCTTGATTTCTTCTCCCAAGCCCTGTCTCTGCCTCAGTTAGAACCCAACTCCAGTCCTGCCTCTGACCCTGGAGCTGACCTCAGTCCTAGGCAGGCCAATGGGAACACAGAAAGAGCATTGGCTCCAGTGGAGATGGCAGATTGGCTCATGTGTTTATCACCTATGGTTTCCCAAGCCCCGCAGGAGGACAGGGCACAGAGACGAGGAGACAAGAGCAGGTGAGAGTTCACCGACTCTTTGCAAGATGGGAAACCAAGAGAACCACGGCAGGCCACTCAGCAGCACCGATGTCAGACCTCCGGGCATGCAGCACACGGTCAGGGCCAGCTTTGCCCTGAAGAACCACTGAGACTCCCGAAGCACCTGCAGCAGAGGGGACCCCAGAAGCCTGGCATGGACAAGAGAGGTGTGGTGGCAAGTCTTTAAGAGAGAGCCCGTCCCTCGGTCGGCATCCCATTCCATGCAGCCGGGAGACTGTCCTGTCCCCACCCCATGGGAGGCCACAGTTAGTCTCTAGAGAAACTGAGCCCAAAATGCTCTACACGTGCCGACAGGCTCAGAAATGGGATAAAGTCAGTGCGGGAGTAAGCCGAAGTCTCCACATCCACTGGAAAGCCCTCGGCTCCTGCCTCAGCTTTGCTCCCTGGAGTAGACGCTGTCCGGGCTCCACCCAGGTGGCCTCGGATCCCTGGACTCTCTTGGGGTGCCCATCCCTCAGCGTCTGCCTCTGGGGCTTCCCACGGCTTGCCCTGCAGCTCACCCTGGAAACTGGCCGTGGGCCCTGCATCCACTTGGCCTGCACTCGCTCCATCCCCCAGGGTGGCCCTCAGACAATGACTGGGGGTTGTGCTGCCTTAGTTATCCATCCAGAAGCTTCCATTTGAGCAATCTACCTGGAGCGAGTGCAGCCCCGTCACTGCGGCTTGGATCTCACCATGCTGGCGTGGCTGCCTCCTCCCCACTGGTTTAAGAGCTGTGGCCACCAAGGCCATCATCCCTGCCCCCACGTCCCTACCTCTTTATAAATGTCATTTCCTTTCCTAAGAGGTTCACCCTCTTTTTAAAACTTTGGTTGTTTCCCACTGCAGCCAGAGCCCAGCAGCAGGTGACCTGTGGCCCTGCCCCAGCAAGGCCGTCTCCACCCCTTCTGGCGCTGGGGACTCTTCTCATCTCCTCCCTCCGCGTGTCCGGCGGGCACCCCTTCTGTGTTCTGCCTATTCTGGAAAGCCTGGAGCGGATGCCCCTGTGCCTTCCTTTGCCCCAGACTGGGCTCCCCAGCAAGAGGGGCATAGAGACAAACTGGTGGTGCTTGGCCAAGTAGCTGTTCCAGAAATGTGTGTCAGGTGCAGATATGTGGATGTCTGGAGATACATTTGAGGTTCTGTGAGAGCCACATCTTAGTTCCCCTGCTCCTCTGGGACCTTGGGCCCCAGTGCCCTCACAGGCATTGCCCAGGTCAGGGTCGAGGTGGCACAGTCACTAAGGTCACTCTGATGGCAAATCTCCCCCAACGCCACCCTGCCACCCAGGGTCCCTCTCTCCACGTGGGCCAGCTCCATGTGCTTCTCTCCCCCCACAGCCCCTTCCTTCTCCTCTACTCTCACTCACAAGGGCCGGCTCAGCCCCCTTTTGGGGTTTTGGTTGTAAGGACAGAGTGGCTGGGGGAGTGGCAGCTCCACGCAAGAGGACCCCACATCCATTTCTGGCCTAGTGCTGCCACCCCTCACTGCTGACTCCAGTACAACCTCCTCCCCACACAGATAATCGTATCTCAAAGCACAAGTTTCCAATCACACAGCAACCTTCTAGAAAGCCAGTGGTGCTACTGAAAAGCCCTGGAGCCCAGAAGGAAGGCTCTAGCTCTCCCCACCCACCCAGAACTCTCTGGGCCTTGGTTCCTGCGTGCCCAGTGCTGGGCACAGCCACCGCATGAAGGGGCCCTTAGGAGTGGCTGTGGGTATTCATGGTGCTGCGTCTGCTTGCCATGAAAAGGTGCCACAACCTTGCAGGGACCTTCCTGGATGTGGACAACCAGCCCCAGGCTTGGCATGCCAGGGTATCTCCTTTTCTGCACCCCTCTCATCACCCTGTGTCCACTTCAACGTCACCTGTTTCCCCTTGGTGTGACCCTGGGAAATTCTGGGTGTCCTCGGGCCTCAGTTTCTCCTCTGGAACGTGGAGGATGTAGTAGTGAGGACACCAAGACACCCTGGGACACTGTTTACACCCCGCACAGGCCTGGCCACCGTGGGGGTCTTTGTTCGCCGGTGCTGGAGGGCAATGGGTAGGCTCCCCTAAGACACAGGCAAAGTAAGCGATGCAGCACGCCCCACCCCCCTCCCCCCCACCCGCCGCCGGAAAGACACTCAGGTCAAGCAGGTTTGGGTGCCTGGCAAGGCAGCGGGAGAGTTTCAGGCCTGTACCCCTCCAATTTCCTCCTGGTCTTTCTCTCCGACACAGCACTGGCTGGTTCCAGAAGACCCCTCTGCCCTTCACACTGAGACCCTCTCCCAGGCAGGGAACGAGAGGCCGAGATTGACAAGAAGCCACTGGGTGCAGCAGGCAGCCCTGCTCCGCTCTGGCCTGGCTATGGGATGCTGGCCAAGAAATTCAACCTGTGAGCAGGAAAACAGGCAAAACCTGCCAGACCATTCCCTCTGAGAGGACGCACTCTTGTGTCTGTGATGAGCCCACATGGTGCTGAGCACAGAGATGCCCCAGCAGAGTGGCTGACATGCCCTTACCCTCAGAGATGGCCGAGCTGAGTGCCTAAAGCCTCCCAAGCAGGCCTGGGATTCACTCTGATCCAACCAACATGGGTGTTGCCCTAATTGTCGCTTTCCTCTGCCTTGAGAACCCTGGGAATCTGTGGGTGAAAACAAGCGGGCCTCACACAGCCCCCAAGCAGGACGCACCCAGCCTCTGGAGCAAACAGTGATACAGGCTGCCTGGGCCCAGCCCAGCTAAGGGAGATGGGACCTGCTGCCCTGACCCCTAGGGCAGGGGCTGGGGGTCTCGGGTGTCCCAACATGACGTTCCTGAGTCATGGCCTGGATTACCCCAGGGGGCTGGCTTGGAACATGCACAGGACACGGGCGCAGCAACCAGGCAGGTGCTCGCAGCTGGCAACAGGTGTCCTGGCTGCACCCAGCCGAGGAGGGGGGTCACAGGGCGTGGCCGGGTGACAGGCAAAACTCTGAGCAGACAGGCAGGGCTGACGGGTGGGTGTGTGTGCTTACACCCACTTGCACTCTCAGTCTCGCTCTGTCTCGAACACACACACACTGCACATGCACATAAGCAAACACACACACAAACACAGACATGCACCCAAGAACATGAGGGCACACATGCAGACAGGGCGGTTTCTGCAGCTCTCCCTTGTTCTCCAGGTGCTCTCTAGGACCCGGGACGCCTTCTGCTGTGGCCACTGCTTCTCCCTGTATGAGCTTCTGATGGGCAGTGATGGTCTCCTGGCACAGGTGCCCAGTAAAGGTCTGCAGCAAGGATGGGTGGATGGGTGAAGAGACGATGGGTAGGAGTGGATTAAGGCAGTCATGGGTGCCTCTCTCCTTAGTCCTCACAATTTCACTTAGATGGGTTCATAGCAGTGGCTGGAAACAGCTGTCTGTTAACAACAACAACAACAAAAAGCCCACTTCAATGACCTTTAAAATAACTTCCAAATAACAAGCAGAACTAAAATGTAAAAGTGCTTCTCTCCCTTCTACATGGAAGCACCGGAGGGCATTTCTGACATGGGCGTTTGGGTAGATAGACAGCACTTGAATATGGTTGGCCTGGGTGGGTTTATGTTACCACTCCGTGGGAAACTGTCCAACTGTGTTTTTATTTCAGAATTCCCATCCCTGCTTTTCACAACAGGCATACAAATCTCTCTCCTGGGCTAGGGGATGGTCACAGTGCTCTCTCTCTCTTCCCCTTTCCTCATCTCCCCTCATCATGCACTTATGGTAAAAAACAAAACAGGCCGGGCGCGTTGTCTCACGCCTATAATCCCAGCACTTTGGGAGGCCAAGGCGGGCAGATCACGAGGTCAGGAGACCATCCTGACCAACATGATGAAACCCCGTCTCTACTAAAAATACAAAAATTTGCTGGGCATGGTGGCACATGCCTGTAATCCCAGCTACTGGGGAGGCTGAGGCAGGAGAATCGCTTGAACCCAGGAGACGGGGGTTGCAGTGAGCCGAGATTGTGCCATTGCACTCCAGCCTGGCGACAGAGCAAGACTCCAAAAAAAAAAACAAAACCCTAACCTGATCAATAAGCCAAAAAAGAACTGAATTCTCACGTGGACTCCCCTACGTATACCTATCCTATACCTATGAGGTATGACCTTAGCAGATTAACCTCTCGATTTCCTCTTCTGTTAACTATGCATACTTCACTGGGTTGTTGTTTGCTTGTTTGTTTGTTTGTTTTTATGAGATGGGGTCTCGCTCTGTCGGCCAGGCTAGCGTGCAGTGGTGTGATCTCCGCTCACTGCAACCTCCGCCTCCTGAGTTCAAACATTTCTCCAGCCTCAGCCTCCCGAGTAGCTGGGATTACAGGCACGTGCACCACGCCTGGCTGATTTTTGTATTTTTAGTAGAGATGGGGTTTCATTATGTTGGCCAAGCTGCCCTAGAACTCCTGACCTCAGGTTATCCACCTGCCTCAGCCTCCCAAAGTGCTGGGATTACAGGCCTGAGCCATCGTGCCTAGCCTGGATTTTTATGAGAACTACATGAATCCAGGTTGGTTTATACTTTTCTAATTGGGGAGAAATTCCCTTGAGAAAATTCAGAAACACATTGAAGATTTTGGAGCCACAGGATAAACACGTTTCTTCATGTTGAAGTGGCAAAGATTTGAAGAAATCATACTGTATTTCCTGTTAAAGCAAACATGACTCAGAATAGAGAATAATGCAGAAATGCAAGAATTTTTAAGCTAAAACTCAGGACTGGAAAGAAACGTCAAGCTTGGAACTCGTAGTGCCAGGCTCTGCCCCTCATCTCACCAAAGCTCAGTTTCTCCCCCGTTCAGGGTTGAATTGTGCCCCCCAAAAAGAGATGTTTTTGTCCTGACCCCAGTACTTGTGAAGGTGAACCTATTTGGAAACTGAATCTTTGCAGAGTAATCAAGTTCAGATGAGGCCATTAGGACGGACTGTCATCCAATACAACTGTCCTTATAAGAGGAAGACAATGGTACATGAGGACAGTGACACACAGGGAGACGCCTCGTGGGGACAGGCAGAGGCCGAGGCACTGCCGCTGCAGGCCAGGACACCGGGGGCTCCCGGCCAGGCCAGCGGCTGGAAAGGCAGGCAGGATTCTGCCCAGAATATCAGAGGGCCTGGCCCTGCCCCTGTCTTGATTTTGGACCTCCTGGCTCCCAAACTGTGAGGGAGTAAATGGCGGAGTCTCAGCCACCCCAGTCTGTGCTCTGTGGCAGTGGCGCAGTATCACACACTCCCTGACTGGGAAAAGGGTGGGAAGTCCTGCAGCTGGCCAGAGAGAACCGGCAGACCCGTTTCAGTCCTGTTATCCTGCCCCGGCGGCCGGGCCAGTTCCCCCCGGGAGCCCCGGTGTCCCCCTCCTGTGTGTCCTGCTGGTTCCCGGCAGATGCTCCGGGCGCCACTGCTCTGTTAGCCGCTGTTGGCCTCCTCCTGTCACATGTTTATGCTTGTAGTAGCAGAATCCAAATCCGGGCCATTATCGCAGGTGGCGGGCCTTAACCTGGCAAGCCTGTGAACCCTTCCCAGTGCTGCCCTGGAGAAGGGCTGGCCGCTCAGGCCCTCACAGCCTGAGAGCTCGGAGAAGCTGCCCCCAGACTCTCAGGGCCCTGTGCCTGCCCCAGCCACTTGGGCCTGAAATTAGCGAGGGGCCACACATAGGGGCCCAGACCAGACCCCAGAGAAGTCCCCTGCCCCTGACTTTCCACACATGGCAGCAGTGAGGTGTCTGCTCCCTGGCTAGGGCAGCATTGTTGAGCCCCCACTGGAGCTGGGCGTCTCCCTGCTCTCAAACAAACCAACTGTGCACAGTGGGGCAGGGACGGTTTCCTAGAGGAAGTGGGGCTTAGGCTGACTCAGGGAAGGGCAGTTTCACTGATAGGATCTGTTTACCCGCCTGACTTCTCCAGCATCACCATAAGCTCACAGGGCTGGAACGGATTCAGGTCGCCCAGGCCCAGGGCATGGGAATTGGAAAACGTTTGTTGAGGTGAATCAAAGCTAGATGGAAGGCCAGGCACGGTGGCTCATGCCTGTAATCCCAGCACTTTGGGACACAGAGGTGGGCGGATCACTTGAGGTCAGGAGTTCGAGACCAGCCTGGCCAACATGGTGAAACCCCGTCTCTACTAAAAATACAAAAACTAGCTGGGCGTGGTGGCGGGCACTTGTAATTCCAACTACTCAGGAGACTGAGGCAGGAGAATCACTTGAACCCGGGAGGCAGAGGTTGCGGTGAGCCCAGATGGCACCATTGCACTCCAGCCTGGGCGACAAGAGTGAAACTCCATCTCAGAAAAAGGAAGAAGAAGAAGAGGAAGAGGAGGAAGACGAGGAGGAAGAGGAAGAAGAAGAAGAAGAAAGAAGAAGCTGAAGAAGCTGGTTGGGAAGAAAGGGAATGCGATTCTATGAGGCTGGAGCCAAGACGAGCTGAAGAAGCTGGTTGGGAAGAAAGGGAAGGCGATTCTATGAGGCTGGAGCCAAGACGAGCACTGGAGCAGAGGTTCAGCACAGCGTCCAGGGAACAGACAGTGCTGTGGGGGGAGCGTGGGGGAGGAGGGGGTGGCAAGGACCCCTGTCCACCATCCTGGTGGGGGCCCAAAGGTGCTTTCAGTGTCCTATCACTGCCATGGCTGCTGGCAGAAAGTCCTGGCAATGATCTCGCACGTCTGGGGCTCAGGAAGGGAAGCCCACCCGCCCACAGGAAAGGGATGCCTGAGTGGCCTGGCCAAACTCTGCCCACATCTCCTCTCTGGCAGGACGCATGCTACCCAGGCCCAGTCCCGATCCCAGGACAGCACCCACAGGAAGGCTGCCAGTGGTTCTCCTGGAAGCAAAGACTCCAGCTGCCTGGCTTCTCCCTTCCCCAGGGACGCCTCCATCCCAAGCTCTGGCCAACAGGCTGCCCAGGCTCCCTGGGAACCCCTGGGTGCCGTGGCGAGTGGGGGCTGTGGTCTCACCCCCGGGCACGCCCTTCCTCCAAAGGCCTGGCCAGTCCCAGTGCATCCTGTGCTGAAACTCCCAGGGGATGGGGTTGGGACAGCCCAGCAGGTTCCAGAATGCTCTCTCCTCTGTCCACCCTGAGTTAGAAGTCTGTGTGGAGGCCCAAAGGTACTTTAAGTGCCCCAGCACTGCCATGGCCTGGGAAGCCAGGACACACAGGCTGAAAGAGTGAGGTCTTCCCATCAGAGACCCTGAGCCCCGAAGCTTTGGAATCAGCAGCGTTCAGCGCGATGGAGGCGCGGTGCCACCAGGTGGCGCCGTCAACCCCTCACTTAGGGCTAAGCGCCCTGGCCCCTCTGGATGAACCAGCAAGGGCGGAGGGGGACACCGGAGAGCGAGACGGCCTCGCTAAAGAAGGCCCCCTGGCCTTTCAGGATGAGGGGCTCAGTCAGCCCAGTGATGGGGACTCCGTGAGAACTGAGCTGTGAAAACGTGTTGGAGGCACAGTACCCACCTCTGCCGCGTCTGAACCCAGATTTGCCAGGAAGGCTCTTGCTTTCTCAATCTCTGTTCCCCGGTCATCACGAATACCCTGTGCTGGTCACTTTGTGCATCCCCATTTTTTTTTTCTTCCAAGGATACGGTCACGTGGGCAGAGCTGCAGAGACAGGATCCTAGACAGGCAGGCCTTGAATGCCAGGGCAGGAGATTGCTGAGGATTCAGAAGATCTCGGGAAGCTTCTTAAAGGCCCTCGACCCCTCTCGCTACCTATGAGGGCAGGACTGGAGAGGAGAAGGGAGAAGGCCGGAGACCAGGGGCAGCCCCCATAGGAAGCAGACTCCAGCCGCCTGGCCTCTCCCTTCCCCAGGGACGCCTCAGTGCGGGGTAGGCGCTACGGGAGACCAGGGAAGGGGCTGCTGCAATATTCGAGGTGAGAGTGTCCTGCACTGAAGCATGGTACAAAGAGGTGGGCTGGAGAGGGACGGTTCCAAGAGCAGCTGGCCACCGTCTGCTGCCCTGGCGTGCCCGCCCATTGTCCTCACTGTCTGCCACACCCTCCCTAGCAGGCCATACAAGGACATGTCCTCCCAATGTCCTGTCCCCCGGCCTCAGGCTCAGTCTTTCAGAATTGGCCTCCCTAATCCCATTCCGTCCAGGCTCTGCTAAGAGACAGCCAGGGAAGCTTGCAGGTGAATGTGCGTCTATGAGCAGGCGTTGTGCATGCAAACAGCCCTGCTTGGTGACGCTGAGCATTTTAACAGGAGCCCTCAGCAAGCAAACTCTTAGTCAAGGGGGTGACCCCTAGTGACATTTCAGGCTTTGGGGAGACCAAATCTAGAAGTCTTCTGAAGTCCCTGAAATCAGAGAAATGGGACCATTCTAATAACCAGAAAAATCAGCTTCCTTTGACCCTAGGCGTCTTCTCAGGTCCCCAAGGACAATCTCCTGCTTAATGCACATGACATCATGTTGACCCATTGGCCCAGGGTTAGCCTTCAGCTCTGCCCCCACCCTAGATCCTACTATAGCTGGAAGGTGGCGACCATTTGAACGTGGGACAAGGGACCATTTCTCCCTAGCAAGATGAAGTCACTTACCCAAGCCTTTGTGACAAGTCCGCATCAGAGCCAGCCCAGAGCTGCATCTCTTCCAGCCCTAAGACTGATGAGATAGATAGATAGATATTTGCCTTCAGAACAGGAAGGCTTTTTGTTAATGACTTTTTGTTAATGTTTCAGGGAGAGGAGCAGAGGAGCTCAGTCCAGTATGATTGGCATTTGGTGAAACCTAGTGGTGCAAATGTTCTGATTGGGATGTAACTAACACTCATCCATCTAACCCCTCTAATGTAATCCAGAGTCAATGCACCGTCTCGAGTCTCCCTCTCTCTTCAACACCCCACCCACCTCGCGTCAATATGGAAATACCGTCATTAAAGATAATTACCGAAGGAACAAGCCCCCTGGAGAGTACAACCATGAGGATAACATGCAAAAAGAAAAACTTAAAGCTCTCCATGAAAATTTACTAAGCTAAGGCAACAGAACCTTCTAATGAGTCCAGGTGCGGGCACCATGAGGTCTGTGTGAGGAAGGTCTGGTGACCTCTAAAAAGGACAGCTGTGGAAGAGGCTCAGGCAGGAATGGCGGATCCACTGTCGGCCTCACTGTCGGCCTCGCCCGGGAATCCGTCTTCATCTTTTCCCTTCTCATGAAGCTGTCTGTTGCCAGGCTGGCTATGGGGCTGCCTTATCCACACAGGAAGCTCACTTTTTGAGAAGGCAGCTGAGCCACGTGATGTCAGACGGAGCAGGGACTTCTGTTTGTCAGTGTCAACCATCTGGGAGCCAAAGGTGTTTCCACAACCACAAGAACCGGTTGAGATATTTTACTTGGATCTCTGGGCATTGCACACATCTGCGTTCCAGCAAGTGACCTCCACGCATGGAGGCAGCGGAGAGGAAGGGAGCTAGCTCCAGGAGCCGCAAAGCTCAGCACATTGGCTACAACACAGCCGGCCGATGACTCTAACGCCAAGAAGGAACTCTGGAAGAGAGGAGATCGTGGTTTATGACTCTCTGTGTCCTCCACACAGACAGCAAAGCACCAACAAAGGATAAAAAAAAAAAGAAAGAAAGAAAGAAAGAGAAAAACCAATACAACATTGATGAATTACGACTCCTTAACATACTCTGTATCCTGTGAGAGAAGTTAATATTCTCCCATTCTCATTGATGAAAATCAGAGGCAGGAAGAGGCCCAGAGGTTTAACCACACTGGGATGTTTCTCTGTGTGTGCGTGTGTGTGTGTGTGTGTGTGTGTGTGTGTGTGTGTGTGACAGAGAGAGAGAGAGACAGAGAGACAGAGTCTTGCTCTGCTACTCAACTCACTGCAACCTCCACCTCCTGGGTTCAAGCAATTCTCCTGCCTCAGCCTCTCAAGTAGTTGGGATTACAGGCGCCAGCTGCCATGCCTGGCTAATTTTTTTTTTTTTTTTGTATTTTTAGTAGAGATGGGGTTTCATTATGTTGGCCAGGCTGGTCTCGAACTCCTGACCTCAAGTGATCTGCCCACCTCGGCCTCCCAAAGTGCTGGGATTACAGGCCTGAGCCACCATGCCTGGCCAGATGTTTCTTAAGGACAGCTTGCCCATGTCCAATCCACAGGGGCCTATAGTCCTACACACTAGTCTGGACTATTCCTAAAATCCACCAGTCACTTTGCGGCCTGCAGATCTTGCCCGTGGACTCCCTCTCCCCGACATTTCTTTTCCTTTTCTCCCCCAGTACAGTCCTGGTCCTGATCATTGTTTATAGGCTTTTATTTTTATTTTTGAGACGGGGTCTTACTCTGTTGCCCAGGCTGTAGTGCAGTGGCGCGATCACAACTCACTGTACCTCCTGGGCTCAAGCAATCCTCCCACCTCAGCCTCCCAAGTAGTTAGGACTACAGGCAAACATCGTCGTGCCTGGCTAATTTTTAAATTTTTTGTGTAGCTGGTGATCTTACTAGGTTGCTCAGGCTGATCTTGAACTCCTGATCTGAAGTCATTCTCTTGCCTCGGCCTCCCGAAGTGCTGGGATTATAAGCATGAGCCACTGTGCCTGGCCTATGTATGGTCTTTTTAAAGCCAGCTTCTCAAGAACCTTCTATAATTCCTCTGGCCAGAGTTTAAAAAAAAGAAGAAAAAGATGGCCAGGCAGAGTAGCTCACGCCTGTAATTGCAGCACTTTGGGAGGCCGAGGTAGGCGGTTCACCTGAGGTCAGGAGTTCGAGACCAGCCTGGCCAACATGGTGAAACCCCATCTCTACTAAAAAAACAAAAAAAATAGCTGGGCATAGTGGCAGGCGCATGTAATCCCAGCTACTCAGGAGGCTGAGACAGGAGAATCGCTTGAACCCGGGAGGCGGAGGTTGCAGTGAGCCGAGATTGTGCCATTGCACTCCAGCCTGGGCAACAACATCAAAACTCTGTCTACTAAATTGAATATCTGCACACCCTATGAGCCAGCAAGTCCACTTCTAGGTTTACAGCCAACAGAAATGCATGCAGATGTACCAAGAAACAAGTACAGTACTCAGCAGCCATTGCTCTTTCCATATGTCCATCAACAAGAGAATGGATGAATATATGTTTATAAAATGGAGTGCTATATGACAATGAAGGGGAAGCAAACTATTAATACCACTACACACAATGACATGAGTCTCGAGTCCAAGAAACCAGACCCGAGTGTGTATAAACTGTGACTACATTTATATAAAGTTCAAAAGCAAACAAAACTAATGCATGGTAGTCAGGAGACTGGCTACTTTTGGGAGGTAAGGACTGGATGATGATAATATTATAATGTCCTGTTTCTTAACATGGGTAGTGATTTACATGATGTATTCACTTTGTTAAAGTTCAACAAGATATATACTTATGACTTGTGCACTTTTTGTACGTGATTTGTGCACTTTGACTTTTTTAGTTGAAAAGTAAGGTGTGAGTGTGCTTCCTTCACAAACCCTTTTCTCCCAGCTGCTTGCAGATGATGATGAGACCATAGGGGATGGTGGAGCAAGAGGCTGGGAGGAACCTCAATCCTTGAGTCACTCAGTGGAGGAAAGCTACCCACGCCCAGGAACAGCCACCTTGACCAAGACCTGGCAAGCAGTAGACTTCTATCTACTATGTGTGTTTAAGCTAGAAAAAAAAAGAGAAGGAAGGAAGGGAAGGAGGGAGGGAGGGAAATAAATGGTGCTTAATATTTCAATAGCAATGATTAGGAAAAGAAGAACATTAGGGTTTTGTTGTTACAAAGGTGGCAAACTCGCCTGGATTTCTGCCTCCATTCCCCTAAAGCAACCTAGTGAATTAAGAAGGCGGCTGAAAAAGGAATGAGGAAGGGCTCTATAAATTGTTATGGAATTATTTTCAGAATATGTTAGCAGGTAGAAAAAATAAAATCCACATGTGGTATGTTACTTTTTGTGTAAGAAAGAGAAATTTTTAAAAATATACAAATCTGTTTATTTTTGCAAAAAGAAACACAAGAAAGATAAACTAGAAACTAATGAAATTAATTACCTACAGAGGTGGGAGGGAATGGAATAGAAGGGAAAGGGGACAGAAGGATATTTCCCTGAGTATACCTTTTTTGCATCGTTTCAACAAACTTTTGTAACATTGTTAATGTGTTACTTATTCAGTAAGTAAAATTCAGTCAGATTGTATGGGGAGGGGTGATCCCTAAAACAGAGAAAAACCAAAACAAATAAATTGAATAAACATCAACCATAGGGGAAAACAGAAAGCATCCCCCACATCTGTGTTTATCTTCACATGGCATTTTCCTGTGTGTTTCTATGTCCAAATTACATGTCCCGCCCGCCTCCCCTCCCCAGTTTTTTTTTTTGTTTTTTTTTTTGTTTTGTTTTGTTTTTTTTTTGTTTTTTTTTTTTTTGAGACGGAGTCTCGCTCTGTCGCCCAGGCCAGACTGCGGACTGCAGTGGCGCAATCTCGGCTCACTGCAAGCTCCGCTTCCCGGGTTCACGCCATTCTCCTGCCTCAGCCTCCCGAGTAGCTGGGACTACAGGCGCCCGCCACCGCGCCCGGCTAATTTTTTGTATTTTTAGTAGAGACGGGGTTTCACCTTGTTAGCCAGGATGGTCTCGATCTCCTGACCTCATGATCCACCCGCCTCGGCCTCCGAAAGTGCTGGGATTACAGGCGTGAGCCACCGCGCCCGGCCCAGTTTTTTTTTTTAAAGAGACAAGGTCTCGCTCTGGCACCCAGGCTGGAGTGCAGTGGCGTCATTATAGCTCACTGTAGCCTCAGTCCTCCTGGGCTCAAGCTATCCTCCTGCCTTAGCCTCCCAAGTGTGAGAAATATTGAAAAGGGCTTCCTGGAGGTGGCGAAAGAGGATGTTCGCCTTTCAGGACCCAAGACCCCTAGGTGGTTCCTGCCTTCAGAGAATTTTCTGCTCGGAGTCCCTGTTCCACAGGAGCAACCCCGGGAGCCGCCACACTCGGCAAGGTGTCATCCGTTGGGTGGCTGGGGCACAGAGCTGGGGAACTGAGTGATGTCAGAACCAGGCCTGACCATACCTCGGTGCGGCCATGGGTCCCCAGGCCTCCTCAGCAGCAACGCTGGGCCCACTAAAGATCCCAGGGTCCCTCCAGCGTTCTCAGCTCTAGCGTTTGGCATTTGTGGTGGGGAGACATTAATGCTCTGCTGGTATGTGCGGATCTGGGGTTGTATATGCTTCTAGAACACGGGCCTGTGGGTTCTCAAGCTCCTGCTTGACACGGAGCCAACCTGGAGCCTGCTCTTCACACAGGGTTTGGTCCCAGGGAGACCCACAAGCCCACACAGGAGCCCTGGATATCAGCCTGCCAGGTGTCGGCAGTCACCGTGGGCCTCTCTTCTCTCTTCATACACCAGGAACCAACCCAGCCAGGTTAAAGGACTTGCCCAAGGTCACGCGGAGGAAAGCTGGTTGGTGCCAAGTGGTTAGGAGAGAAAGGGTGAGGTCATGAGAGCAAACCTAAGAGGGCTGCTACCGACTCCCAGGATGAAATCACAGATGAAGTCACAGAATCGGAATGCTGGCTTTGGGAGAGACCGCCCTGCTCCTTCAGGAAGCTGGGGGTGGGGGCGGGAGTGGGGGCGGGGAGCAGGTGCAGGGGAAGGGGTAAGAGCTCAGACTCTGGACTTAGAAGGATCCGATTGATGATTCCAGATCCCAGTGGCTTCATGAACGTGGGCGAGTTACACAACTTCTCGGTCTCCTGCTTTTCTCCTTAGTAAAACAACCCATGCCCCACGGAGGTGCCGTAAAGACAGAACGACTCTGCAGATAGCGTTAAGCACGATGCCAGCCACCTTGGAGGCGCACAGTACATACGGCTCATGGCATTTCAGGGAGCGGCAAGCCAGTTGCTGCCAACCCGCCCGATGACTGTGTCTAAGGCGGAATCTGGAAGCCTCTCTGAGCCTCCGTCTCCCTCACTGTCCCCTCGGGGTGAGGGAGGCCACTCTATAAGGAGACCATGTGTGTGGAAGCACCTTGGGAAACGCTGCGCGCAGGCCGGGACCCAGGGCAGTCGGCCTTCCTTATCCATGGATTCAATGAACTGCAGATGGAAAACATTTGAAAAAGATGTTTAAAAATAAAAAAATAACAATTTATTAATTTTTCTTTTTTTTTTTTTTTTTTTGAGATGGAATTTCTCTCTTGTTGCCTAGGCTGGAGTGCAGTGGTGTGATCTCGGCTCACTGCAACGTCTGCCTCCCAGGTTCAAGGGATTCTCCTGCCTCAGCCTCCCGAGTAGCTGGGATTACGGGTGCCCACCACCATGCCCGGCTAATTTTTTGTATTTTTAGTAGAGACGGGGGTTCACCATGTTGGCCATGCTGGTCTCAAACTCCTGACCTCAGGTAATCCACCCACCTTGGCCTCCCAAAGGGCTGGGATTACAGGTGTGAGCCACCACACAATTTAACAATTAAAAATATATATAAATGGCTGGTCGCAGTGGCTCATGCCTGTACTCACAGCTGTCTGGGAGGCTGAGGTGGGCGGATCACTTGAGGCCAGGAGGATCGCACGAGACCAGCCTAGCCAACATGGCCAAACCCGGTCTCTATTTAAAATACAAAAAATTAGCCAGAAGTGGGGGCATGTGCCTATAATCCCAGCTGTTTGGGGTGAGGCCCAAGAATCTCTTGAACCCAGGAGGCAGAGCTTGCAGTGAGCCGAGATCAAGCCACTGCAATCCTGCCTGGGTGACAGAATGAGGCTCTATCTCAAAACGAACAAACAAACAAAAACCCAAAAAGACATGAATACAGTATAACAACAATTTACATAGCACTTACATTGTACTAGGTATTATAAGTCATCTTGAGATAATTTAAAGTATACAGAAGACATGAGTAGGTTATATGCAAATACTACACCATTTCCTATTGGTGACTTGAGCATCCATGGATTTTGGTATCCACAGAAGGTCCTGGGACCAATCCCCCATGGACAGTGAGGGATGACTTTGCTGTGATTACTATTACCGGTGATCTGGTCCTAAGTACAGACCCAGGTGGCTGTGATTTGTATGTTTGTCCCTTCCGAAACTCATGTTGAAACTTAATCCCCAATGTTTCCATATTAAGAGGTGGGGCCTTTAAGAGGTGATTGGGTGAGGGATCCACCCTGCTGAGTGGGTGAATGGATTAATGGATTATCCCAGGAGTGGGTTGTTTACCTGGAGAGCACCCTTGCCCTGCGATGCCCCCTGCTGTGTTAGGAGGCCGCACAAGGCCCTCACCAGCAGCCCATCTGTCTGACTTTAATTTGAGAAGTCAATCCTAGGCCAAGGCAGCCCATGTCTGTACTGAGCCCCCACCTCAACTCCTTCAAAGAGTCCTGTTCCTGGGTCACCTGTGCTTGGGGACAAGGCAGAGGCCTTGGGGCTGTGACGTGACAGCACCAGCTCATGAGGGCCTGGCTGCTGTGCCAGCCGTCCGTGTAGAAAGGGCCCAGGGCAGGGCACAGGCCGGGCACTGTGAAGCTGAGCTGGCGTGAGTCAGGGCATGGAAGATTCCAGGCTGTCAGGTTCCTTTCTCTCCTGCCTGCCAGAAATGCCAGAATGGGACCCCAGAGGAGCCCGTCTGCATCTGTTGCCTTCGCCCTTGTTAAACAGGACTGATGTGGAGGCTAACATCTAAGAACTTCGGAGCTGGAAGGCGGCTGGTTCAATCACTCATATTCTTGAGGAAAAACTGAGACCCAGAGAGAGAAGAAAGAACTTACCCCGAGACACATGGCCCTGTGGTGGCAACACTCCATTCTCTCTCTTCCACATGGTGCCCTTTGTATGAAAATTCTGATATGTGGAGACTGCAATGTGGACGTGGTTCATTCTGAACTCACAAATGCTTATCCCCCCAAAATAGTCTCGTTTTTGTTTTTGTTTTTGTTTTTTTGAGATGGAGTCTCTGGGCTCTGTTGCCCAGGCTGGATGGAATGCAATGGCGCGATCTTGGCTCATTGCAACCTCTGCTTCCCGGGTTCAAGCGATTCTCCTGTCTCAGTCTCTCGAGTAGCTGGGATTACAGGCACACGCCACCACACCAGGCTAATTTTTGTACTTTTAGTAGAGACAGGGTTTCACCACGTTGGCCAGGCTGGTCTTGAACTCCTGACCTCAAGTGATCTGTCCATCTCGGCCTCCCAAAGCGCTGGGATTATAGGCTTAAGCCACGGCACCTGGCCAGGGTTGTGGATCTTAAACCCAGAATCATCTAACCTTAGTGGCTTAAAGATATTACATACTGACATTATTATTTGTATATTTACACTCGGTACATTGTTTTACGGTTTCCCCTACATCACCTTATTTAACCCTCCCAACAGCCCTACGGGTAGATATTATGGTTTCTGTCTTGCAAATGAGGAGCCTGAGGCTTACGCAGATGAAGCGGGTCCCTCTGTTGGCAGCGATCTTTCCCTCACACCCCAGAGGTTTTGCCCCAGTAGTTGGGTGTCAAGAGCCTAGACTCGGTTGCCATCAGTCAGAGAGATGTCCATCCTGGAGGTGGCAGACTACTGGACACCAGGGTTAGACTTATTTTGTTTGGCCTTACGCTGTTCTAAAGCATCCTGAGTCAGCATTTATAAGTCCAAGGACGGCTGGGTGCGGTGGCTCACGCCTGTAATCCCAGCACCTTGGGAGGCTGAGGCAGGTGGATCACCTGAGGTCAGGAGTTCGAGAACAGCCTGGCCAATATGATGAAATCCTGTCTCTACTAAAAATACAAAAATTAGCCAGGCGTGGTGGTGGGCACCTGTAATCCCAGCTATTCGGGAGGCTGAGGCAGGAGAATCGCTTGAACCTGGGAGGCAGAGGTTGCAGTGAGCTGAGATTGTGCCATTACAGTCCAGCCTGGGCAACAGAGTAAGACTCCGTCTCAAAAAAAAAAAAAAAAAAAAAAAAAAGAAGTCCAAAGATGTCTTTAAAAGTAAGGATTTCTGTCTTTAAAAGCCAACCCTGGGCCAGGCAGGGTGGCTCATGCCTGTAATCCCAACAAGGCGGGCGGATCACCTGAGGTCAGGAGTTCAAGAGCAACCTGGCCTATATGGTCAAACCCGGTCTCTACTAAAAATACAAAAATTATCCGGGTGTGGTGGTGGGCACCTGTAATCCCAGCTACTCGGGAGGCTGAGGCAAGAGAATTGCTTGAACCCAAGAAGGGGAGGTTGGAGTGAGCTGAGATCGCACCACTGCACTCTAGCCCGGGCGACAAGAGCGAAACTCCGTCTCAAAAAGAGATGAAATAAAATAAAATAAAATAAAATAAAATAAAAACCAACCCTGGAAGCTCCGGCCACGTGGAGTCCAGCCTGGGCTTCCCCTCCCTCTGCTGGGCAGAGTTGTCCTTGTCCTTCAGTCCATCTGCTTTGCTTGGTCTCACCGTCGTGATTTTCACTGTTGCTTCTACCTGTAATAAACCATGGTGGCCGATGTTTGTAAATCACTTCATGGCTTACTGAGCCCCACTCCTGGACAGGCAGCGGGGTCTTTCTTAGCCTGGAAAGAATCTCTTCTGGGGGCAGTAGTTGGGTGTCAAGGAAAGTGACATGCTGATGTCTCCATATGCACAGTTGTGTCCAGCAAAGATTCAGGGGGACCAGCTGTGGCCAGGCTGTGCCTGGTGCTGAGGGTATCAAGCAGAGTAGAATCCCTGCTTCCCTAAAGCAATCTCAGCTGAAATGAACAACACTTGGGTAGGCTCTGGTTCCAGTGCCAGCTAGCTGCACTAACTAGCATATGCTTTTGGTAAGTTGCTTCCCCACTTGTGACTTCAGTGTCCCCTCTGAGGAATGGGAGGTGGTGGCCGGCCATCCTCTCGGTGCTCCTGGAGTCTGTTCGGTTAATAAGGGCCATGGGCAGGTGGACTTGCACACAGGTTGTTCTAGGCATCACCTTGCTTAGAGAGGTGGGGAGTGAGTGACTCTGCCCAGGGCTCCAGAGCCATCTTCAGTGTAAGTGTTTCTCTGGCCTAGAGTTTTCTATTTTTAATAAGACTGAAGGGCACCCCTGGGCTGTACCAGAGTCCATGGATTACTGGCCTGGGGACTGGATGGCTTATGAAGGCCACAAGTCCTGGGAACAGCAGAGGAAAATCCAATCTTGATGAAAATCCTAGGCCCTCTGGAGCACAGACCTTTGTGAAATCTCAGGTCTATTGTTAACATTTCAGGATGCAAAGGGATTTTTGCTCTATTTTCAGAATTAGTGTAAGATTTAAATCAGCAGCCATTTGTTGAATGGGGCATGGTAGACAATGTGGGGTGATGGAGCCTCAGCCTCAAAGGGGACAGCTTCACACAGTTCACATTTCAAATGTGTCGCTCACATTCCAACATCCCTTTACAGTTTACAGAGCACATTCACGTTCTCTCATTTAATCCTTACCACAGGCTGCAAGGAATCAAAAACTCAGAGGGTAAAGTGATTTGCCAAGCCAAACAAACACATAACCAGAAAGCTTATAATCCCAGTATGCAGGGGCCATCACTATGCATTATTTACAGCGTTCCTTCCAGTTTTCTCTTTGCATTTTTTTCTTTAACTGGTTATACTCTCTGTGTAGTATACTTGAATATTGTTTACTGCTTTAACTTATTTTATTATATATATTTTGAGTGGTTGAATTCCTATAGGAAGTGGTAGTGCGTGATTAGGGAATTCTTGACTAAGAACATAGCCCTTGAAATGGTGTGGACCAGGGAACATATGGTGTATTCAGGAAACAGTGAATAATTCTTTGAGGCTAGAACCCGTGACCCTGATGAATTGAGGCTTAGCAAAGAGTCTAGAAAAACATTTTATGTCAGATGATGGAGAGTTTGAGTAACATACTAAGGAATTTTAGTTTATTCTGTTTTCATGAGAGAATAATAATACATGCTACACTATATATATTTAGAAAAATACAAGTGAGGACAAACATCTAGAAATAATTCATAAGCCAGTTGCACAGAAATAATTGTTATAAATATTTTTATATATGTGTAGCCTTCTGATTGTTTTCTTTTCTTTTTCTTTTTCTTTTTTATTTTTTTAAGACAGAGTCTTGCTCTGTCACCCAGGCTGGAGTGCAGTGGTGCGATCTTGGCTCACTGCAACCTCCGCCTCCCAGGTTCAAGTGATTCTCCTGCCTTAGCCTCCCAAGTAGCTGGGACTACAGGTACCCACCACCACACCCACCTAATTTTTGTATTTTTAGTAGAGATGGGGTTTCACCATATTGGCCAGGCTGTTCTCGAACTCCTGACCTTGTGATCCACCTACCTTGGCCTCCCAAAGCGCTGGGATTACAGGCGTGAGCCACTGCACCCAGCCCTGATTGTTTCCTATACATGTATTTCTTCTTTTTTCCCCCAAAAGGGACATAAGAGACATTCTTTTGTAATCTGCTTATAATTCTATTATCATCTTTCTCAGTCATTAAAAATTCTTTTTCAATAATGATCTTTAAAAATTTTTTTCATTGGAGCTCTGTTTGAAATAAAATTTTACTAGGGACCTCAAGAGCCAAAATGGGTAAAAATAGAGCTCCCGGGATCAGAGCAGAAGCAGGAGACGTGACGCCTGCCTGACCTGGTAAGACACCCTGACTCCATCTGAAAATCATTGTTGCATAATGTGATTTGTATGACTGCACTGCAAGAAGAGAACATCACTTATCTAATCAGCCCATCCAGTTGCTTCCAATTATTCCCTTTGTAAATTGATTATTTCCCAATAAAGGTTTTTGAACATGGGGTGTGATATAATTTGAAGGCATTATTGTGAGTACCAAATATGGTAAAATCTTACCTAACTGGAATTCAGCTAACCGCAATCCTTAATTAACAAATTTTCTTTTGCTAAACTTTCAGAACATAAAGGAACCTCTCTCTCTCTCTTTGTCTCTCTTTCTCTCTCTCTCTCTCACACACACACACACACACACATACGGAGTTATGAAATAGGAATAAATTTAATAAATATGTGCAATAGGTATACTCTGAAAACTATAAAACATTACTGAGAGAAATGAAGGAAGGTGAGTGTAAATGGTAAGATATACCACACTCATGGATTGAAAGACTCAATATTCTTTAAACGCTAGTTCTCCCTCAAATTGATTCTCTAGATGCAATACAATAATATTCAACATCTTAGCAGGTCTTTTAAAAAAAAAATTTAATAAGCAGACCAGGTGTGGTGGCTCACACTTGTAATCCCAGCACTTTAAGAGGCCAAGATGGAAGGTTGTTTGGGCCCAGAGGTTTGGGACCAGCCTGGCCAACATAGCAAGACCCCATCTCAATTTTAATAAAATAAAGAAAGAAATTTAATAAGAAATTTAAAAAATTTTATACATAGAATAGCCAAAACAATTGTGAAGAGGAACAAAATTGGAAGAGTTATGCTCTCTGGTTTCAAAACTTACTATGAAGCTAATAGTAATCAAGATAGTTTGGTATTCAAGTAAATTTTGACATACAGATCAATAAAACAGAATATAAAATTCAGAAATAGACCCACCCACACATATGGTCAACTGATTTTCAGCAAACGTGTCAAGACAATTAAATGGGGGGAAAGACAATCTTTTCAATAAAAGGTAGTGAAATCATTGGTTGACTCAATGTACAAAGATGAATCTTAACCTTACCTCACACCAATTCAAAAATTAACTTGAAGCAGAT
Source organism: Homo sapiens (assembly GCF_000001405.40). Taxonomy (NCBI): domain Eukaryota; kingdom Metazoa; phylum Chordata; class Mammalia; order Primates; family Hominidae; genus Homo; species Homo sapiens. The sequence goes on from NC_000002.12 coordinate 9,827,455, forward strand.
CATAAACTATATGTAAGAGCTAAAATTATAAACCTTTAAAAAAAAACAGAAGAAAATGTTAGTGATCCTGGGCAAGGCAACTATTTTAAAAATAGGGCACAAAAAGCAAAAACTACAAAAGAAAATACAAAACTACATCAAATTTGGACTTCATCAAAAATTAAAATGTCTGCTCTTTGAAAACACCATTAGGAAAATGAAAAGGCAAGTCTCATTGGCTTGTACCAGACTATATAAATGACTTGTACCAGAATATATAAAGAATTCTCATGGCTGGGCATGGTGGCTCATGCCCGTAATCCCAGCCCTTTGGGAGACTGAGGTGGGCAGATCACCTGAGGTCAGGAGTTTGAGACCAGCTTGGCCAACATGATGAAACCCCGTCCTACTAAAAATACGAAAATTAGCCTGGTGTGGTGGTGCGTGCCTGTAATCCCAGCTACTTGAGAGGCTGAGGTGGGAGAATCACTTGAACCCAGGAGGCAGAGGTTGCAGTGAGCCAAGATCACACCACTGCACTCCATCCTAGGCAACAAAGTGAGACTGTCTCAAAAAAAAAAAAAAAAAGAATTCTCACAACACAGTAATGATAAAAGACAATTAAAATTGTGTATAAGATTTGAGCAGATATTTTATCAAAAAAAATCACAGATGTCGAATAAGCACATGAAAAAAATGCTGAACATCATTAGTCATTAGGGAAATGTAAATTTAAACCAAAAGGAGATACCACTACATACACACTGAAATGGATGACATTCAAAAGATTGATAATGCCAAGCATTAGAATGGAACAACTTGAACTCTCATACACTGCTGAATACAAAACTGTACAATCATTTTAGAAAACAGCTTAGCCTAGGCTGGCACAAGGGCTCATGCCTGTAATCTCAGCATTTGGGAGGCTGAGGCAGGAGGATCGCTTGAGCCCAGGAGTTCAAGACCAGCATAGGCAACATAGACAGACCCTGTCTCTACAAAAAAAAAAAAAAAAAAAAAAATTAAAATAAAAAATTAGCTGGGCATGGTGGCACATGCCTGTAGTCTTAGCTACTCAGGAGGCTGAGGTAGAGGCATTGCTTGAGGCCAGGAGGGCTAGGCTGCAATGAGCCGTGATTGCACCACTGCACTCCAGCCTGGGTGGACAGAGTGAGATGCTGTCCCAAAAAAAAAAAAAAAAAAAAAAAAGTAAGAAAAAAAAAGAAGAAAAAGAAAAGAAGGGAAAGGAGAGGAGGGGAGGGGAGGGGATGGAAGAGGAGGAGAGGAGAGGAGAGGACAGGACAGGACAGGACAGGAAAGGAAAGGAAAGCAAAGCAAAGGAAAGGAAAGGAAAGGAGAGAAGTTTAGCATTCACTTATAAAGTTAACTATTCACTTACCATATGACTTGGAAATTCTATTCTTAAATATTTTCTCAAGTGTAGTGAAAACATGTCTACACAGAGATTTGTGCCTGAGTTTTCACAGCAGCTTTGTTCAGAGTAGCCACTGGAAGTGATCCAAATGTCCATCAGTTGGTAAATAGATAAAGAAAAATTACTAAGTGGAATACTACTCAGCAATTAATAGGTATGAGCTGATACATGCAGCAAAATAGATGAATTGCAAAGCACTACTAAGGCAAAAAAGACAACTCCCTGTATGCGCCCACTACATGAAGTTCTAGAAAAGGCAAACCTATAGTGATAGCAGATCAGTAGTTGCTAGCAGTTACGGGATTGGGTATAGAATTTAAAATTACATTTTTGGTACTGGTGGCACTGCTGTATACAGATGTCAAAACTCATCATTGTACACCTAAAATCGGTCAATGTTGTTGTATATAAATTCTACTTCTGCTGACATTTGAATTCCTCTTTGTCTACTTTTTTGTCATTCCTCTAGCCACTTAGCTGCTTCACATTTAAAGGTTCAGGACTGCCATGTCTGCTGTTACAAGGATAGAGTTTGTGTTTCTGTTTAGTTACTTTTCTTATTTTGGGGTAATTTTTCAGAGAAAAAATAAGTGGGAACATTTTTCCCTCATCATCTTAAATTTGGAAGTCCTATAGATGTTAGTTAAAGTCGTGGGGCTGGAGTTATCCCTATTCCTTCGCATATTCATGGACATTTTGAGACTGTGAATGAGTTCCCACAATGATGAATAAGGTCTCTGATCTCCCATATCTCCCCACTTCCTCTTCACCATCCCCCCAATATAGTTATAAAACAGTGTTAGTTATATCAGTAGTTAGGATATACTTTATTATGATTGTGCAGATGTCATTCACTAGAAAACCAGTAACTTAATGCCCATAACACCTTTCTTCCTCAGTTCTTCATTTTTACTAGAGTTGTTCATTTGCCACCTTTTTTTCATTTGTCTGATTTTCTACACACCCACCATTAATTTTTCCTAATGCCCCAACAAGTCAGCCTCAACTCCATCAGTAATGTTTTCCATTATCTCAAACATCGCATATATTCCTCTAATTCCCAGAGACCTCTTTCTCAGAGCCAGCCTTTCTTCCATTTATTCTGTTGAGACTGGATGCTGGGTGGATGTCATTCTGGTTTCTAGTCCCCATCATCCTGGGGGTTCATCCATATTTTGGATCTCTTGCTTCCTGATATCTTGGTCCATGTGTTCTTTTCTTGGTTACTCCCTTGTTTTTTGTTTGTTTGTTTTTTGTTTTGTTTGTTTGAGATGGAGTCTCGCTCTGTCACCAGACTGGAGTACAGAGGCGCAATCTCGGCTCACTGCAACCTCCGCCTCCCAGGTTCAAGTGATTCTCCTGCCTCAGCCTCCTGAGTAGCTGGGACTACAGGCACACACCAACATGCCCAGCTAATTTTTGTATTTTTATTAGAGACGGGGTTTCACCATGTTGACCAGGCTGGTCTCAAACTCCTGACCTTGTGATCCACCCACCTCGGTCTCCCAAAGTGCTGGGATTACAGGCGTGAGTCACTGTGCCCAGCCCTAGACTTTTATTTAAAATGAGACTTCTGTGGCTCTGTTACTCTCCTTCCTGGAAGGGAGGGAGGAGCAAGACCGGTTTGCCCCAAGCCTATAAATGGAATAAACCAGTCCCCAACAGGTTCTGCAACTTGCCTGAGATCTTATCGCTCCTGAGTTTGGGAAACTCTTGAGTTATTTAAGCCACACTCTTAGAAGGTTGTTTTGCTTCTGTTTAATTGGGGCTGTGCCTTCTGGCTGTTGAGCTCCTTTGACAAAGTGATTTTGCATCCAGAGTACTTTATTCATTCATCCATTCATTCACTAAAAAAACCTTTATTAAGCACTTGGTCTGTTAGCAGAAAAAGTAGGCTCTTTGGAACAGGCAGAACTGAGTTAAGTTCCCTCTTGGCCTCTTGCTGGTTGGGTGACCTGATTAGTCCTCCTGAGCCTCAGTTTCCTTTACTGTTTAATGACAACAGTTAAGAGATCATTTGGGTAATGGGCCTGGTACAGTGCCTGACAGAGTCTGTGCCTAGCAAATACGCACTCCTTATCCTTCCCCAGGGCTATGCAAACTGCAAGTGGTTTCAGTTTCAGTTATGGGCAGACCAGGCTACCAGCAGGCCTTGGAGCGCCTGGAGGATCCATTCAGAGGGCAAGTGCTGGATACTCTCTTCTCTCTAGCAGGAACATGGAGGGTGGATGAGAAGCAGCAAGGATGATGTTTGCTTTCTGGATCATCCCTGTGCCTTGTGATTAGCATTTAATAGGCTCCCAGAAAGCTTTGAAGATAATCATATGTCTACCCCTCCCTTTTGACTGATGATCTTGACGTGATATACGCTTATGTCAGTGAGGAAATAGGGAGGCTCTTGCAATGAGCCAAGAGTTGCTCTTTAGCTTTCAAAAACGTAAAGTCTAGTGAAAATTCAGCCCACAATGGAGTGGCACAGGAATTTGTCTTCAGAAATGCCTCCTCCACAAAGCTGTTTTGTGGGAATGAACAGGGGATGATATGGTAAAATAAGCCTAATGACAATTTATGGTCTTTATACCTCACTTTTCCGTGTACAAAGTTTTGACAAAGCCCTTGTATATCCATCATCCCATTCGTGCCTTCAAGCCCCATAAGGTGGTTTGATAAAGTTATCACCCCCATACTGCAGATAAGAAAACTGAGACTCACTGAAGCGATTTGTCCAGGCCATATAGCTAGCAGGGAAGTAGGAGGGCCAGGACTTAAATCTACTCTCTTGAGTCCAGAGACCCTGCTCTGCTGCCTCAAGGTAGCATTTAGCTATTGCCACACCTCTTTAGCTAAACTTTTAGCTGACTTGTCCTGAGTTCTAAGTCCTGGGATGTTGGCAATATCAGGGGGTGAGGAGGAGGCAGTGGGACCAGCTCCAATGTGGCCACACCTGAATATCAGGGTATCAGGGATGCAGCCTAGCTGAGTTGTGGCCACATTCCTTGAATTCCCGTGACCTGGTCACATAAGAATAATGCAGCCCCTGGGGTGGTCTCATCAGAGCCAGATCTATCCGTCTCACCACTCAAGGGCTCACTCCTGTAATTCTGCCTCTCTCCAACGTAACCCACGATTGATTTCCACTAGCATACAAAATGCTGCAGTCGTTCATATTCCCTTCAGCTCCTTTCCGCTCTTGCCCAAGTTTCTGCTCCCCCTTTCAGGGAGTTGTCACCACTTGTGTCCCCTTTCCCTCCTCCCATTCTGCCTTAAACCTGTTCCAATTAAACTTTCATCCTTATCACTTTCCTGAAATCACCGTGTCAATGCTGTGTATCTTGCTGAGTCCTATGCTGAACTCACTCAAACTCTTAATAGCATTTGACATTTCTTTCTTCTTGAAACTTGCTTCATGTGGCTTCCGGTCACCACACTCCTCTGGTTCTCTTCCTTCTCCATCATCTTTGCTGGATGCTTCTGCTGTCCCTGACATCTAATGCTATGGTGTCCTGTGACTTAGCCCTGGGCTGTCTTCTCCCACCTGCCATCTACCCTCACTTCCTAGGTGTCTTCACTTTGTCCATGGCTTTATATTCCCCATAGACACTGATGACTTCCAAATTCATATCTCCAGCCAGAACATCTCCTTGGAATTCCAGACTCATGTGTTGACTTCCTCCTCAATATTTTCTCTTGTATTTCCAATAGACATGTCAAATTTTGTCCCAAATCTTGAGTTTTCACCCCAATATCTGCTCACAGTGATCTTGTAGTCTCCTCCACTCACTACAGCATGGCATCCTTGATTCCTCTCTTTTGCTCACAACTACATCCAGTCCATTGTTGGCTCTACCTTCAAAACACATCTGTTTCTCATTGCCCTTCTCTAGTGTCCTAACAGGCACCACATACATCTTTAGGCTGGATTCCTGGTACAGCCTCCCAATTACTCATCTCCATTGTGCCCTTATCCTTTATAGTCAGCCTGAGTAGGCGTAAATCAGACTGCATCATTCCTCTGCTCAAAATCCTTCAATGACTTTTCCACTGACTTAGAATTAGATCAAAATACCTAACCATGGTCCCAGACAGAATATTCAAAATACCCATATTTAACAACTGGTAGAGGAATGCATAGTCATATATAAGTTTCTATATAAATCAAAAATTTTAAATATATTATCTTCTATTTTCCAAATGAACCAAACTATATTTATCTATATAATAAAGCTGCTGGCTGGGTGTGGTGGCTTACACCTGTAATCCCAGCACCTTGGGAGGCCGAGGCGGGAGGATCACTTGAGGTCAGGAGTTCAAGGCCGGCCTGGCCAACATGGGGAAACCCTGTCTCTACTAAAAATACAAAAATTAGCTGGGCGTGGTGGCACAAGCCTGTAATCCCAGCTACTCCAGAGGCTGAGGCAGGAGTATCGCTGGAACTCAGGAGGCAGAGGTTGCAGTAAGCCGAGATTGTGCCACTGCATTCTAGCCTGGGTGACAGAGCAAGACTCCATCTCAAAAGAAAAAAAGAAAAAAAAACTGCTTACAAAATGATATTAATATAACACAGAGCACACATCAAATCAGCCTAATACTCTAAGTCATTTATTGGTTTTCAGAAATAATTGGTGTGAACAGTGAACAATCTGAAAAAGAAATCAAAAAACCAATCCCATTTACAATATTCAAACAAAATTAAATACCTAGGAGTTAACCAAAGAAGTAAAAGATCTCTATAATGTAAACTATAAAACACTGATGAAAGGAATTGACGAGGACACCAAAAAATGGAGGCATACTCTATGTTCATGGATTGGAAGAATCAATATTGTTAAAATGTCCATACTACCCAAAGCAATCTACAGATTCAATGCAATCTCTATCAAAATACCAATGACATTCTTCACAGAAATAGAAATAACTGTCCTAAAATTTATATGGAACCACAAAAGACCCAGAATGCCAAAGCTATCCTAAGCAAAAAGGACAAAGCTGGAGGAATCACATTAACTGACTTCAAATTATACTACAGAGCTATTGTAATCAAAATAGCATGCTATTAGCATAAAAACACTCACATAGCCCAACAGAACAGAATAGAGAACCCAGAAACAAATCCACACACCTACAGCAAACTAATTTTTGACAAAGGGGCCTAGAACATACACTGAGGAAAAGACAGTCTCTTCAATAAAGAACAAAACTAGACCCCTATCTCTCACCACATACAAAAATCAAATTGAAATGGATTAAAGACTTAAATCTGAGACCTCAAACTATGAAACTACTAAAAGAAAACATTGGGGAAACTCTCCAGGACATTGGTCTTGGCAAAAATTTCTTGATTAATACCCCACAAGCACAGGCAACCAAAGCAAAGATGGACAAATTGGATCACATCAAATTAAAAAGCTTCTGCACAGCAAAGGAAACAATCAACAAAGTGAAGAGACAACCCACAGAATGGGAGAAAATATTTGCAAACTATCCATCTGACAAGTGATTATTAGCCAGAATACATAAGGAGCTCAAACAACTCTATAGGAAAAAAATTCTAATAATCCAATAAAGAAATTGGCAAAATATTTTAATAGACATTTCTCAAAAGAAAACATACAAATGGCAAACAGGTATATGAAAAACTGTGCAACATCATCAATCATCAGAGAAATGAAAATCAAAACCACGATCTCGGCTGGGCGCGGTGGCTCACGCTTGTAATCTCAGCACTTTGGTAGGCCAAGGCAGGCAGATCGTGAGGTCAAGAGATGGAGACCATCCTGGCCAACATGGTGAAACCCTGTCTCTACCAAAGAAATACAAATTTAGCTGGGTGTGGTGGCACGTGCCTGTAGTCCCAGCTACTCAGGAGGCTGAGGCAGGAGAATTGCTTGAACCTGGGAGGCGGAGGTTGCAGTGAGCTGAATTTGCGCCACTGCACTCCAGCCTGGGCAACAGAGCAAGACTCTGTTTCAAAACAAACAAACAAACAAACAACAACAACAGCAACAACAAAAACCTACAATCTCATCCCAGTTAAAATGGTTTATATCCAAAAGACAGGCAATAACAAACACTGGTGAGGATGTAGAGAAAAGAGAACCCTCAAACACTGTCGATGGGGATGCAAATTAGTACAAGCATTAGGGAGAACAGTTTGGAGGTTCCTCAAAAAACTAAAAATAGAGTTACCATATGATCCAGCAATCCCACTGCTGGGTATATACTCAAAAGAAAGGAAATCAATATATTGAAGAGATACCTGCACTCCCATGTTTATTGCAGCACTGTTTACAATAGCCAAGATTTAGAAGCCACCTAAGTGTCCATCACCAGATGAATGGATAAAGAAAATGTGGTACATATTCACGATGGAGTACTATTCAGCCATGCAAAAGAATGAAATCCTGTCATTTGTAATAACATGAATGGAACTGGAAGTCATTATGTTAAGTGAAGTAAGCCAGGCACAGGAAGACAAACATCACATGTTCTCACTTATTTGTGGGATCTAAAAATCAAAACAAGTCACTTTATGGAGACAGAGAGTAGAAGATTGGTTATCAGAGTCTGGGCAGGGTAGTTGGTCAGGGGCAGGGAATGGTGAAGAGGGAGGTGGGGATGGTTAATGAATACAAAAGTAATAGAAAGAATGAATAAGACCTAGTATTTGCTAGCACAACAGGGTGACTGTAGTCAATAATAATTTACTTGTGCATTTTAAAATAACTAAGAGAGTGTAATTGGAAGAAAGGATTGTAAGAAAGGATAAATGCTTGGGAGGACGGATACCTCATTTTCCATGATGGATTATGCATTGTGTGCCTGTAACAAAATATCTCATGTGCCCCATAACTACGTATACTTACTATGTACCCACAAAAATTAAAAATCGAAAAAGTTTTTAAAAGTTTAAAAAAGAAAAACAAGTTGTTGGTATGATCTTTTGTTTGATACATTCTCACTAATGAGATGATGACTTAATCAGAGTTATGATTTGACAGACGGAAATGCTCCAAAATCCTCCAGTAACTTCCCTTCAAATCAGTGGTTTCTAGGTAACTAAGAGTCTCAAAATAGAGAATTTCTCTAAATAACAATATTTTTATGATAATGAATTGTTCCTGAGCTTCTGGTGGACTAAGAACAATTGTATTAAAATTTTTTTTGGATCCTTATCCAATTTCATCTGAGCTTGTTATTCAACATCTTTTTATTGGCTAAGTCACAAAAGTCTTTGGTGAAATGTCACATTTAGTTAGGTTGAGCCTAATCCTTCCTGAGAGGGTCATAGTATGGTGGCTCAAACTGGGTGTGTGTCCCCACCAGGCTGCTTTCTTTTGTTCACTGGCTCAGCTGCTTACATAAATTTTAAATGACTTCTCTTTGTTTCAGTTTTCTCATCTGTAAAATGGGGTGATGATGATGATGATGATAACTTCAAATGAGCAAAATACATTTAGATTGGTGCTTGGCTCACAAAATGCTAAACATGCATTAGCTCTCACTTTATTAATAAAATCAACGTCAGTACCCTTGACTCAAAGGTGTGTGGTGGGTTTTAACGACCATGTCCCCTTAAACGGAGATGAGGTTAAACAAGAACAGTGAAAAGAGGGAGTCCCATGCACCCTGGTGTCCTCAGGCCCCAAATCATCCCCTTGGTCCCTTCCTTCCCCCATAGCCTCCCTCCTGTCATGGAGCATCCACTATTCCAATGAAGCCCTCAATTCCTGGCTGGGGCCTGGGTAGGGCCCCTACTGAGGAAGTTCTCTCCCTGGCTCTCTCTAAGCCCGAATCCCATGAAGGCTGTAATCTCCACACCCAGATATGAGGTAAGTGGACAGTCCAAGGCAGTCATAGCCGGCTGGCTGGCCACCAGTTGGCTCACCAGGAGTCTGTCCTCTCTTCCCATCATTCCCCAGTGGGAGCCAATGATGGTGGCCAGGAGGTGAGACTTTCAGGGGACAGCCGGTGTAAATATTTTAACAAATGGAACAGGCACTATGGGTGCATTGGCTAAACATCAGCCCTGTAGGCCCAGGAGACCTTTGGCCATTGGGTCCTCATCTAGCTGGCATTTTCATCTCCCTAAGACTCATTCCCTCATATTCTTGCAAGTCTCTCACCCATTCCCATTTCTTTTTTCTTTTTCTTTTTTTTTGAGACAGAGTCTCGCTCTGTCACCCAGGCTGGAATGCAGTGGTGCAATCTCGGCTCACTGCAACCTCCCCCTCCTGAGTTCCAGCAATTCTCTGGCCTCAGCTTCCCGAGTAGCTGGGATTACAGGCACGTGTCACCATGCCCAGCTAATTTTTGTATTTTTAGTAGAGATGGGGTTTCACAATGTTGGCCAGGCTGGTCATGAACTCCTGACCTCAAGTGATCCACCCGCCTCAGCCTCCCAAAGTGTAGGATTACAGGCATGAGCCACCGCGCCCAGCTCTCCATTCCCATTTCTGCTCAACTGGCCCTTCTTCAGAGAGGTCTCTCTGATGACCCTACAAAAATTCTCTTCACTATCTTCCACCCAAGTCATCCTATACATATGTATATACCTTGCTGTGTGGTGTTTTTTCTTACAATGTTTTTAGTCCTCTCTAAAATTGTTTTTTATTTGTATCTGTTTTCTATCATCCTGTCATGATAACTATGGCCAAAAGACAAGATGACAAATACTGTCACAAATACCACCGGAAGATGTAGAAAACAGTGTGGAAAATTTAGAAGAGACACATCTTAGAAAAAATTACACTGGTCTGCCATTCAAAGCTTTGCAATGCTGCTGGATAAGATGCAGATGTTTCAAACATGTCTCTGCATGAGAGCTGCTAGATTCTATTTCCACAATGGAACATAGGGAAAAAAAAAAACCACTTGTAATGGGAAGATGCACCAGGAAACACCTATTCTAGACAATAAACCATTTCTTTTTATAAACAACACTTTGTGGTAAAATTGTGTCTGTGTAGCCGGGCGCGGTGGCTCACGCCTGTAATCCCAGCACTCTGGGAGGCCGAGGCAGGTGGATCACGAGGTCAGGAGATCGAGACCATCCTGGCTAGCGTGGTGAAATCCCATCTCTACTAAAAATAGAAAAAATTAGCCGGGTGTGGTGGCGGGTGCCTGTGGTCCCAGCTACTCGGGAGGCTGAGGCAGGAGAATGGCGTGAACCCAGGAGGTGGAGCTTGCAGTGAGCCGAGATCGCGCCACTGCACTCCAGCCTGGGCGACAGAGCGAGACTCCATCTCAAAAAAAAAAAAAAAAAAAAATTGTGTCTGTGTAACCATGAAAGAACCTAGAATACTAGAAGAGCTCTGAGAGAAGACATTGACAGCACCGCGGGGGCAATTCACCCACCGCCTCATCCACCAGCATCAAGTGGCAGCAGAAGTTAAAGGCAGAAGGTGCACACTGCTGGAGTGTGTCAGGATATAGTCAATTTTATGAAGACAAGACTGTGCAGATATAGCGCAGGAATCGCCGTCATCTGGACTGAGCATGAATATCCACAAAAGTCCTGTGTCCCCACAGAAGGCTTTTGGATACCTCATGGCAAAACATTTCAAAGACCTGCCAGACCCACAGATGAGCTAGTTACCTTCTTTTTTAAAAAACAGGAAAGTAAGTATTCCTGGGATGACAAGTAGTTGTCAGTAGTATTGGCAGATATTTTTGAAATGGGGAATACACTTAATTTGTCCCTTCAGGGTAAAGGGAATGTTTTAACAAAGTGAGCATCAGAATGGCTGGGTGTCTTGACTGCCTTATCTTTATATTTATGATTGCAAATGTCAAGTAGGCCCTCATGCTGCTTGCAATTTTTGCTAGATTCCTGATTCCATTCTTCCATTTCCAAGAGTTATTACACCTCTGGTCTCCTCTCAAACTTCCCACAGCCCTCCCCACTCCCACTCTCAACTGATGACTTGCTTCCATTTCAATGAAGCTCAGAGAACAGACCTTCCACCTCATGCACCTGCGCTGTCCCACGTGCTCTCCCTTCTTTCCTGGTTCTGCAGCAGATGAACCCTCTATGCTAGGGCTGACCCCTCCATGGTGCTGCAGATCCTCTCCCTTCTCACGCACTGCATTAGTCTGTTTTCACACTGCTGATAAAGACATACCCGAGACCGGGCAATTTACAAAAGGAGGAGGTTCAAATGGACTTATTCAGTTCCATGTGGCTGGGGAAGCCTCACAATCATGGTGGAAGGCAAGGCCTTGACCTCCTAAAATCCTGGGATTATAGGCATGAGCCACCAAGCCTGATCTAATTTGTACTTGTCTGATAAGTAATGACGTTGCGTACATTTTCATATATTTATTGACCATTTAGCTGTTATCTTTTATGAAATACCTGTTCAAATCTTTTTGCCTATTTTTAACTGGATTGTTTATTATTTCTTAATAGATCGGTAGGAAACCTTTGTTACATGTCTTGTCGAATATGTATTGTGAATTTCTTCTCTCAGTTTTTAGTTTGCTTTAATTATGTCTTTTTTTTTTTAATTTTTTTTAAAGACAGGGTCTCTGTCACCCAGGCTGGAGGGAAGTGTCATGATCACAGCTCACTGCAGCCTTGACTTCCCGGGCTGAAGCAATCCCCCCGACCCAGCCTCCTGAGTAGCTGGAACTACAGGCATGCCCACCACACCCAACTAAGTTTTAAAAAAATTTTGTAGAGATAGGATCTCTCTATGTTGCCCAGGCTGATCTTGAACTTCTGGGCTGAAGCAATCCTCCCACCTCGGCCTCTGAAAGTGCTAGGTTCTAGGCGTGAGCCACTGTGCTCAGCCTAACAATGTCTTCTGATGAATCGAAGTTCTTAATTTAATGAAATCCAGTGTAATGACCTTTTCTCTTAGGAGTAGTGCTTTTTGTGCCCTGTTGATGAAGTCTATTCCACACCAAATCATAAAGATATTTACCACTTTTTTTTTCTAGAAGCTTTATGGTTTTACCTATCACATGTAGGATCTATTTGAATTAATTTTTGTGTACAGTGTGAGAAAGGGGTCAATAATTTTCTCATATGCATGTCTGATTGATTCAGAACCATTTATTGAAAAACTATTCTTTCAGCTCACGCCTATAATCCCAGCACTTTGGGAGGCCGAGGTGGGTGGATCACTAGAGGCTATGAGTTCGAGACCAGCCTGGCCAACATGGCAAAATTCCATCTCTACTAAAAAATACAAAATTAGCCAGGTGTCATGGCACATGCCTGTAGTCCCAGCTACCTCTACTTGGGAAGCTAAGGCCCGAGAATTGCTTGAACCTGAGTGGCAGAGGTTGCAGTGAGCCGCGATTGTGCCATTGCACTCCAGCCTGGGCAACAGAGCAAGACTCTATCTCAAAAAAGAAACAAAGAAAAAGGAGAAAAGCTATTCTTTCCTCACTGAATTTTAGTAGCAGCTTTGTTGTAAATCAGATTATTTTATATGTACTTATGAGTCCGTTTCTGGACTTTCTATTCAGTTCTGTCAATTTTTTGGTCTATCCTTGCATCACACTAGATTACTGTATGATTTATTTTTTTCTCTTTTATTTATTTTTTAAATCTTTATTCTTTTTTCTCTACTTTTTCTTTTAACATTTTTTAATTTTGAGAAAAGGTCTTGCTTTGTCATGTAGGCTGGAATGCAGTGGCGTGACCACAGCTCACTGCAGCCTCAACCGATCCTCCCACCTCAGTCTCCTAGGTACCTGGGACTATTGGACTGTGCCACCACACCCAGCTAATTTTTTAATTTTTTGCAGAAATGAGGTCTCATTATGTTTCCCAGGCTGATCTCAAACTCCTGGGCTTAAGTGTTCTGTCCACCTTGGCCTTCCAAAATGCTGAGATTACAGGCTCGATGTTAAACAAACTTGCATTCCTAGAATAAACCTAACTTGGCTGTGATTTATTATCCTATTTATATATTGCTGAGTACAACAGGATGTACATTCAATTTACTGATGTTTTGTTTGGAACTTTTGCATGTATGTTTATGAGAGGAATTGCTTTTTAATTTTGACTTTTCTTGAAATATCCTTGTCAAGTTTTGGTGTCAAGGTCATGCTTGTCTCCTAAAATGTACTGGTAAATGCTCTTCTTTTTTCATTATTTGGAAGCATCTGTATAAGATGGGTGTTATTTATTTCTTTTTAAAATTATTATTATTATTGAGACAGAGTCTCTCTCTATCAACCAGGCTGGAGTGCAATGGCATGATCTTGGCCCACTGCAACCTCTGCCTCCCAGGTTCAAGCAATTCTTGTGCCTCAGCCTCCCAGGTAGCTAGGATTACAGGCGTGCAACACCATGCCCAGCTAATTTTTGTATTTTTAGTAGAGACGAGGTTTTGTCATGTTGGTCAGGCTGGTCTCGAACTCCTGGCCTCAAATATTCTCCTGCCTCAGCCTCCTAAAGTGGTGGGATTACAGGCGTGAGCCACCATGACTGGCCTATTTCTTTCTTAAAAATTTGGTAGAATTTGGCCAGGCGTGGTGGCTCATGCCTGTAACCCCAGTACTTTGGGAGGCCGAGGTGGGCAGGTCAGGAGTTCAAGATCAGCCTGGCCAATATGGTGAAACTCCATCTCTACTAAAAATACAAAACTTAGCCAGGTGTGGTGGTAGGCGCCTGTAGTCCCAGCTATTTAGGAGGCTGAGGCAGGAGAATTGCTTGAACCTGGGAAGCGGAGGTTGCAGTGGGCTGAGATGGTGCCACTGCACTCCAGACTGGGTGAAAGAGCAAGACTGTCTTAAAAAAAAAAATTGGTGGAATTTTCACATTTATTGGCCTAGAGTTGTTCAGAATATGCCCTTATGATCTTTTTAATGTCTGTGGTATTTGCAGTGATGCCCCTACATATTGGTTAGTGATGCCACTGATATCAGTTTATTTTGATTTTCTTTGCTCCGTTGCTCAGACTGGAGCACAGTGGCCCGATTATAGCTCACTGCAGCCTTGAGCTCAAGCAAACCTCCCGTCTCATCCTCCCAAGTAGCTAGGACTGTAGGTGTGCATCACCAAGCTGGGCTCTTTTCTTTTTGATCAATCTTTCCAGAGTTTATCGAATGTATTAGTATTTTCAAAGAGCTAATGTTAGTTGGTTGAGACTCTCTTCTTAAAAAATATCTTTTAGGCTGGGCGTGGTGGCTCACGCCTGTAATCCTAGCACTTTGGGAGGCCGAGGTGGGCAGATCACTTGAGGTCAGGAGTTCGAGATCAGCCCAGCCAACCTGGTGAAACCCCGTCTCTACTAAAAATACAAAAATTCGCCAGGCGTCGTGGCGCGTGCCTATAATCCCAGCTACTTGGGAGGCTGAGGCAGGAGAATTGCTTGAACCTGGGAGGTGGAGGCTGCACTGAGCTGAGATTGAACCATTGTACTCCAGCCTATAGAGATGAGGACTCAATATGTTGGGCAGGCTGGTCTCCAACTCCCGCCCTCCAGCAATCTGCCCGCCTTCGCCTCCCACAGTGATGGGATTACAGGCACCAGCCACCACAGCAAGCCTTTGTGGAGCCTATCGAAGCTTGCTTTCTCTTTTATTAATTTCTCTTTTTTAAACATTTCCTTCATCCCATTATTTTTCAGTTTAATCTTTTTTCTAACTTCTTGGGATGTACGATTATATCAAAAATCCTCTTCTCAATGAGATCTCTCTTGAACATCACATTTCAGACTGAAATCACCTTGTTGTTCCCATTCTCCTCTCCTCTTTATTTTTCTCCTTGGAACTCACCACCACTTAACATACCACATATTTTCCTTATTTATTTTTGTCTCTCCCCATCAGAATACAATCTCCATGAAGGCAAGGACTTTTGTTTACTTTGTTCACTGCTGAATCCCCAGGACACAAACCAGTTCCTGTTTAATAAATAAAACAAGGAATGAATGTGTTAGATGAAGAAACAATAAGAGCTAAATTTATTGAGCACTTACTGAGACTCAATTATATTCACTCATGCATTTATTTATTCAGTTATTTACTTATGCAGAGAAGGGGTCTCGCTTTGTTGCCCCGGCTGGTCTCCAACTCCTGGCCTCAAGCAATCCTCCCGACTCAGCCTCCCCAGGATTACAGGCGTGAACCAGCACGCCCGGTGGAGACTCAATTATAAGGGGCTCACAGATAACATCTAATTCTTACAGAGGAGTAAACTGAGGCACAAGTAAGCAGGAGAGCCGTGATTAGAAACCTAGGTCTAACTCACAGCCCGTGAGCTTTCCTCCAAGCCCCGAGGCTTCCCCTTAAAAAAGCCAGCAAGGGGCGAGACTCGGAGGGCAGAACCCACGGAGGGCGGAACCCACAGAGGACAGAGCCCGCGCTCGCGAGCACGGCCTTGTCCGACCCCCCGTGCCGCCGGAGGAGCAAGTCTGTCTTGGAATGAATGATCGTCGGAACGGAGCTTGATCAAACCACTCAGCAGTAGGCGTCGCCCACTTTCTTATTGGTTGGTTTTGGTTCTCAAGAGTAGGAAAGTTAGGTAGTCCGCGAGGGGTCTGCGAGCTTTGCGGAGCCTCGCCCCCGAGCGCGCGGTTTCCCTGCCGCGCAGGCGCACGGAATCCTAGGCGCGGATCTCGCGTTTCCGGCCGGAAGCTTCTCCAGCCTTTCCCGGAAGCTGCGCTCGCTACCCGGGTAACGGGTCCCGGCTGTGGAAGCTCCCGCGGCGCCGCGATGGACCTCGAGGAGGCGGTAAGGAGGCGGTGCACCTGGCGGGCCACGATCGCCGGGGCCGGAGGAGAGAGAAGCTGAGGAGGAGCGGCGGAGGACGCCGCGGGTTGGGGCGGCGACGCCACCGGCTGGAGGAAGGCGGGGCGGAGGGCTGCAGGGCGGGCTAAGGACTGGGGCTGGCCGGCCGCATGCGCGCGCGGCTTTGGTAAAGAGGCTGGAGTTTCTGGCTCGGCGAGGTTGTGGGGGAGGGAGGGTGTGGTGTTTGTCGTTATGGGTGTGTTTAAGGATGAAGCTGTGGGTTTTGTGGGGTGGCCACCCACAGGGCTCATCCTCGAGACTGGACCACCCACAAGTTCCCTTTAATGCTGGGGTGGGTGAGGGAGGGGCAGGGGTTGGAACCTGAGATGCCGCCGGGTAACCCCTGTCGGTCTCTCCGGGAATCCTTGCCACTGTCTCCAGCAGGGATTCTAAATTCGGGTTTGGGAACTCCCCAAATTGTCCAGCTATCATTCATCGTAGTGTTAGTACGGGGTCACTGAACACTTTACCAAGTTGCCAAAATTGATTTGGCATGCATTTTGTTTTGTTTTAGGTACTACGTAAAATGGCACATTTTTGTTTTTTATTTTTGAGACAAGATCTCACTTCTTCCCCCAGGCTGGAGTACAGTGGCACGATCACGGCTCACTGCAGCCTCGAATCCTGGGCTCGAGAGATCCTTCCGCCTCAGCCTTCCAATGAGCTAGGGCTACAGACATGCACCACCAAGCCCGGCTAATTTTTTTTTTTTTAATTTTTTGTAGGGGCAGGGGTCTCGCTATGTTGTCCAGACTGGTATTGAACTCCTGGGCTCAGGCGATCTTCCTGCCTCAGCCTCGCAAAGTGCTGGGATTATAGGGGTGATCCCCCGCCCTCGGCCAAATGGCACACGCTTTGATGGTATTAAATGATACTCGATAATTAGATCAATGCTAACAACAAGTCAAACTCCAAAGAGTTGGGGATCAGAGAATTAGGCCTGTATATACAGGAGCAGTACGGTCTTATAGTAGAGGCTTAAAAAATGTTTACTGATGATGGTTGGCTAACTTCTGTAAATGCTAGGCTGATGAAATGAATAATTGTAACTCACCATTAGCTAGCGTATACCCAGACTAGGGATCATGTCTGGTCTGTTTTGCTCACCATTGAATCCCCAGCACCTAGTAAAAAGCCTGGTACACACATAGTTGATACCCCTTATGCTGCCGAGTGAATAAATCGAAACTTGAAACCATTACAAATCTAGTTCCTCTGTGGTATGCGCTTTTAGTGTCCTGGAGGAGTTCCAAATTGTATTTGCATTTTTTAAAAGTCTTCTCTATACTTGTTTGTCATCTTCTCACAGTATTTTCAAGGAGCTTTGTTTACTCATCTTTGGTTCCAGTTTACCCCTACTACCTCCTTTTCTTTTTTTTTCCTGTCACACTGCATATTTCAATAAATTTTCTCCAGTAGTTTAATTCGGTTTCATACCGCGCCTCTCCTTGTTTGCGGATAATCTCTCTGACATATTTTTTATTGTCTATGATTTTTTATTAATAAAGTTGCCAGGAACCCATTAAATAGAACTGCAAGGTTTAGGTACGATGTATTGAATGTGGCTTGATGGGAACACCTTTTCTGTCCTCTTCTCCCATAGGAAGAGTTTAAAGAACGCTGTACTCAGTGTGCTGCTGTCTCATGGGGTCTTACTGATGAAGGCAAATATTATTGCACTTCTTGCCACAATGTTACAGAGGTAAGTAACAAATATCATTTATGAATTTGCTTATGTTTTAAAAATTGCCATTTCAGCCTGATATGTAGTCTAAGTCCCAAAGAATTGGGTTGATTTTTGTCACTCATGCAATGCCAACATTCCAAGGATGCATGTGGTCTTAGGTACTTACACATAGGTTAAGGGATTTGTGAATTAGATTGAGGATGAGTTTTTGAAATTATGTTGGGCCACATTTATAAATGATTTCTTATTCAGAGTATGTGGTTGAGGGAAATAATTAAAATTGTACTTAGAAGATGATGCATTTCTTTTTATCAGTTAGTACTTATTTACATTTTTTTAAATGTGTCATGGTGGCTTAGAGGTTTGGAAGATGGAATGTTAGAAAACTTGAGGACTGGGCCGGGCGCAGTGGCTTACGCCTGTAATCCCAGCACTTTGGGAGGCTAAGGCAGGTGGATCACCTGAGGTCGGGAGTTTGAGACCAGTCTGTCCAACAATGGGAAACTCCGTCTCTACTAAAAATACAACAATTAGCCAGGCGTGGTAGCATGCGCCTGTAGTCCCAGCTACTTGAGAGGCTGAGGCAGGAGAATCGCTTGGACCCAGGAGGCGGAGGTTGCAGTGAGACGAGATCACGCCACTGTACTCCAGCCTGGGCAGCAGAGCAAGACTCTGTCTAAAAAAGAGAAAGAAAGCTTGAGGACTGTTGGGAATATTGGAATTATTCTTCGTTATCCTTTTACCTTTGTATAGTACCTTACAGATTACAAAGTTTTTGGATCCATTATCTCATTTCCTCCTCATCACTAACTGTGAGAGCCTATTGATAGGGCTCAGAAGTTGAGTGAGTTTGCCAAAGTTACCCAAGTACCAGGACTTGAATGTGAGTCTTCTGACTTCAGTGTTCATTTTACCCATCACACCTGCCTCTTAAAGTAGAGATTGTCATATTGTCCTGTGTAACCTTGGTAAACGAGGCTACCTTCACATTGTGAGTGCTAGGTCCTATTGTGGTGAACACACCTTCGGGCCAGCATCACCAAAGTGATCAAGGGTGTAGAGAGTCTGCTGCTGGACAGGCTAAATGTGCCAGGACTCTCCTCAGTGGAAAAGGATTTCCTCAAAGTCTACAGATCCAGGAAGGAACAAATGTTACCTTCACCATACAGGCTTAAGAAAGGCAAATTTGGGACATTAAAAGTAACTGTGTAGACTTCTGCTTCTGGCTAAGATGGACTAACAGAGACCAGACTTACCTTTGTCCCCTAAACAATGAAAAACCTGGACAAAATATATTAAATGAGTAAAAGGAAAAACATTTTCCCTTGACAAAACTGGTGAATTGAGCTTGCAGGTGTGTCACACAAGTGCTTTTCCTTGAGGCAGTGTTCTTGAGTCTGCAGCTGGAATGCTTATCTCTGCTTCCTGTTTAGTCATACAGAATATTAAAAAGATATGTGCTCACTTGATGAAATTGTTGGGGTGATGGAGATATTTATTATCTTGATTATAGTGGTGGTTTCATGGAGATATATTTTGTGTGTGTGTCTGTGTGTGTCAGATTGTGCACCTGACAGATGTGCAGTTTGGTCCTCACCCTCATTGTGTAGTAAGGAGCTAGCAGTTTTACTCACTGTTGCTTTTGTACTATAGTGCAGGTGTAAACCCAGTGAAGAAAGATTATGTCTAATGGAGTATTTGCCATTAGTAGATGAAGTCAGCATACTATTTTTATAGGAATTGAACTACATTAACTAATTGCTTTTCTATTTTTGATTTTGATACTGTTTCCGTTTGATTCTGTTTGATCAAATCTGCTGCAGTCATTTTTTAGTTTGAAAGATCCTAATACTTCTCCCTAGCTCCACATTTGGAAGACTGTCAACTCCTGTGGAGTAATTTGTCAAGAATGTAGAGTTCATGAAGGTGGACAACATCTTTATAAAGACCAAGAACCTAGCTCAGTGCCTTCCTTTCAGACGACAGGCTTAAAGGAAAAAAAAGTTACGTGTTGCACAACTTCAGTAGTTATTCTTGGCTTTATGGCGGTCCAGGCATGTTCTTCACATGGACTGTGAGAATATAATGTGGTAGGGGCTCCCTGGAGCTGAGCAGTGTGGCGATGGTGATGTTGAAATACAGTGGGTGGGGAATGGCAGGTGAGACAGTTACAGCTGTGAAGAATGGAAGTCATGGTGCAACTTGCCCTATTTTTCTGCCCCTTTTATTGCCCCCTCTTCCTTGGCATGTAACTGTCAAGCTCCAGACACGCTCTGCAATCTGGGAAAGGCCTTCCAGATTGATAAAGGAACCAAAATGTTATCCTAGTATATTTTATCCAGGAAAAAAAAATGTAAGGTCATAAATCTGTTCAATTTAGACAATAGATATTTTTGCAAGAGTTTCACGGATATTTAAAAAGGTGTAGGCTAGACTTGTGTGAATGTAAGAGATTTTTATGATCATAAGAGCAATGCATGTTTACTATAGAAAATTTGGAAATTGTGAAGATGAAAGCTAAAATCACCAGTAATCTCTACATTTGTCTCTTTTTTCCTGTGTGTGAAATGGAGAAAGGGATGTGTGAGTGCTGTTCAATCTTCTGCCGTAACAACTTGGAAAAATACTTTTATCTAAACATTTGCAGACATTTTTTATAGACTGTAAATATTCCATAATGGCCATTTGGTAATTTAATTAATTATAGCTCTAGTTTTGGATGTTTCATTTTTTCAGGTTTTTTGCTCTTTCACGTTTTGTCTAGTACAGATTTTAAGTCTTTTTTTCCTGGCTACCCTTTGCAAGTTTTACTGTCTTTGCTAGATAATGGCTTTTGTATTTATTTTGACGTGTCTTATGTTTTCAGTGTGGCCAACCCAGTATACCAAAATTGCTTTGAATATGGTTTCTGTGATTAGAGAGACTACGTTCCAAAAATCCTGTTGGTAGAGACATTTCTTTTATTCTTATGGAGGGTTAAAGATAAATTTCATTCCAAATCTCTAAATTTAGAAAAACAGTAATGTCCTCTGTTGGTTAAAAATCCTCACCTTTCTTCTGGCATTAAGACTCAATAATGGGGGCTGGGCACGGTGGCTCATGCCTGTAATCCCAGCACTTTGGGAGACCGAGGTGGGCAGATCACCTGAGGTTGGGAGTTTGAGACCAGCCTGACCAACGTGGAGAAACCTCGTCTCTACTAAAAATACAAAATTAGCCAGGCGTGATGGCGCATGCCTTTAATCCCAGCTGCTCAGGAGGCTGAGGCTGGAGAATTGCTTGAACCTGGGAGGCAAAGGTTGAAGTGAGCAGAGATCGCACCATTGCACTCCAGCCTGGGCGACGAGAGCGAAACTCCCTCTCAAAAAAAAAAAGAAAAAGACTCAATAATGGGAACATTTATTCTACTTTATGGAATAAAGTGTGGCCCCATTTAAAAAAAAAGACTCAACACTTTATTTTTAGTTGTGGGAGAGCCAGAATCTTTGATATTTGCCCTTGAGAGCAGTTAAGATTGAAGACTCTGATATGAATTATACTAACCATTTTAGTCATTCTAAAGTTCTCTAAGTTTGATTAAAAATAAAATGTAATACGTACTTTTATAATTTCAGAAATGAAAGCAGTTTTAGAGTATTATTCAAAGACATGGAAAAGTAGGCCAAAACTAATCTGTCTGTAGTTTAGGCATTACCAGTTACAAAAAATACATAAAACTGTTTTCATACCAAAGTGTATTTTGTGTGGAGAAAAAAGTGAGTAGATGTAACTTTTAGTTTGGCTTGGTTTGTAAAAGTTAAAAAGTGATTTAAAATAAAAGTTATTCATTTAACAAACACTTTATGGTTACTGTATTCCAGGCACTGTTTTAGTTACTGAGAAATTTTGAATGAAAAAACAACATCAACATTAACTAGAATGTTAAATGTTTATAATTTTCCCAAGATTTTACCATCCTTGGTCCTGGCACTCACAATTTGGTTTATTATACTTTCCAGAAAATACCTGGAAAAATGCTTAGGGGGATGTAAAACGATCTTTTTTAATGGTCTTTTTCTCTTTCCTGCAGAGATATCAGGAAGTTACAAACACTGATCTTATTCCTAATACCCAAATAAAAGCCCTCAACCGGGGGCTTAAAAAAAAAAACAATACTGGTAAGTTCTTTCTTCATATGTACTTAACATTCTTTATTCACATCTTTCACCTTCATGATGTCAGGACATGGAATGGAATTTTAAGTAGGTTCTAGAGAAAATGCCAGATTTTATCTACTGGCATACGTTCTTCTATCCTATGTCTGTATTCATTGTGGGTGAATATTATTTCTGGTGCTTTTATAGAAAAAATGCTTATTTTCTGAAATAATTCAACCGTGGAATTGTTAGGTTAGGTGAGTTAAATATGATATTCAACTTCTAGAAATCCATTTCTTGTGTTGAATTTTGAACACACCTTTTTAAAATTGGGAAAATTATTTTCCCTTAAAATGACCTCAACATGAGTGTGCTTTGAAAGGCAAAGTATTTCATTAATCCAGTGAGTACATATAATTAACCATTGTTGAGAAGGATCTTAGGTAAAGTCTAACTGATGGTTTTTATTTTTGTGACTAGGTAGCTAGGACCAAATCCCCAAGTTTGAAACCAGGCTGATGATAATGGGGACTCTTCTACATGAGATAGCTTTAAGGATACACACACATTAAAAAATATATATATATATGTGTGTGTGTGTGTGTGTGTGTGTGTGTTTATGAAATATGTGAAATACACCGACATTCTTAGATGCTAACAGTGACTGCCTAGGTGCTGTCTCATGTTTCTGCTTAGCCTTTAGTAGTGACTTTTTATTAGGCTAAAACCTGATTAACTTTTAAATTTTATTGGAGTAAAACCTGATTAATTTTGCCTTGACCTACTTAAATAGTTAAAATGTGTAGTTTAAACATGCATTTCTTAAGGAACTTCAGGTGCTTTATATTAGGTGTTAAGTATCTTATAGTCAACCTCATCACCCTTAATTTCTTCATTTGTAAAATGAGAATAAAATGCCATCCATTATGGAAAATAGGAACACAGACTCAAAATTTAAAATACAACTTTATCAGTTTCTAAGAACAGTATGCAGGAAGAGGGAGTATATGCATATAGCTTGAAGAGTTTAAACTTCCTCGACTTATGGACCCATCAAAATTATTGGCTTTTGAGACAATTCGAGACCCTTTCTGGGAAGGAATTGGGTTAGTTAGCAGAGGTGGGGAGACTTTGTGACATTCAGGTAAGGGAGAAGAGTTGAAGTCCTCTGGCATTCTGCAGAGAAGAGATCTTGAAGTCAGTAACACACCTCAGAAGCTCTGTGTAAAAAGTACTGATAACAAGCTTTTGGAAGAGTTACAGTATTTGTCCAGCAGTGAGGGGCAAAACATAAGGGTCTTCACAGACTTTTCCTTCAGCTCGTAGTTGTCATTAAACATGTAACTCTGTCTATTGTGGTGGCAGGTTTCTTCACAATCTCTTAGGGTAGTTTTGAGTATTCCAGAAAATAACCCACGTAAGATACCTGGCACACACTTGGCACCTAGGCTGAGATCAGTATTAGTACCTTGCTTTCATTTTCTCCCTATAACCTAGAACCATTTCAGGAAAAGCAGAATGCCATTGAGCAGTTTATTTTCTTTGAATGTTCTTACTGCCCTTTTCTATACTCCGGTATCATGAGATCGTGACATTCGTTCACTCATTCACTAACAGTTCACTGTTCCCTTGTGAGTTGGAACAGAAAAGTGGTGGAAGCAGTGACTTAGTCCTTTCATTTAGGATTCTGCTGGGCATCGTTCATCATTTAGGATTCTGCTGGGCATTGTTCGGGAAAATAGACATTTTTAAAACTCGTTTCACTTTTTTTTAACATGGTGACTATTCATTTTTCTGCCTCTTAGGTTAATATTTCAGAAAAATACAGATAATGGAAAACATTTGAAATCGGAAATTATACAAAATATTTAGTTTCAGCATTTGTGTACACATTGCCAGGTTGGAAACAAGAGAATATAAGAATGGAAGCCCTCTTGAATGGTACAAAAAAATTCAAGATGCTAAGCTGCTAAGTTCTGGGTTAATTGAAAAAAAAAGAAAAATTCAAGTCGCAATGTGTAAAACACAAATTGTAACTGTAGTAGCATTAAAGTTAGTAAATTAGGAATGTATATGCTAAAACATGCTATTTGTCATTTAGAAAAAGGCTGGGATTGGTATGTGTGTGAAGGTTTCCAGTATATTCTTTATCAACAAGCAGAAGCCTTAAAGAACCTTGGAGTAGGCCCAGAGTTAAAGGTAAGTACATTTGTGACTAGATGTTAGCTTTACATATTTTTGTTTAAAGAACAGTAAGACTTATAGTGGAACTAAGGAGAAATCAGTAGTAACACTAGGGCTACTGGAAGAATAATTTTTCTGATGTTTTTGCTTTAATCCTTTTAGTAGGTTAGCAGTTCTGGAAGTGTGTTCTACAGGATGTAAATAAGCAATACATCCAAAAGAAAAATTTAAAGGTTTTAGTCTTCAGATACTTAGGAAACAACAGGTTAAACAAAGTAAAACTCAAATAACTTTGGGGGTTTATTAGTACCTTTTGTGTGTTAATGTGCTTGTTTAATTTCCAGGGAATGTCCTGTGTGTTATTCACAATTTGAGAACAAAATCGTTTGGTGTATGTACATAACGTCCATCAGGACTTGAGTTCCACAGAATGCACTTTGGACAGCGATATGCTAAACCAGTCGTTCACCTGAGTGCATCAGAATCACCTGGAGTGCTTGAAAAAACACCAATCACTGGACCTTAATCCCCGAATTTCTGAGTTAGTATGTCTGGAGTAGAGCCCAAGAATGTGCATTTCTAACAAGTTCTTATGGGACACCCATGCTTCTGGTCTGGGGACCACTCTTTGACTTTGCTGCCTTCCTGGAGCAACACAGTATTTCTGCAATTATTTGAATTTCATATTCCTTCATCTAGTAAAAGTCATTTAAGGAATGCTTTAAAAAGCCAGTTATTTAGCAACAAGTTGTTCACTTGCTTCATATGCTTCATTGGAAACCAAGTGTTGAGAGGTCCAGCCTAGTTGGGGAGAGGGATTTATGCATATGTGAAATGAATAGACATGAATTTATATGGTGATATGCTAAGTGATTTTTTTTTTTAAGAGACGGAGTCTCGCTCTGTTGCCCAGGCTGGAGTGCACTGGCATGATCTTCGCTCACTGCAACCTCCACCTCCCGTGTTCAAGCAATTCTCCTGTCTCAGCCTCCCGAGTAGCTGGGACTACAGGCACACACTGCTATACCCAGCTAATTTTTTCTATTTTAGTATAGATGGGGTTTCACCATGTTGCTCAGCCTGGGCTCAAACTCCTGAGCTCAGGCAATCTGCCCATCTCGGCCTCTCAAAGTGCTAGGATTATAGGCATGAGCCCCAGCACCTGGCCCTCATAAGTGATATTAAAGGCAAAAAAAGAACAGAGAAAGATCAACATGGGCTGCAGTCACCAAGGAAAGATTTGTAGAGGAGCCTTTGCTGTTCAAACTGGTGGTTGGGGCAAGTCCAAACAGAACAACCACGATTTCAGTGCATGGCCTAAATGGATGCTGGGCCTACCCTGAAAGGCGTTAAGAATTAAAAATTCAGAAGCATGAAGCAACAGAGGCTAACCCATAATAGTCATTGCATTAGGTATGATAGCTGATAGTGGGGGGGTTGTGATCTGATTTCTGCTTACATAGTCATTTTATGTATAAATGTTTAGAAACAGTTTTATATAGTTACACTATATAGCTGTAGCAGGGTTTGTTCCTATGTAGCTTTATGCTCACCTCATTAGGGGTTAATTCTGAAAACAATTTTTCTGAAATTAGCCAATGAGCATAACTGTTTAGACCTGATCAGTTGAGTGGCATTATGCCATGTACACAGGCTCCAGAATCAGAACTGACTCCAAATCCTATTGATAGTTTTTCTGCTTAATGGCTGGGTAATCTTGGACAAGTTATTCAGTTTCTTCAATGGTAAAATGAAGCTAATAGCTGTCTTACAATATTGTGTTGGAGCTAAGGGATACCTGGTACCTAGTAGATGACGAATAAATGGAAAAGTCTTTCTGTTTGCTTTTTTTTTTTCTTTTTCAGACAGGGTCTTGCTCTGTCACCCAGACTGGAGTGCAGTGACCTGATCATGGCTCACTGCAGCCCCAACCTCCTAGACTCGAGTAATCCTCCCACCTCAGCCTCCCAAGTATCTGGGACTACAGGCATGTGCCACCATACCTGGCTAACTTTTTGATTTTTTGTAGAGATGAGGTCTCACCATGTTGCCCAGGCTGGTTTCGAACTCCTGGGCTCAAGCAGTTTCTCCTGCCTTGAAGTCTGGGGATTACAGTAGTGAGCCACCGTGCCCAGCCGGAAAAGTTTTTTGTTTAGTTTCACTATCACTTGGGACTGGTTAGTAAACCTGGTAACAGCTTTGCCCCTAACTAAAAGTGTAGTCATGTATCAGTTGCTTTGTACTCTGATCCTTAATTTACTTAATATGCAGAAGAAAAGGACTCAACTCGGTGATTTTAATGTCTTTCTCTATCTAAAATTAAGAAGGATTTTTTCAGCATTTCTCATGTACCTGACACTATGATGATATTATAATTCTTTTTAAGGAAAGGCAGGTAAGAATACATTTAGATGGAAGACTTAACCAGCCCTCCAGGTGATTCTGATGCACACTTAAGCCTGAGAACTACTGGTTCAACATACTAATCCCTAGTGTGCATTTTGTGGAACTCAATGTTCTGATAGATGCTACATACAGACCCCAGAGATTTTGTTCTCAACTTGTGAATACCACATAAAACATTTACTGGAAATTTATATGTAAGTTAATATTTAAAGTACAAGAGAGCTGTGGTGTAGATGTGCCTGTACATTTGTTGTCATAACCTGAATCACCCACCACTCATTTCCCTTCCACCTTAGAACGATGTTTTACATAATTTTTGGAAGCGCTACCTTCAGAAGAGCAAGCAGGCATATTGTAAGAACCCAGTTTATACCACTGGAAGGAAACCTACGGTAAGTCACAAGTCTGAAAAGTTGGATTAAAAAACATGTCTGTTGAGATGTAGAGATGAAGATGGGTTCATGACCAGTTTGAGTATCTGAGATTATGATGCTTGTCAGAGGATTTTCAGTTAAGAGGCTTCTGTTACAGTCTAGAGGACGGGGTCACTGATTTAAACGTTGGAATAAAGTTTTTTCTTCACTTTTTTCCTGCAGTATGGAATTAATTTTGACATCTTATCAGACTAGTTGAAACATAA
This sequence comes from Homo sapiens, assembly GCF_000001405.40. Lineage (NCBI taxonomy): Eukaryota > Metazoa > Chordata > Mammalia > Primates > Hominidae > Homo > Homo sapiens. The sequence continues at coordinate 9,854,670 of NC_000002.12, forward strand.
AGGAATTTGTGGTTGATTTTCTAGATAGAAGATAGTTTCTATCACTGTACTATTAAAATAATTTTTAATTTAATAATGTATTTATTCTGTTTGCTTGGAATACCTACTTACTTTATGTGGCATTTCAAGATTCAGCTCAGTTATCATATCTTCTCAGAAGCCTTTATGTGAAGAAAAATAAAATCTGGGTATTCTCCCATATCCACCAGCTGTTTTTAGCAGTTTCTTTGTAACTGCTTTATAAATGTGCCATGTAACATTTTATTTGGGGTCGAGGATGATTCTACTTCTAAGAAAAGCAAGTTTGATAATTTTTTTTGTTCATTTGTTTGGTTTTTTTTTGAGACGGAGTTTCACTCTTGTTGCCCAGGCTGGAGTGCAATGGCGCCATCTTGGCTCACTGCAACCTCTGCCTTCCTGGTTCAAGCAATTCTTCTGCCTCAGCCTCCTGAGTAGCTGGGATTACAGGCGCCCGCCACCACACCTGGTTCATTTTTGTATTTTTAGTAGAGATGTGGTTTCACCATGTTAGCCAGGCTGATCTTGAGCTCCTGACCGCAGATGATCCATCCTCCTCGGCCTCCCAAAGTGCTGGGATTACAGGCGTGAGCCACTGCGCCCAGCCAGTTGGATAATTTTTGATGTGTGGTACAGATGCCCCTTGCCATGGGGTCACATCCCGATAAACCCATTGTAAGCTGAAACTATCATTAAGTTGAAAATGCAGGCTGAGTGTTAATGACTCATACCTGTAATCCCAACACTTTGAGAGGCTAGGGCAAGAGGATTGCTTGAGCCCAGAAGTTCAAGACCGGCCTGGGTAACATAATGAGACCCCAACTCTACAAAAAATTAAAAAATACGTACTGGGCATGGTGACACATGCCCTATATAGTCCCAGCTACTTGGGAGGCTGAGGTGGGAGGATTGCTTGAGCTTAGGAGGTTGAGGCTGCAGTGAGCTGTGATCACACCACTGCACTCCAGCCTGGGCAACAGAGTGAGACTTGTCTCAAAAAAAAAGAAAATGCATTTAATATACCCAACCTACCGAACATCATAGCTTAGTCTAGCCCACTTTGAACATGCTCAGGACACTTACATTAGACTACAGTTGGGCAAAAGTCATCAAATACAAAACCTATTTTATAATAAAGGGTTGAATATCTCATGTAATTTATTGATTACTTTACTGAAAGTAAAAAACAGTATGGTTGTATGGGTGCTTGAAGTATAGTTTTGACTTTGTGCATATTGCTTGCACCGTAGTAAAGTCAAAACATCACAAGTAAGGGACCATCTATAGTTACTCTTCATATGGCTAGAAGAGATTCTGAATCTGTTTGATACACATTTGTTAAGGGCTTGGGAATTTGGCCCAGTGTTTCCTTGTTTGCTTGGGTTCTCATAGGTTTCACATCCAGAGTTGAGAGACCCAGTACTGAGAAACCCAGGTCTGGGTGAAGAGTAGGTTACAGAGATGAGCAAAAGAGATAACCTCTGAGCTCCTTCAGTATCCTCATGTGATACCAATCCTAAGAATGAGAAGTTTAGAGTAGTCAAGTCGTACGGGATAGTGATGGTTAAATGTTATCCTGGCGGGCAGTTGTGGGGGCCAACCTGAGAAAGCTAACTGAAAAAAAAAAAAGGCAGGGGAATAACCTGAGGGGTTCGTTTGGAGAATGTTTTAAAATATGAGATAATGAATTTAAATAAACTCAAGAGAAATAACTTGAATTTACTAGAAAAGATAATATTTTATAATCATAGAACTATGAAACATTATACTGTCTTGATACATGAGAGAGATACTTCCCAAGAAAATCGGAAGATGCTATATGGTTCTAAGGTAACACTTTGAAAAAGAAAGGAAAGAATTGCCTAAACTACTAAGAACCTGATCTTTAAAATTTCATATCTAAGGTATTTGTTGATTGTATTTATGCCCTGGGAGTTTGCCTAACACATAGAAAATATGCATCAGAACCTGGGATTCTCTGACATTTAAATATTTTTGGGTTAACTTAAGTTTTTTTTAAAAAAAGGTTTTTCTAGAGTTGAGTAAATTCTCGTGTAAAGCAATATTAGCATCACGCTAAAATCTTGGTGAATAAATAAGCAATAAGTAAAATATTAAGCTGATGTATGAATTAGTAAGGTAATTTCTACTTCAAGAGTACAGCTATACTCTATTTTGAAAGGAAATGGAAACAATTACTTTTAATTAGAAGCATAGTTTTCTCAAGTATATCCATTAAATATTTCCTTAGTGCTTTGGAGATAACTGTTTTGAGAACAGTAAGAGGCCTGGTCCCTGCTTTTGAGCTGTATTATCTTGGGTGAGGTAAATTACTGAAAATGTGCAGAAGAAGCAAATTAACAAGCAAATATAGAGAGGGGGACACTGGGGAAGGGTGCTATTTAATAAAAGGTGGTCATGGAGGCCCTTGCTGATGTGGGAGCTGAAGTGATGAAGAAAGTGAGAGAGTAAACCATGGGATATCTAGGGCAAGAAATGCAGAATTTCAGGTCTTACCAAGACCAGTTGAATGCAGATACGCATTTTAAGAAGTCCGTAGATGCTTCCTATACACAGTACACTAAAGTTTGAGAAGCACTGGTGTAGATGAGAAGTGATGGTGGCTGGTACCAGGTGGTAGAACTGGAGGTGATAAGTGATAGGATTCTATATAAAGTCTGAAGATAGAGCCAACAGAACTTCCTGACGGATTGGATGTGAGAGAAAGAGAGGAATAGGAGTCAATGATGACTCTAAGGATTTTGACCTAAGCAGCTGGAAGGAAAGAGTTGCCATCAGCTGAAGGGTAAGTGGGCCAGGAAGGTCAGTGGTTCCATTTTGGACATGTTAAGTTTGAGACAGCTGTTAGCATCTATTAGTCCATTTTCACACTGCTATAAAAATACTACCTGAGACAGGGCAATTTCTAAACAAAAGAAGTTTAATTAACTCAGTTTTACATGGTTGGGGAGGCCCTAGAAAACATGTAATCATGGCCGAAGGAGAGGGGAAGTAAGGCATGTCTTACATGGCAGCAGGAGAGACAGAGAGAGTGCGTGCGTGTGAGCAAGCCCATGCAGGGGGAAACTGCCACTTTAAAAACCATCATATTGCATGAGAACTCCCTCGCTATCATGAGAACAGCATGGGGGAAGCCACCCCCATGATCCAGTCACCTCTCACCAGGTCCCTCTCGCAACATGTGGGGATTACAATTCGAGATGAGAGATTTGGATGGGGACAGAGCCAAACCATATCATTCCACCCCTGCCCCCTGCCAAATCTCATGTCCTTCTCACATTGCAAAATCAATCATGCCTTCCCAACAGTCTACCAAAGTCTTAACTCATTCCAGCATTAACTCATTAACTCAAAAGTCCAAGTCCAAAGTCTGATCTGAGACAAGGCAAGTCCTTTCTGCCTATGAACCTGTAAAATCAAAAACAAGTTAGTTACTTCCAAGATGAAATGAGGTTACAGGCATTGGGTAAATGTTCCCAATCCACATGGGATAAATTGGCCAAAACAAAGGGGCCAATACAAGTCCGAAACCCAGCAGGGCATTCACTAAATCTTAAAGCTTCAAAATAAGCTTTGACTCCATGTCTCACATCCAGGCATGCTGATGCAAGGGGTGGTTTCACAAGGTCTTGGGCAGCTTTGCTCCTATGGCTCTGCAGGGTACAGCCCCCAAGGCTGCTTTCATGGGCCAGAGTTGAGTGTCTGGCTTTCCAAGTGCATGGTGCAAGATGTCAGTGGCTCTACCATTCTGGGATCTGCAAGACGATGGCCCTCTTCTCACAGCTCCACTAGGCAGTGCTCCAGTGGGAATCTGTTGGGGCTCCAACCCCACATTTCTCCTCTGCATTGCCCTAGAAGAGGTTCTCTATGAGGGCTCTGCCCCTGCATCAGACTTCTGCCTGGACATCCAGGCATTTCCATACATCCTCTGTAATCTAGGCAGAGGTTCCCAAACCTCAGCCCTTGTCTTCTATGCACCCACAGGCCCATCGCCACGTGGAAGCTGCCAAAGCTTGGGGCTTGCACCCTCTGAAGCCATGGCCTGAGCTATACTTTGGTGCCTTTTAGCCACAGCTGGAGCTGGAGTGGCTGGGATGCAGGGCGCCATATCCTGAGGCTGCACAAAGTAACTGAGCCCTGGACCTGGCCCGTAAAACCATTTTTCCCTCCTAGGCATCTGGGCCTGTGATGGGAGGGGCTGTCTCGAAGATCTCTGACATGCCCTGGAGACATTTTCCCCATTGTCTTGACTATTAACATTCACTCCTCATTACTAATGCAAATTTCTATAGCCGGCTTGAATTTTCTCCCCAGAAAATGGGTTTTCCTTTTTTACCTTGTCGTCCTGCTGGAAATATTCCAAACTTCTATGCTCTGCTTCCCTTTTAAATAAAAGTTCCAGTTTCAGATAATCTCTTTGTGAACACACATGACTGAATGCTTTCAGGATCAGCCAGGTTACCTCTTGAATGCTTTGCTGCTTAGAATTTCTGCCAGATACCCTGAATCATCTTTCTCAGCTTCAAAGTTCTGCAGATCTCTAGGGCAGGGGCAAAATGCCACCAGTCTCTTTGCTGAAACATAGCAAGAGTAACCTTTACTCCAGTTCCCAATAAGTTCCTCATCTCCATCTGAAACCACTTCAGCCTGGACTTCATTGTCCATATCACTATCAGCATTTTTTTTTTTTTTTTTTGAGATAGAGTGTTGCTTTGTTGCGCAGGCTGGAGTGCAGTGGCACCATCTTGGCTCATTGCAACCTCCGCCTCCTGGATTCAAGCGATTTTTGTGGCTTAGCCTCCCGAGTAGCTGGGACTATAGATGCATGCCACCATGCCCAACTACTTTTTTGTATTTTTAATACAGATGGGGTTTCACTGTGTTGGTCAGGCTGGTCTTGAACTCCTGACCACAGGTCAGGCCCACCTCCACCTCTCAAAGTGCTGAGATTATAGGCATGAGCCATCGCACCTGGCCGCTAACAGCATTTTGATCACAATCATTCAACAAGTTTCTAGGAATTTCCAAACTTTCTTTCATCTTCCTGTCTTCTTCTGAGCCCTGCAAACTGTTCCAACCCCTGCTTGTTACCCAGTTCCAAAGTTGCTTCCACATTTTCCAGTATCTTTATGGTGGTATTCCACTCCTGGTACCAATTTCCTGTATTAGTTTGTTTCCACACTACTATGAAGATACTACCTGAGACTGGGTAATTTATAAACAAAAGAGGTTTAATGGGCTCAGAGTTCTGCATGGCTGCAAGGCCTCAGGAAACTTAAATCATGGTGGAAAGCAAAGGTGAAGCAAGGCATGTCTTCCATGGCAGCAAGAGAGAGAGAGTGTGCAGGGGGAAATGCCACTTTTAAAACAGTCAGATCTCATGAGAACTCCCTCACTATCACAAGAACAGCATGGGGGAAACTGCCCCCATGATCCAGTCACCTCCCACTAGGTCCCTCCCTCCAGACATGGGGATTACAATTCAAGATGAGATTTGGGTGGGGACACAGAGCCAAACCATATCAGCATCCAAGAGGAAATTTCAAGCATGCAGTTAGATGTAAAAGTCTGCAGTTCAGGAGAGAGGTCTGAGCCGGAGACATAAATTTCGAAGCTGTTAGTTTATATTATAATCATGAAATCTAACATGCTATTGTTTGTAACATACGCCATTATTTTAAGTACTGCTAAGAAAGAAAAGAGTGCTACAAATTCAATTTTGACATGCCAGTGATTGTAAGATAAATCTTGATTTCTAGGATGTTAAAATGTGGTATGGGAGGGGACATTTTAAAATTTGAAGATAGTAGCTAGTATTTAAAACTGTAAGACCGGATGACATCACCAAGGTATGAAGACAGAGAGAGGACCAATAACTTAGCCCTAGGTCATTCTACGGTTAAGATGTTTGGGATAAAAGAGGAACTGGCAAAAAAATTCTTGGGAACAATGTGAAGTAAGAGGACAGCTGAGAGAATGAGCACTCTGGAAACCAAGGGAACAAAGTGTTTCAAGAAGAGGGCAGTGATCAGCTGTGATAAATGCTGTCACTAGGTCAAGAAGGAAGAGGGCTGCAAAGTGGTTAGTGGAGCAGTGGGATCAAAACCTTGATTGGAATGGAATATAAGGTAGACTGAGAGGAGAGAAATTGGAGACAACAAATTTGGACTTTTTCAAGGCATTTTGCTGCAACAAGTACAAAGAAATTGCATGGTTGCTGGGGTCAAGGGAGAGCTTTTAAAAAGTGGGATAGAGGGGTGGAGCCAAGATGGCCAAATAGGAACAGCTCCAGTCTACAGCTCCCAGCATGAGCAGCGCAGAAGACGGGTGATTTCTGCATTTCCAACTAAAGTACTGGGTTCATCTCACTGGGGAGTGCGGGACAGTGGGTGCAGGACAGCGGGTGCAGCACACCGTGCATGAGCCGAAGCAGGGCGAGGCATCGCCTCACCCGGGAACTGCAAGGGGTCAGGGAATTCCCTTTCCTAGTCAAAGACAGGGGTGACAGACGGCACCTGGAAAATCAGGTCGCTCCCACCCTAATACTGCGCTTTTCGAACGGGCTTAACAAACGGCACACCAGGAGATTATATCCCACACCTGGCTTGGAGGGTGCTATGCCCATGGAGCCTCGCTGATTGCTAGCACAGCAGTCTGAGATCAAACTGCAAGGCAGCAGCGAGGCTGGGGAGGGGCGCCCGCCATTGCCGAGGCTTGAGTAGGTAAACAAAGCTGCTGGGAAGCTCGAACTGGGTGGAACCCACCACAGCTCAAGGAGGCCTGCCTGCCTCTGTAGGCTCCACCTCTGGGAGCAGGGCACAGACAAACAAAAGGCAGCAGTAACCTCTGCAGACTTAAATGTCCCTGTCTGACAGCTTTGAAGAGAGCAGTGGTTCTCCCACCATGCAGCTTGAGATCTGAGAACGGGCAGACTGCCTCCTCAAGTGGGTCCCTGATCCCTGAGTAGCCTAACTGGGAGGCACCCCCCAGTAGGGGCAGTCTGACACCTCACACGGCCAGGTACTCCTCTGAGACAAAACTTCCAGAGGAACGATCAGGCAGCAGCATTTGCGGTTCACCAATATCCGCTGTTCTGCAGCCACTGCTGCTGATACCCAGGCAAACAGGGTCTGGAGTGGACCTCCAGCAAACTCCAACAGACCTGCAGCTGAGGGTCCTGACTGTTAGAAGGAAAACTAACAAACAGAAAGGACATCCACACCAAAAACCCATCTGTACGTCACCATCATCAAAGACCAAAGGTAGATAAAACCACAAAGATGGAGAAAAAACAGAGCAGAAAAACTGTAAACTCTAAAAATCAGAACGCCTCTCCTCCAAAGGAACGCAGCTCTTCACCAGCAACAGAACAAAGCTGGAAGGAGAATGACATTGACGAGTCGAGAGAAGAAGGCTTCAGAAGATCAAACTACTCCGAGCTAAAGGAGGAAGTTCAAACCAATGGCAAAGAAGATTAAAAACCTTGAAAAAAAAATTAGACAATTGGCTAACTAGAATAACCAATGCAGAGAAGTCCTTAAAGGACCTGATGGAGCTGAAAACCACAGCACAAGAACTACGTGAGGAATGCACAGTCCTCACTAGCTGATGCAATCAACTGGAAGAAAGTGTATCCATGATGGAAGATGAAATGAATGAAATGAAGCGAGAAGAGAAGTTTAGAGAAAAAAGAATAAAAGAAACGAACAAAGCCTCCCAGAAATATGGGACTATGTGAAAAGACCAAATCTACGTCTTATTGGTGTACCTGAAAGTGACAGGGAGAATCGAACCAAGTTGGAAAACACTCTACAGGTTGTTATCCAGGAGAACTTCCCCAATCTAGCAAGGCAGGCCAACATTCAAATTCAGAAAATTCAGAGAATGCCACAAAGATACTCCTCGAGAAGAGCAACTCCAAGACACATAATTGTCAGATTCACCAAAGTTGAAATGAAGGAAAACATGTTAAGGGCAGCCAGAGAGAAAGGTCGGGTTACCCACAAAGGGAAGCCCATCAGACTAATAGCTGATCTCTCGGCAGAAACTCTACAAGCCAGAAGAGAGTGGGGGCCAATATTCAACATTCTTAAAGAAAAGAATTTTCAACCTATAATTTCATATCCAGCCAAACTAAGCTTCATAAGTGAAGGAGAAATAAAATACTTTACAGACAAGCAAATGCTGAGAGATTTTGTCACCACCAGGCCTGCCCTAAAAGAGCTCCTGAAGGAAGCACTAAACATGGAAAGGAACAACCGGTACCAGCCACTGCAAAAACATGCCAAATTGTAAAGACCATCAAGGCTAGGAAGAAACTGCATCAACTAACGAGCAAAATAACCAGCTATAACATCATAATGACAGGATCAGATTCACACATAACAATATTAACCTTAAATGTAAATGGGCTAAATGCTCCAATTAAAAGACACAGACTGGCAAATTGGATAAAGAGTCAAGACCCATCAGTGTGCTGTATTCAGGAAACCCATCTCACATGCAGAGACACACATAGGCTCAAAGTAAAGGGATGGAGGAAGATCTACCAAGCAAATGGAAAGCAAAAAAAGGCAGGGGTTGTAATCCTAGTCTCTGATAAAACAGACTTTAAACCAACAAAGATCAAAAGAGACAAAGGTGGCCATTACATAATGGTAAAGGGATCAATGCAACAAGAAGAGCTAACTATCCTAAATATATATGCACCCAATACAGGAGCACCCAGATTCATAAAGCAAGTCCTTAGTTATCCACAAAGAGACTTAGACTCCCACACAATAATAATGGGAGACTTTAACACCCCACTGTCAACATTAGACAGATCAATGAGACAGAAAGTTAACAAGGATATCCAGGAATTGAACTCAGCTCTGCACCAAGTGGACCTAATAGACATCTATAGAACTCTCCATCCTAAATCAACAGAATATACATTATTTTCAGCACCACACCACACCTATTCCAAAATTGACCACATAGTTGGAAGTAAAGCACTCCTTAGCAAATGTAAAAGAACAGAAATTATAACAAACTGTCTTTCAGACCACAGTGCAATCAAACTAGAACTCAAGATTAAGAAACTCACTCAAAACTGCTCAACTACATGGAAACTGAACAACCTGTTCCCGAATGACTACTGGGTACATAACGAAATGAAGGCAGAAATAAAGATGTTCTTTGAAACCAACGAGAACAAAGACACAACATACCAGAACCTCTGGGACACATTCGAAGCAGTGTGTAGAGGGAAATTTATAGCACTAAATGCCCACAAGAGAAAGCAGGAAAGATCTAAAATTGACACCCTAACATCACAATTAAAAGAACTAGAGAAACAAGAGCAAACACATTCAAAAGCTAGCAGAAGACAAGAAATAACTAAGATCAGAGCAGAACTGTAGGAAATAGAGACACAAAAAACCCTTCGAAAAATCAGTGAATCCAGGAGCTGGTCTTTTGAAAAGATCAACAAAACTGATAGACCGCTAGCAAGACTAATAAAGAAGAAAAGAGAGAAGAATCAAATAGACGCAATAAAAAATGATAAAGGGAATATCACCACCGATCCCACAGCTACCATCAGAGACTACTATAAACACCTCTACGCAAATAAACTAGAGAATCTAGAAGAAATGAATAAATTCCTCGACAAATACACCTTCCCAAAACTAAACCAGGAAGAAGTTGAATCTCTGAATAGACCAATAAGAGGCTCTGAAATTGAGGCAATAATTAATAGCTTACCAACCAAAAAAAGTCCAGGACCAGATGGATTCACAGCCGAATTCTACCAGAGGTATAAGGAGGAGCTGGTACCATTCCTTCTGAAACTATTCCAATCAGTAGAAAAAGAGGGAATCCTCCCTAGCTCATTTTATGAGGCCAGCATCATCCTGACACCAAAGCCTGGCAGAGACACAACAAAAAAAGAGAATTTTAGATCAATATCCTTGATGAACATTGATGCAAAAATCCTCAATAAAATACTGGCAAACCGAATCCAGCAGCACATCAAAAAGCTTATCCACCATGATCAAGTGGGCTTCATCCCTGGGATGCAAGGCTGGTTCAACATACAAAAATCAATAAACATAATCCAGCATATAAACAGAACCAAAGACAAAAACCACATGATTATCTCAATAGATGCAGAAAAGGCCTTTGACAAAATTCAACAACGCTTCATGTTAAAAACTCTCAATAAATTAGGTATTGATGGGACACATCTCAAAATAATAAGAGCTATCTATGACAAGCCCACAGCCAATATCATACTGAATGGACAAAAACTGGAAGCATTTCCTTTGAAAACTGGCACAAGACAGGGATGCCCTCTCTCACCACTCCTATTGAACATAGTGTTGGAAGTTCTGGCCAGGGCAATCAGGCAGGAGAAGGAAATAAAGGGCATGCAATTAGGAAAAGAGGAAGTCAAATTGTCCCTGTTTGCAGATGACATGATTATATGTCTAGAGAACCCCATTGTCTCAGCCCAAAATCTCCTTAAGCTGATAAGCAACTTCAGCAAAGTCTCAGGATACAAAATCAATGTGCAAAAATCACAAGCATTCTTATACACCAATAACAGACAAACAGAGAGCCAAATCATGAGTGAACTCCCATTCACAGTTGCTTCAAAGAGAATAAAATACCTAGGAATCCAACTTACAAGGCATGCGAAGGACCTCTTCGAGGAGAACTACAAACCACTGCTCAATGAAATAAAAGAGGATACAAACAAATGGAAGAACATTCCATGCTCATGGGTAGGAAGAATCAATATCGTGAAAATGGCCATACTGCCCAAGGTAATTTATAGATTCAATGCTATCCCCATCAAGCTACCAATGACTTTCTTCGCAGAATTGGAAAAAACTAAAGTTCACATGGAACCAAAAACGAGCCCTCATTGCCAAGTCAATCCTAAGCCAAAAGAACAAAGCTGGAGGCATCACGCTACCTGACTTCAAACTATACTACAAGGCTACAGTAACCAAAACAGCATGGTACTGGTACCAAAACAGAGATACAGACCAATGGAACAGAACAGAGCCATCAGAAATAATGCTGCATATCTACAACTATCTGATCTTTGACAAACCTGACAAAAACAAGCAAAGGGGAAAGGATTCCCTATTTAATAAATGGTGCTGGGAAAACTGGCTAGCCATATGTAGAAAGCTGAAACTGGATCCCTTCCTTACACCTTATACAAAAATTAATTCAAGATGGATTAAAGACTTACATGTTAGACCTAAAACCATAAAAACCCTAGAAGAAAACCTAGGCAGTACCATTCAGGACATAGGCATGGGCAAGGACTTCATGTCTAAAACACCAAAAGCAATGGCAACAAAAGCCAAAATTGACAAATGGGATCTAATTAAACTAAAGAGCTTCTGCACAGCAAAAGAAACTACCATCAGAGTGAACAGGCAACCTACAGAATGGGAGAAAATTTTTGCAACCTACTCATCTGACAAAGGGCTAATATCCAGAATCTACAATGAACTCAAACAAATTTACAGGAAAAAAACAAACAACCCCATGAAATGTGGGCAAAGGGTATGAACAGTCATTTCTCAAAAGAAGACATTTATGCAGCCCACAAACACATGAAAAAATGCTCATCATCACTGGCCATCAGAGAAATGCAAATCAAAACCACATTGAGATACCATCTCACGCCAGTTAGAATGGCGATCATTAAAAAGTCAGGAAACAACAGGTGCTGGAGAGGATGTGGAGAAATAGGAACACTTTTACACTGTTGGTGGGACTGTAAACTAGTTCAACCATTGTGGAAGTCAGTGTGGCGATTCTTCAGGGTTCTAGAACTAGAAATACCATTTGACCCAGCCATCCCATTACTGGGTATATACCCAAAGGATTATAAGTCATGCTGCTATAAAGACACATGCACACGTATGGTTATTGCGGCACTATTCACAATAGCAAAGACTTGGAACCAACCCAAATGTCCAACAATGATAGACTGGATTAAGAAAATGTGGCACATACACACCATGGAATACTATGCAGCCATAAAAAATGATGAATTCATGTCCTTTGTAGGGACATGGGTGAAGCTGGAAACCATCATTCTGAGCAAACTATCACAAGGACAAAAAACCAAACATCGCATGTTCTCACTCATAGGTGGGAATTGAACAATGAGAACACATGGACACAGGAAGGGGAACATCCCATACCGGGGACTGTTGTGGGGTGGGTGGAGGGGGGAGGGATAGCATTAGGAGATATACCTAATGCTAAATGACGAGTTAATGGGTGCAGCACACCAACATGGCACATGTATACATATGTAAGAAACCTGCATGTTGTGCACATGTACCCTAAAACTTAAAGTATAATAAAAAAATTTTTAAATAAAGTGGGATAAATGATAGCATATTTGTGTAGTGATAGGAATGATGCAGGAGAGAAGAAAAATTTGCAATGGAGAGAAAGAGTAGATGTGAATCTTTGAACAGATATCTTTGAGTGTACAGAGAGGTGGGATCAAGTGCACAAATAGAGAAACTGGCTTTAAACAGGAGTTTGAATCGTCCAGAAGAATCAGGCAGAGGCAGAGTATGTGGTAGAGTTGCTGGCAGTGGTAACCTGTGGGAACCTGTGGAAGTTTTCTCTGTGTTCATGCTCATCAGCCAGCTTTCTGGTGTAGCCTCCTTCTCACAGGGCTTCCCTATAGGGAGGGGATATGCTTGACAGAGGACACAAGCATCTTACTTCATTCTCTGAGGTTTTTGTTTGTTTTTTTGTTTTTTTGGGTTTTCTTGCTTCATTGTCTTGTGAGCCTCTTTACCAGGAGTCTTAGTCTTATCTTCCTGTAATAAGATCAAGTTTCTTGGCCTGCAGGGTTGAAATCATGGCTTTTTGACTGTGATCGGTTTGCCTGGGTAATGTCAGCTAATGAGGTCTTTAGGTAGCCAGCCAGCTGACCTTTTTAGGGACACTCTGTTGTTTCAACAGTACATGTGTGAACAGTTAAACAGTAGTATGAGATAGTATATCCTTGTTGATTACATGTTACAAATCGTATATGCTACAGGAGTTCAAGGAAAGGAGAAATCACTGAAGAGTGGGTTGGAAAGATGGCATGATGAGTAAGTAATGAGTTAGGGAGAGGGAGGAAAAGGCGTAGTTCAGGCAGGAGAACCAGAATTAACAAAGATACAAAGCAAAAATTCCCCAGGTAGGTTTGGTAAAAAGAAGCCAGCCAGCATGTGTGGGGTCATTGATGCGCGATGTTTTCAGTGGTGAAGATATTAGCGCTGTAAGAGAGATGTTCATGGAAGAAGGAGACCTGATGGCAGGGCTGGCAGCCGGTTTCCTCGCCCATCCTTGTCTGTGACTCCTCTCCAAGAAGCACTGCTGGGAGCTGTCAGGAGCGTGTTTCAGAAGTAAAGGGACTTGGCAGGCAGTTGCAGTTTTCTAGAGTGGTTTCTTTTAGGGTGTTTGTGATAGGAGTTGTTTAAGTTCACAGAAATTAACTGTTTAAAACTGTTACACAATAATTTTATTTATATTGTTTTGCAAACAGGTATTAGAAGATAATCTAAGTCATTCAGACTGGGCTAGTGAGCCTGAGCTGCTAAGTGATGTCAGCTGTCCTCCTTTTCTTGAAAGTGGAGCGGAGTCTCAGTCTGACATCCACACTCGAAAACCTTTCCCCGTCAGCAAAGCATCACAATCAGGTAAAAATGAGAACCAAACCATTTCGAATTTTAAAGCTGTTATGCCCCTTAAAAATAATTTAGTCTAATCTTCTGATAATCCAAGGAAAGGGAACTTGGTCTAGCGAGGAAGAATCTAGCAAGGAAGAATGACTTGCTGAATCATATGGCTAAGACAAACTAAGTGAAATCTTAGCGCAATTTTTTAAAAGGCACATTGTCTCCATGTGAGTTTTTTGTGTGTGATTTTAAAGGGACATAAAGTTCAAGTGGATCCAGAAAGAAGGAGGCTGCTTCAGAAAGATCTATATGTGTGGGCTCAGCGTCTTCAAAGAAAAGTTGTAGCAGAAAAATGTTATTATGTAGCCATATAGTAAAATAGACAAAGATGGTATGTCCAGTTTCTAAGCATAGACTAAATCAAGCTGAGTAAAATTTACCTTGTTACATGTGTGTTTTACTTTCTGATATAATTCCATAACTTGAAATAAATAAGGAATGTATTTAAGATTAAAATATAGGCCTTCATTCCTTTATCAGTGTATCCACATCTCTTCCTGGACTGCACAGTGACACAGATATCAAATAAGTTACTTTTGGTGTAAAGTGTTAGGATCATTGACTAATTGGGCAACAAGGAATTTCTGGAGTTTTCTTCTCCACCTTTTCAGACAAGCCTGAGCTCAAATATTCCCAGAAGACCATGACTGTAAAACCATCGAACCTTTTTGAAAGAAGATATTAGCTCCTTTTAAAGCATCATGATTGTTTTGTTTACCTATGTGTAACAGTTTTGTTTGCTTATTTTTTTTTGTTTTGTTTTGTTTTGTTTTTGAGATGGAATCTAGTTCTGTCACCCAGGCTGGAGTGCAGTGGTGCAATCTCGGCTCACTGCAACCTCCGCCTCCCAGGTTCACGTGATTCTCCTACCTCAGCCTCCTGAGTAGCTGGGATTACAAGCATGTACCACCACACCCTGCTAATTTTTGTATTTTTAGTAGAGATGGGGTTTCACCATGTTGGTCAGACTGGTCTCAAACTCCTGACCTTGTGATCTGCCTGCTTCAGCCTCCCAAAGTGCTGGGATTACAGGTGTGAACCACCGTGCCCGGCCTGCTTATTTGTTTTTTAATAAATGATGATCCCTAGAGCTTTCTTTTAGTTTTTACATTAAAAGTAATCAATGGCCGGGCGTAGTGGCTCACACCTGTAATCTCAGGACTATGGGAGGCTGAGGCGAGCAGATCACTTGAGGTCAGGAGTTTGAGACCAGCCTGGCCAACATGGAGAAACCCCATCTCTACTAAAAATACAAAAATTAGCTAGGCGTGGTGGTATGCACCTGTAGTCCCAGCTTCTTGGGAGGCTGAGGCAGAATTGCTTGAACCGGGAGGCAGAGGTTTCAGTGAGCCAAGATCACACCACTGCACTCCAGTGTAGGTGACAGAGCAAGACTCCATCTCAAAAAAAAAAGAAGTAATTATTAGTGAAACTCAATATAAAACTATAAAATGCAGATAGTCACGAAGAAAATAAAATCACCAGTTACTGTACCAACTAGAAATTACCGCTACTGCTATTGTAGATCATTCCAGAAAGTTTTTCTTCATGTATGTATACGGAAAGAATTTATTTTGTTTTTGTAAAAATTTGAATTATTTCTTCATTCTTTAAATTTTTAAAAACTTAAAGTATAATAATAAATAAATTTTTAAATCAAAACTCTACAAATCATTCTATAAGTCTTGTTATAAAAAAATCGTAAAAATAAAAAATTGTTTTAAGTTGTAGTCCACCAGTCACGGCAGTGGACTACACCTATTGTAATCCCAGCATTTTGGGAGGCCAAGGAGGGAGGATCAGTTGAACCCAGGAGTCCAAAACCAGCCTGGGCAACATAGTGAGACCTCCATCTCTCAAAAAATAAAAATTAGCTAGGCATGGTGGTGCATGCCTACAGTCCCAGCTACTCAGGTGACTGAGGTTGCTGGAGTGCTTGAGCCAGGAGGTCGAGGCTGTAGTGCGCTGTGATCATCCCACTGCACTCTAGCCCGGCCGACGGAGCAAAACCTTGTCTTAAAAAAAAATAAAATTTGTAGTCTACCTTCAGCTAATGTCCTGTTCCCAAGGGGCATTCATTTTCAACTCTTTTGTGACTTTCATATTTCCGTATCACGTGCTTCTAGTATTACATCTTGATTTCTAGTTTGGGACATTAGCTATTCAATTCTGTTTTAGCTCTTTCACACATTCCTCACTGTCCCTTATCTGCACATAGTCCCCAGTACATGCATGTGCATTTCTCATTCTCTCTCTTCTCAATATAATTGCTGTAATTTTTTACTAGATCAGTATTTACTGCTTAAATTATTATAAATGTATACACATTATTTAGACTGAGCTGTATAGCTTACTATGATTACTTTTTCTGTATATCCTGTGGTTTTCTTGGAGTTGATAATTGTTATTTATTTAGTTTTCTGTTTATTACTAATCCATAATTTATTACTAATGTATCTCCACACTTCCAGTTCTTATAATCTCTTAATATCTTATGCATTCTATCAGTTTCATCTTCTGGAAGAAGTCTCCCTGGAGCCTCTGATCTGCTCTGATCTAGAATGATATCTCTAGACCTGTGGCCTGGCTGACTTTAGGATCTCTCCTTTTTTGTTGTTGTTTTTTTTTTGAGATGGTGTCTTGCTCTGTTGCCCAGGCTGGAGTGCAGTGGCACGATCTTGGCTCACTGCAAGCTCCACCTCCTGGGTTCATGCCATTCTCCTGTCTCATCTTCCCGAGTAGCTGGGACTACAGGCGCCCGCCACCATGCCCAGCTAATTTTTTTTTGTATTTTTAGTAGAGACGGGGTTTCATCGTGTTAGCCAGGATGGCCTCGATCTCCTGACCTTGTGATCTGCCCACCTCGGCCTCCCAAAGTGCTGGGATTGTAGGCGTAAGCTACTGTGCCTGGCCAGGATCTCTCTTTACCACCATCCTGAGATTCTGTCATTTTTCTTTTGTTGGAATTTTTTATTTTCTGCATCCCATTTCTTCTTTCCTGGATTACCCTCTCATTTTTGTGGAGCATCTTTTATTTCACAGAGAATATTAACGATATTTCATGCCTGACTTGATTGTTTTGGCCTCTGCTTTTTACATGAAAGGCTTCAAATGTTTAGTGAGCCTAAGATAGCTATTCTTACTTAAACATGGGAGACTAAAAAGTTGATAAAAGGCTTTGTTTCCGTGGTTAGTCTTGTCAGCTCTGCTCTGCTTGCAAGGTTATTTTCTCAGTGAACCCCAGCATTATCATCTTTAAATCTTTTCCCCCCGAGCTGATCAGATTCCTCAGAGAAATCTCTTTGAGTCTTCTGTTTGGCGGGTTTGTAATCTTGGCTGTCACTGTTCTGGAAACTGGGTAGGAAGAAGAAGACCGGAGGGGAATGGGGGATTGTTTTAGTATTCAGTATGTAAACTTTCACTTAAGCCTCCTGTTTTCACTTCTCAACAGTGCATGTGAGTGGCATGCCTTATTCTAGAGACCCTTCTCTCTGGAGAAGAAATTTCCAGTTTTTGGCCAAGACTAGGGAGGGGCATCACTTGGCTGCATGGATTTGGGATAAGAATCTGGATGTCTGGCTGGGTGTGGTGGCTCACGCCTGTAATCCCAGCACTTTGGGAGGCCGACGCAGGCGGATCACGAGGGCAGGAGATTGAGACCATCCTGGCCAACGTAGTGAAACTCCGTCTCTACTAAAATACAAAAAATTAGATGGGTGTGGTGGCGCACGCCTGTAGTCCCAGCTACTCAGGAGGCTGAGGCAGGAGAGTGGCTTGAACCCGGGAGTTGGAGGTTGTGGTGAGCTGAGATCACACCACTGCACTCCAGTCTGGGCAACAGAGCGAGATTCCATCTTAAAAAAAAAAAAAAAAAGAATCTGGATGTCTAACTGCTTCTTAATCTGGATTTTAAGCAGTCATCCTGGTGTTAGGCCTGCCTTCATCCAGTTTCTAGGGGTATGAGTTTCTCCAATTCCTGAGCCTTCTTTAGGGATCCCCAGTGAAAACTGCTTTTTGGCATATTCCCCACTGCTGACTTTGAATCTAGCTTTCCCAGGACTGCTAAGCCAATAATCACCTATCTGTATGCTTTCTGACTTCTAAAATTTTATTGTTCTTGTCACCTTTTTCATGTTATTTGTCCTCAGGTTTACATGTTTAAAAAATTCTCTTTATAATTGTTGTAGCAGGAGAGAGCAGAGGCTAACGTGTTTTCAATTTGCCACCTTAACTGGAAGTCCTTACATATTATAAGGAATATACAAAAAATTGTGTGTGTGTACACAACACACATTTATTTTATGGAAATCTGTGACTTTATATATTCATTTAAAACCGATGGTCCTTAAACTTTAGCATCCATCAGAATCACCTGAAGAGCTTGTTAAACCTTAGTAATTTGCAGTTCCATTACGTTCTCAGGTGATACTAATACTGCTGGTCCAGGAGTATACTTTGAGAACCACTGATCTTAAAGTTCTATGGACATTGTTTTGTAGTATACCATTGCATGGAATTACTTAATTAAACTTCTATTCCTGGCATTTAGGTTGTTCTAAATTTTTATATTATAAACAGTGCTGCCACAGCATTCCTTGACCCGAAACCTTTGCATGGCTTTCAAATCATTTCACTGGGATGAAATCTTCAAAGTAGAACTGTTGGGCCTATTTGCACATCAGGTTTCTACTCTGTGCTAGAGACTGTTCTGGGCACTGGGACATAATGGTGGCAAGACTGTCCGCCTTCAGGGTGTTTATATTGTAGTAGGAGGAGATAGGCAATAAACGACCAAATAAAGAACATTTTAGTCACTGATAAGTGCTATGAAGAAAGGACTTACAGAATTTGGAGAAAGGGATTTTGAGGAGTTATTTTGAGACTTTGTGTTTAAGAAAGTGTAGCTTCTCAGGGTCATTCCTAGTCCTGCTGCTTTTCTACCCTTACTCCTTATGTGACTTCACCTAATACCATAGCTTTAACCAACCACCAACTATATGCTGAAACTAAAATTCCTATCTCTAGTCCCACCTCTCCTTCAAAGTATAGATTCTTATATTCAGCTGCTGACTCAACATTTCTGTTGGTGTATTTAATAAGATTCACACTTAACACACATAATTCTAACATTGATTTCGCTCATCAAACTGGATTTTTTTTTTTTTTTTTTTTGGCCATCTTCCTTGTCTTGGTAAATGGCAATGCATTCTACTTGTTGCTCAGGCCAACAACCTTATAATCATACTTGTTTTCTTTTCTCTCATGCTTTACATCCAATCTATCAGCAAATCCTTTGACTCTGCCTTTAAAATCTATCTAGAATGCAACCATTTCTCACCAGCTGCAATGCTACCGCTCCAGTCCAAGTACCAGTCATGGCTTTCCTGGAAGAGTGGTCTTCTGTTTCTACTCCTGCCCTCCCGTAACTCCATTCTTCCCTCAGCAGCTGGAGTGACCTTTTTAAATACATAAATGAGGTCCTGTTGCTTCCATGTTTTAAAACTCTCCAGAAACTTCTTAGAATAAAATCCAAAGTACAAATAATGACCTACAAAATTCTACATAATGTAGTTCTTAATCTCTCTTCAGTATCATTCCCACCACTTTCCCTCAGAAATTTCTGTTCTTATAAAGAGAAAGAGGTTGAATGGACTCATCGTTCCACATGGCTGGGGAGGCCTCACAATCTTGGTAGATTTACGTAGAAACTATATTATGTTGCATCCCATGATGCTCTCACTACACTGGCCTTTTTGCTGTTCCTGCAGTTCACTCCTGCTAATATACTTGGTATTCTTCCCAACATCCTTAAGACTTACTTTCTGAATTAATTCAGGTCTCTGCTCAAATATCACCTTCTCAATGAGGTTTCTCTGACACCCATATAAAGTAGCGCATCTCTCTTCCCTTCCCATCACTTACTATGACTCTACATTGCTATTTTTCTATGTAGCATCACTATCTGTCAAATGTAATTTTTTTTTTTTTAGAGAAAGTCTCTCCGTGTTGCCCAGGCTAGTCTCGCATTCTTGGGCTCAAGTGATCCTCCTGTCTCATCCTCCCTAGTAGCTGGGATTACAGGTGCACACCATGGCACCTGGCTCTGCCAATTGTATTTCTTGTTTGTTTGTTTATTGGTCTGTCTCCCATTACTAGAATATAAGTTCTAAGAGAGATGAGACATTATTCACTTGTCATTTCCTGAGACATAGAAGAGTGGCACAAAGAATGAGATGAATAAGCATCTGGTGAATGAATGAAGATACCATAATGTCATATGGTAGAGGATACCTGAAAGATGGGGATAGAAGAAGGTGCTGCTCTAGCTAAGTTTTGGAGTTTTGGAGAGGCCTTGTAGAGAAGGGGACATGGGAGTTGAGGTCAGAGTCAAAGCAGTTACACATCTTTTGTTGTGCATTGTAATTGTGTATCCTTTCCTTTATTTAAAAAATTGGTTTATGTTCACTATTAAAAAATTCAAACGTTCAAATTCTTTTTTTTTTTTTCTTTTTGGAGACAGAGTCTTGCTCTGTTACCCAGGTTGGATGGAGTGCAATGGCACGATCTCGGCTCACTGCAACCTCCCAGGTTCAAGCAATTATCCTGTCTCAGCCTCCCAAGTAGCTGGGATTACAGGCGTCCACCACTACACCCGGCTAATTTTTTGTATTTTTTAGTAAAGACAAGATTTCACCATGTTGACCAGGCTGGTTTCGAACTCCTGACCTCAAGTGATCCACCCTCCTTGGCCTCCCAAAGTGCTAGGATTACAGGCGTGAGCCACTGTGCCTGGCTCAAATCCGTCTTTAGAATCCTGTCCCATCCCACTCCTACAGATATCCCATGATTACGTTTTTGGCTGATTTTATTCTAGTCCTTTATTACTCTTTATTGCCAAATTGCTCTTTGTAAAGGTTTTATAACTAGTTTTAAGATAATTGTATTAGTCCATTTTCTTACTGCTATGAAGAAATACCCAAGACTGGGTCATTTATACAGAAAAAGAGGTTTAATGGACTCACAGTTCCACATGGCTGGGAGTGCCTCACAATCACGGTAGAAGGTGAAGGAGAAGCAAAGGCACGTCTTACATGGCAGCAGGCAAGATGAGCGTGTGCAGGGGAACTACCCTTTATAAAACTATCAGATCTCGTGAGATGTATTCACTCTCATGAGAACAGCATGGAAAAAACCCGCCCCCATGATTCAATTACTTTCCCCAGGTCCCTCCCATGACACGTGGGAATTATGAGAACTACAGTTCAAGATGAGATTTGGGTGAGGACACAGCCAAACCATGTCAATATTTAAAATGCCTGTTTAGATTTTTTGCTGTTTTTCTTTTGTTATCCAAATAGTTCACTGGATTTTTAAAAATCTCCATTTATCTCCTAAGAAACGTCTGTCTGCTCTGGATCTCTGGATGGAGTTGAATACTCACAACGAAAGGAGAAGGGAATCGTGAAGATGACCATGCCACAGACACTTGCCTTCTGTTATCTGTCCTTACTTTGGCAGAGAGAAGCAATAACACTTTCAGATCTTTTGAGGTTAGCTAGACCTCTTGTATGATAATATTTTTGCTGGTTACTACATGAACTAAGTAGACAAACTTCGGATATTTTGATTTTTATAAGAAGGCTTAACTTGAGGAAGGAACTGGAAAGGTTGAGTAGCCTGAATTCTAATTCTGAAATGTAATCCCCCCTGGGCTAGTAATTCATCTTCTTGATTTTCTTATTTATGTAGTAGAAATTATAGTACTTACCACACATGGGCTATTGGAAAATTAATTATCTAATATAATCTTTTGAAGAGAAAAGTGACATTTAAGTACCTGAGTAATATTAGTAAATATTTTTCATTTCTAAGAAAAGATAAACAGGTGATCTTTACATTAGCAAAATGGTTATTTGTAGTTACACAAAAGCATATATTGGTGTTAAGAGCTAAAATATAGGTTGTCTATGTTTGTAAGGAAAAGTTGAAGACAAAACTGTTGAAAGGATGTGTTATCCAGATAGTAAGCGTTTATATTTTTCAGGATAATCTACAGAGTGTTTTGGTTAATGAATAAATTACAGTTTTATGTGTAAGAATTTCTCACTTAATAGACGTGCCAAAATTCTTATGTGCTGATTTTTTTCTCCTTGCTTTATATGTGTTCTGAATAGTAACATTTGGGTTTAATCAATATGTAGGGTGCTTTTAACAGCACAAATTAGGAACCAAACTGCTGGGTTTGAATCCTGGCTTTGCCACTTATTTATTATATGACCTTGAGTAAGTCATTTAATTTGTCTCTGCTTTTGTTTCTTCGTTGGTAAAATGGGGCTAATAATAACTACCTCATAGGGTTGTAACTACTTTCAATAATTAGCGCTACATGGAAAGCACGTAGAGCAGTGTCTGGCACATAATAAGACCTCAGTGCTAGTCATTACTGTTTTTGTTTTCATCATCACCACCATCATCGTCATTATTGGCTCAGCCCCTTTGATTAAATGTAATGCCTCCAGTAAATGATGATAGTGCCTTTGAATTTGGCCACATCAACCAAATAAAAACGCTTTCCTCAGGTCTGATTAACTCTACAAGCAGATAGCCCATGATTCAGTGAATTTTACTATTAATTTAAAAACCTGATCTTGTTTTGTATGCCCCCATTGGGTGATCTCATCTTTTCCCAACGCTTTAATTACCACTATACTGATGACTCTCAAATTTATATCTCTAGCCCAGACTTGTCTACTGAGGGCCAGACCCATAGATTCATATATACAGCTGTCTGCTGGACACAGCTACTTAGATGTCTTTATGGTATCTCAGAATCAGCATGACTAGAGGTTCATCATCTGTCTCCTTGATCCAGCTCCTTTTCCAGTGTTCTCTTTCTTAGTAAATGCCATCCACCCTGTTGCATCCTATCCAGAAGCCTAGGAATCATCCTTGACTCTTTCCCCTCTACGTACACTGTTGGTCAATTGTCCACTCAGTTATATGTCCAAAAACTCACAGAACCATTCTTCTCTGCATTCCCTCTCTCTCTCTGTCCTCTCTACCCTCATTTGGATTGCTTAACAGTCTCCCAGATGAGCTCTGTGTCTGTAATCTTGTGTCATTTCTATCCATTTTCCTCCTGATAACCAGAAGGATCTTACAAAAACATAAACCTAATCATGTCATTAGAGCTGGATAAAGGGGCTAGCCATCCTACCCAGGACGATCTATAAGGGGCTAACAGAACTCTCCTAGAAATCTAACAAGGTGGAGAAAGTCGTATTTACCTGGAATTCTTCTCAGGGAGAATATTATATGTGGTTGGAATAATAGGGGTAAGATACTACCCACCCCTCTTCTCTCCCTCCCTCTTTTCTCCTCTCTCTCTCTTTCCCTCTCCTCCCCCACCAAGGGGAATTCTAAAATGCCTTCAAGGAGATTAAATCTAGTTAGCTAGGGGGCTTTTGTTTTGCTCTGTGGAATACACAAGTTTGGGAACAGAGCTTAGTTGCTTGGGGCTATAGGAGAAGAGACTGTCACCATTGATATTCTTCCTTTGCTTTTCTCCCAGAAAGAGCTCTAAGTCATAAGTTCTCAAAATGTGGCCTCCTGACTTACAGCTTCAGTATCACTTGGGAACTGGTTCGAAATGTGAATTCTTAGACCTATCCTACACCTTCTGAATCAGAAACCCTGGGGTAGGACCTGATAATCTCTGCTTTAAAATAAGCCCTTCAGGGGATTCTTCTTCTTTTTTTTTTTTTTTAATTGTTTATTTTTATTTTTTCGTAGAGCTGGGGTCTTGTGATGTTGCCCAAGTTGGTCTCAAACTTCTGGCCTCAAGCAAGCCTCCTACCTTGGCCTCCTGCCTTGGCCTCCCAAAATGTTGGGATTATGTCATGAGCCACCATGCCTGGCCCAGAGGATTCTTATGGATGGCAAAGTTTGAGAACCACTGCCAAACTTTGAAAAAATATGTAAAGAACACAGTTTTAAGGGAGTATGTTATTAGCCTGGCCAAAGTACCCACATACCTTAACACTGTGCATGTCACTCCCTTTTTAAGTCCTCTAGCAGCATCCATAGTCCTTAGGATAAATTCATTACCCTGCAAATAGCCTGTAAGGGACCCTGCCTACCTAGCAATAATGGCATTAATGAATAAAAATAGCCAGCCCTTATTCATTCTGTAAATTTGTATTGAATATCTACTATATGCAGGTGTTGTTCTGGCATCTAGACCCTTGCGATGCAGTTGTGAATCATATAGGTCAAGTCCTTGCTCTCACAAATTTCAAGACCAGAGGAGGAAAAAACAAACACATACATATGGTTGGTGCAAAGGTCATTGCAGTTAATGGCAAAAACCACAATTACTTTTGCACTAACCTGATAAATAAGAAAAGGATCAGACAGGGAAAGGCTATTCAGAAGATTGAAATAGGATGGTATGATAGAAAATGACTAGATGGCTACTCTAGATTGGTTATTCGGGAAGGCCTCACCAAGAGGGTGGCATTTACTCTGCACCTTAAATGAAAATAGAGCCAGTGTGAATATCAGGAGTACAATAGACCTCACTTACCACAGAAGATATGTTCCAAGACATTGGATGCCTGAGAATGTAGATAGCACGGAACCCTATATACACTATGTTTTTTCCTATGTGTACATTCCTATGATAAAGTTTAATTTATAAGTTAGGCATAGTAAGAGATTAACAACAATACCTAATAATAAAATAGAATAATTATTACAGTGTACTGGTACTACTACTCTTGAGCTTTGAGGCTGTTATTAAGTAAAATATAAGGGGTACTTGAATGCAAGCACTGCAACACTCTGACAGTAGATCTGAGAATGAGCCAATGAACTACAAGTAACTCATGGCTGGGTGGCGCTACAGCTTGGCTGTGCTGGACAAAGAGAGGACCCGCATCTCAGGTGGGTCAGAGAGAGATGGCATGATATTTCATCATGTTCTTTAGAATGGCATACAATTTAACACTTATGACTTGTTTATTTCTGGAATTGTCCATTGTATATTTTCAGACCACAGGTAGCTGAAACCATGCAACACAAAAAAGAGGATGAGTGGGGACTGCTGTACTGGCATTCCGGGTAGAAGGAGGTTGCTAGTGCCAAGCCCTAAAGCAAGAGCTGTGTGATGAAGGAGCAGAGGAGAGTTCGTGTGACTGGAGTCAGAGAATTCTAGGGCGGAGTAGGAGGATGAGAGTGAACAGATCATCAGAGGCAGATATCTGTCTTTGTAAACCAAGTTAGGAATTTGGATTTTTAAAAATTGAGGTATAATTTATATATAATAAAATGCACCCTTTAAAAATATACAATTCAGTGGTTTTCAATATGTTTTCAAAGTTTGCAAAGCTGTGCAGTCTCTATTTTCAGGACATATCACTCTGGAAGGAAACCTCATACCCAGGGGAACTGCGGGTTTCCAGTGTGAGAGTAAGCCCCTGGAAGATTGCAGCAGGAGAGATACGATCTGATTGATGTTTTTAAAAGATCATTCAGGCAGCTGTGGAAAATGAGTTCTGGGAAGGGTGGAAGCACGGAGACCAGGTGGTCTTTTGCTATCCTCCAGGCAAGAGATGGTGGCTTGGATTATGGCAGTGGTAATGGTGACTGGGTTCAGGATCTGTTTTTACAGGTAGACACGACTTAATTCTAATGCAGTGGTTTTTTTCAGTGATCTGAGACAAAGGATGAGTTTACTAAATTTCTAACCCATCATAGATTGAAACTTTGGAAAATTACATAATTATAAGTAGAGACAGTGTTTCCAGGGGACATGGCTAAACTCTGTTGGTCAGGAGAGGCATATGAGATGCTTTTAGTCTACACCAGTTTTTCTGTCAACTTCCTGGATTGATCTAGAGAACTAGCTGATAATACCTAGGAAGGGAAATAGATTGTTCAGAACTTTGAGTAAGCAGCTTTTTTTTTTTTTTTTTTTTTTTTTGGAAAAACAAATACTTTTCTAAAAGGAGATTCAAAGAACTATTTATAAATGGTGAAAAACTGTTAGAACTCCAGATGCCGAAGACCTGCTCTTTGCGGACATTTCTGCTTCCCCTAGTCAGGTCTCTCATTTCTTCCTCTGCTCCTACAGAACTGACTGTGCCTCTGTTGTGCTGCTTGAGACAGTGTCTCTACTGACTCATGTGCAGGCTGTTTGTCTGACCTATTAGGGTGGGAGTGTGGAAGACCCTTCATCTCTTACTTATCTCTGCAGACTCCTAACACTCCACATAGTGCTGGCATGTATTATCACATAGGAGTGAAGACTACATAAATAATGAGCACATTAACATAGTGGAATACTAGGCAGCTTAAAAAGTGACAGGTATACATTACATCTTGTATATAAAATAATATTAAACCAAAAATATAATTTCACAATAATACAAATACTGATTACTGCACATAAATACTATCATATAAACGAAATATACTAATAAAAACTTAGCTGGGGAACCTTTAACACCATTTTTATGTAAATATTTCTCAACTTTCAGTAGAGTAAAAATTAAAACACATTTTTAATTGAAATTAAATTTGAGGCTGGGCCTGGTGGCTCACTTCTGTAATTCCAGCACTGTGGGAGGCTAAGGCAGGCAGATCACTTGAGGTCAGGAGTTTAAGAACAGCCTGGCCAACATGGTGAAAACCTGTCTCTACTAAAAATACAAAAATTAGCCAGGCATGGTGGTGGGTGCCTGTAAGTAATTCCAGCTACTTGGGAGGATGAGGCAGGAAAATCACTTGAACCTGGGAGGTGGAGGCTGCAGTGAGCTGAGATCATGCCACTGCACTCCAGGCTGGGCGACAGTGAGACTCTGTCTTAAAAAAAAAAAAGTGTTGAATCAGTTTTGTCCTTTAAGTGTTACAAAGCTGAAAGCCAAATGTCAGCCCAGCTCTTCAAGGCAATGCATTTTGTGTACTTATTCCTGTCTTTAGCTCACTTTCCTTAATTTTCTTATTTTAAATATATATAGGTATAAGTATATATTTGACATGGTTGCAAGACCCCCATTTCTCATTCTCAGTTCTCCTTTATTTTTCTCCTTAACATTTCACTCTACCTAACATACTATAGATTTTACTCATCTGTTTTGTATCTTTCTTTTCTCACTAGAATGTAAACTCCATAGGAACAAGAATGTTCTTCTGTTTTGTTCACTGCTGTTTCCCTGCAGTCTAGAATAGGACTAGGTATATAGTATTCAATACA
The DNA here is from genome assembly GCF_000001405.40 of Homo sapiens. Taxonomy (NCBI): domain Eukaryota; kingdom Metazoa; phylum Chordata; class Mammalia; order Primates; family Hominidae; genus Homo; species Homo sapiens. Next base: position 9,881,724 of record NC_000002.12, read on the forward strand.
TTGTTGTTAAATTAATGAATCCTAAATAAATATATTTGTCTATTTATGTGTATGTGTTATTTTCTTCAAACTCAATAATTGACTCAAAATATTTGATCCACTGTGTACCAGGCATTGGGGTGGAGTGGTGAGCAAACAGGCAAGGTCCCACTCCTTAATGGTTCTTTCAGCAACAAACATCTAACATGTACCATTATAGGTATTGGAGACAGAAGGGTAGACAAGGGAGGTAGGCTGTCACAGAAAATGGGGATCAAGGTAGACCTCCTTGAAGGAGTGATTTATGAGTAGGAGCCTATCATGCGAGGGGAGCTAGGGATACAGGGAATGCCATGTTGGAAAGCCTAGTGGTGAACTAACAAGTAGGATACACACTTCTTGAACACTTTTTTTTTTTTTTGAGACTGAGTCTTGCTCTGTTGCCCAGGCTGGAGTGCAGTGGCGTTAGCTCACTGCAACCTCCGCCTCCCAGGTTCAAGCGATTCTTCTGCCTTAGCCTCCCGAGTAACTGGGACTACAGGCCAAGCCACCATGCCTAGCTAATTTTTGTATTTTTAATAGAGACGGGGTTTCACCATATTGGCCAGGCTGGTCTCGGACTCCTGACCTCGTGATCCGCTTGCCTTGGCCTCCCAAAGTGCTGGGATTACAGTTCTGAAACTCCAGGGCTCAAGCAGTCTTACTGCTGCTGCCTCCCAAATAGCTAGGGGTACAAGCATGTGCCACTGTGTGCAGTCCTTCTTAGACATATTTATTTAGACAGGAACTTAAGAGAATCATTCAGTAATTGGCTAAATAGGCCAACATATGGGTAAAGAGAATAATAGATATGATTAGATTTATTATCCTTAAAATCGTGGGAAATAGAATATGCTTAACTAATTCTTACCTTGTCTTTGAATTAAGAGATTTTTCTTAAAGCATTTACTCTGCTATATCAGTATATAACTCTCATTAAACCTTTTTCTTTTTAAAAATACAGGTTTGTTGAAGAGGACCATATTCCTTACATAAATGCTTTTCAGCATTTTCCAGAACAGATGAAATTATATGGACGTGACAGAGGAATCTTTGGTATAGAGGTAAGTTATTTTCTTTTTTACTTTCTAGTCTCTGATAAGGCACAAGAGTGGTATGATAATTTCTATTTCTTGCTTGACTTATTATTTGGTGTTTTGTGTTTTATCCCAATATGGAACATCAGTCATAATTTAACGAAGAGTAGAATTTTATTATTTTTTATTTTCCTTATGTGGATTCCTCTAATCCTTTAGGTTATCCTCAAAATATAGCTGTAGTGTGATGTGTGTGCATTGCAGATAGGTATGTTGTTGAGACTAAACTTGAGAACTTTTATCTAGAGACCTTTAGGTAATTTCAATTTTTTAAAAATAAAATATGTGTTTTGTTGTTGTTATTTGCACACTATATTGCTATGGAAGAAAGAGAAGAAAGTTATTACCGTGTTTCTAAAGGTACTATTTTAAGTTCTTCACTTATGTTAGTTTGTCTTTTTCTAGATCTGTTTTCAGATGTCTCCAATGGAAGGGTTTCTGTCCTTTGATTATGAGTTTGTGTCACTATTGGTGGTACTCAAAGGTTATTTCCCCTTGGTTCTCATCAGAAGTTTTTTTTGATGTACTAAATGTTAAAGATTTTCCTCCATTCACCTACTTAAGGAATCATTTTCATAGAACTTCATGACCCTGACATTGTTGGCGGTGTAAGAGTCATTTGTTAAGTGCTGTTTAATAGTGGCCTGACTTTGATGAAGGGTAACCTCTATTCAGATACCCTTTGATGTTCAACTTAATGTTGAGGTTTATCCCTTTCCAGCCTGTCAGTGTTAATAAATGCAGACATAAAGTGAATTTGCAAATTTTATGGAAGTTTCAGCATTTCATGTTATCTTTGAAATTAATGTAGGAGAACTGCTTGCAAATCCATTGACAAACACAGAGCTGGCAGAGAATTTAAAGTTGAAGAAGAGAAAACCAATAATGAGGATGGCACAATAGGTGCTTCCAAAGGGAAAATTTGAATGTCAAAGGATTAAGAGTACTCCCTGGCAAAGCTGATAGAGCCCCTGAATATTTTGTAAAATAATTCTCTTTGTAGTTATGCTATAATATCAAAGGCAATAGGAAGGATGTCATATTGTTGCGGGATCTTTGGGGTGCCGTTTTTCTGGCTGGAAAACCTTTGTGGCCGGTGGCATCTTTGCCCAAGTTTTGCACTAGGCTCATTTCGCCCACTCCGCCTGGCAGGCTGTGCTTGGCTCACGCTACCGGCCTGGGTCTCATGCCTGCCAAGGGCAAGTCAGGCATGGAATGGTGATGGATGTGTGAGCAAGCATGGGGTCTGGCCAGTCAGATATGCCACCTGCTGCAGCGGGGCAGGCAGTTCCAGGTGCCAGCATGATTGCCAGCGATCCGCGAGGCTGCGACCGGACCAGTCGCGCTGCAAGCAGTTTCCGCAGCTGGCATTGGGGAACACGGTGGTACCTGGGAGCTTGGAGATGCCAGGAACCACAGGGCCTCAAAGAGGGAGTCACAGCCCTGGCTCGAGGAGCTCCCAGGTCTGGACTCCCCAAAGGACCGCAGCTCTTCTTTCCTTCTCTTTGCCCACAACATGGCGAGCAAGGGGCATGTTTCAGACCTGTTTGTGTTACAACTGTTTTAGCCTTGCCATTCTGTGCGTCCTGAGTTCGTGTCCTGCAACCAGGAAGAATGAGGTACACAGATAAGTGGAGGGTGAGCGAGATGAAGAGGAGCTTTATTGAGCGACAGAACAGCTCAGTCTCCCACAGCGGGCAGCTCCTTTCTGCAGCCAGGGTATCCTGATGAGCGTTCAGCTCCTAGCAGAAAGGAGACTCTGGAATGGGAAGCTCCTGTCTGCAGGCAGGTCGTCCTATTGTCTTTGCAGCTCTCTCAGCAGAGAGGAGGCCCTGGAGTAGGTTATTCCTCTCTGCATCCCATTGTCTTCCCAGCTCTCAGCAGAGAGGGGGCCCTGGAGTGGGTTGCTTCTCTCTAAAGCTGGTCATCCCTTCTGAGTTGGGGTGGGAGCTCCCTGGGTGCTGCTGCAGCCACCCAAGCCACAGCTGTGGACGTGGGCATCCTTGTGCTCTCAGGACAACCTGCCCTCAGAGAGGAGCTTCCCACTCTAAATCATTCATAGTGACCCACATTCTAACTCAGTGCAAATTCTGCCAATATTTAATAATCTGAGATAAAATGTTATGGTATGTTCCATGCATATTCAACTGTATTTCTAGTTGTCCATTTCCTTCTGGCTCAGCGCTCCAAAATTAGTACTTTGTAGAAGTATAGTGTAACAAATTCTTAGTATATCTTCGTAGAACCTATTTAAGTGTTTTGGAGAACTAGGATAGTGAGAAGGGCAGAAAAGTAGGCAAACAGGCTAAAAGATGATACAGTGAGTAAAAAGCCTAAATACTGTAGTTCTAAGTCAGATTACCATCTGTGTGACCTTGGCGAGGCATTCTGTCTGTCTGAGGTGTCTGCTTTATATGTAAAATTGGGATATCAGCTGAACTGTTTATCATGCAGAGGTTTAGCAGGGATCACATGAGATCACAGATGTCAAAGAACTTTGTAAACTATACATGACACAAATAGAAGGTGACACTGGTACAGAAAGAATAATTGATCCTCCACATGAAAAACTGTAAAGGATATTGCATAAATGTAGTTAATTCATGGTTTATTTTGAATGTGAGTCATTATGAGTGATTTGTAGAAGCATTAGATTTTTACAGCAAAACTGGTTTCACCCTTAGAACAACTTGAGTGGGAGCAATTCCAATAGATTTGGAGAGCAGAAAGCAAGCTTGGACGTTTGGTTCCCTCATTCTAGGTGTGAATCTTTATGTCTTCACAGTTATTCAGTTTTCCTAGAGCGACTAGTGGAACTAAGTTACTACTTTTGCATTAGCTATCAGCTTTGTCTTGGTTAATAACAATGTCTTTCTTCTGTATGTCTCCCTTCTTTCTCCCCACGCCCCCCCCCACTTTGTCCTTCTCTCCCTTAATCTCCAGCAATTCTCAGAGCTATTCACTACTCAAGTTATATTGATAATTTTTGCTTAGTTAAGGTTATTTGTATATTTTCCTAGTGCCTGAAATCATCATGTTATCTTTAATTCACTAACCAAATTATAAGCTCCTCAGGAACAGACATCAGAATATTTTATGTAGAATCATGGATTATTAAAGCTGGAGGGAAATTTGGAAATCATTTAGTCCACTTTTCTTATTTTTCCAATAAGGAAACAAACCTAAGAAGAAATATGACTTGGGAATAAGTAAACCTATTCTTCATTAGGATTTTTCATGAGGATTATTTGAGGTAGTATATTCAAAATGCAGACATATTGACGTATTCAAATGGCAATAGGCTCCCTTCCAGACTGGAAAAACTTTTCCCGCAAGATAGGGATTAAGAGGGTAATCAAGCTGTTTGGATCAAAAAAAAAAAGACATACCATTTTGGAAAATTAAGTTTCCATTTTAAGATTCTGTTAACTTTTGAATGTGTTCATTTCTAGATTTTCTCTTGATCTGCAGTCCAGTGCTCTACTTCTGAGCTATACTCGCTCCTTCATTTCTAGGTTTTCTCAAATTAGGTTCGAGGAAGTCCATGGATATGGGAAAGGATAATGTATCTTGTTTCTCATGGTGGTATTTTATAATTTCAGTTACCATGTATTCAACTTTTTGCAAAAGATATTGCTTCCTGTGCTGAGTTTATATGCTTGGAAATGGTATCTAACCAGTAATTTCCTTTTTAAGAGGTTTAGTTTCATTTTAAATGTACTCACATAGACACTCAAATTTCACTATTTAAAAGTAATTATTTTCAAAAATTTCTTCTATGTGTTCTTTCAAATAGTAATAGATCCCATTATTACTAAATGTTTAGGGGACTGCAAGAGAGAGAGAGATATAATACACCAAATTAAGAGACTGTTTCTATAATAGCCATTGTGGCTTACATTGCCCAGAAGCCTAGCTCATTCCTTCAGTTAAGATTTACATTGCCGGCCAGGCGCAGTGGCTTACGCCTGTAATCCCAGCACTTTGGGAGGCCGAGGCAGGCGGATCGCGAGGTCAGGAGATTGAGACCATCCTTGCCAATATGGTGAAACCCTGTCTCTACTAAAAATACAAAAATTAGCTGAGCGTGGTGGCGCACAGCTTTAGTCCCAGCTACTCGGGAGGCTGAGGCAGGAGAATCGCTTGAACCCAGGAAGCGGAGGTTGCAGTGAGCCGAGATTGTGCCACTGCACTCCAGCCAGGCAACAGAGTGAGACTCTGTCTCAAAAAAAAAAAGATTTATATTGCCCACCTATGGGGAGTGTGGTAAGAAGTACCTACAACTATAATAGTCGCATTTATTTCTGACGGCAATTCACAGTTTCAACCTGAAATATTATTTTCTCAGTATTGTATCACATCTAAACTGTTTCCTTCCTCTTTTAAGTTTTAACAATTTGAGACAAGTTTTGTAAATTAAGAGGTGAAATGAGTTATGTTTACTTGCTCTTTGATCTGAAACCATTCAAATACTAATTTTTACTCATCCTATCAATTACTGAGAGAAGAGTTTTGAAATCTCCAACTATGATTGCAACTTTTGTTTCACATCCTATCAGTTTTTGCTTCTGTTACTGGAGCTCTATTACTAGGTGTGTAACATTTACAGTATTTTGTCTTCTTGATAAATTGACTCCTTTATCATTATCTAATGTCACTTTTTTCTCCTCGTGCTGTTTCTACTTGTCTGATACTAATATAGCCACTCCAAGTTTTTTTTATTGATGTTTGCACAGCATATCTTTTTCCAATCTTTTATTTTTGACCTATCTGTGTCTTTATATTTAAAGTGTTTTCTGGTAGTTAGTATGTCATTGGGTGTTGATTTTTAAACATCTAATTGATAATCTCTGCCTTTTAATTCGTGTGTTTAAGCCATTTACATTTGACATAATTATCAGTATAGTTGGGTTTGAATCTACCATCTTGCTATTACATGTCTCATCTCTTGTTTTTTCTTTTTTTCTTCTTTTCCTGCCTTTTGGATTAATTAAGAATTTTTTGTTGTTGTTGTTTGTTTTATGTTTTTTAAGGCATAGGGTCTTATTCTGTCACCCAGACTGGAGTACAGTGGCATGATCGTAGCTCACTGTAACCTCAAACTCCTGGGCTTAAGCAATCCTTTTGCCTCAGCCTCCCTAGTAGCTAGGACTACAAGCAAATACCCCCACAGCCAACTAATTAAAAAAAAATTTTTTTTAGAGACGTGGTCTTGCAGTGATGCCCAGGCTTAATTAAGAATTTTTTAATAATTTCATTTTATCTCCACTGTTGATTTATTAACTATACCTCTCTGTGTTTTTTTGTGGTTGCTCTAGGGTTTACAGTATTCATCTTTACCTTTTCTCATTCTACCTCAACTAATAATATACCATTACTTGTATAGAGTAAGACCCTTACAACAGAGTATTTCCACTTCCCTCCTCCCATCCTTTAGTGTCAAACATTTCACTTCTACCTTAATGCATTGGGATTTTTTTTTTCTGTAAGCAATCATTTATCTTTTCAAGAGATTTAAAATGAGAAAAATCATTTTATATTTACCTATGTGTTTGCCATTTCTGGTAATCTTTTTATTTAGATCCCAATTTCTGTCTAAAAAACGTCCTTTAACATTTCTTGTAGTACAGTTCTGCTGGCAGTGAATTATTGTTGCTTTTCTTGTTCTAAAAAAAAGTCCTAACTTTGCCTTAATTTTTGAGAGATATTTTCAGTAGGTATAGAATTCTAGTTTCATACCTTTTTTTCAGTACTTTAAAGATGTCATTCCATTGTCTTCAGGCCTGCCTAATTTCTGATGTCAATCTGCTATAATTCTTATCTTTACTGTTCTTTATATAATGTGCCTTTTTTCCTTTAGCTGCTTTTTAAGATTTTCTCTTTATCACTGGATCTCACCAATTGGATTATTATGTGCCTTGTCACAGTTTTCTTTATGTTTCTTCTGCTTGGTTTTTTTTTTTTTTTTTTTTTTTTTTTTTTAAGACAAATTTTTGCTCTTGTCGCCCAGGCTGGAGTGCAGTGGCATGATCCCGGCTCACTGCAACCTTCGCTTCCTGGGTTCAAGCGATTCTCTTGCCTCAGTCTCCTGAGTATCTGGGATTACAGACATGCGCCACCACACCCGGCTAATTTGTATTGTTAGTAGAGATGGGGTTTCACCATGTGGGCCAGGCTGGTCTCGAACTCCTGACCTCAGGTGATCCACCCGCCTCGGCCTCCCAGAGTGCTGGGATTACGGGTGGGGAGCCACTGCACCCAGCCTTCTGCTTGGGTTTTATTTACCTTAGATTTATGGGTGTGCAGTTTTCATCAAACTTGGACATTTTCATCCATTATTTGTTTAAATTTTTTTGGCCTCCCCTTGCCTTTTTCTGGGATACTAATTACATGCTAGACCACTTGATATGGTACCATAGCTCCCTGAGGCTTTTCCTTTTTATTTTTCTGGCCTTTCTGCTTACTATGTTTTGTTTTGATAATTTCTATTGTTATGTCTTCAGATTCAGTGATCTTTACTTGAGTATCTTCTAATGTGTCATTAAACCCATTCAATGTGTTTTTCATTTCAGATACTACATTTTTCATTTCTGGAACTTGCATTTTAGTCTTATTTCTTCTCTTTCTCTTCTCATTATGTTCTTGTTTTCTTTTATATTCTTGGCTATATTGACAGTATTTGTAATAGATGTTTTAAAACCCTTGTCTGCCAATTCCATTGTCTTTGTTATTTCTGGGTCTGTTTTATTGATTGGTTATGTATCATATTTTCCTGCCTCTTTGCATGACTGGTAATTTTTTTTTATTAGATGCAATCATTGTAATTTTTATGTTGTAGAGTGCTAGATTTTTTGTTCTAGTGTATAATTAAGTAACTTGAAGAACAGTTTAATCCTTTAGAAGCTTGTTTTTAAGTTTTGTTGTGTGTGGTTTGTTATTAATAGTCCCTTTTTTTCTGGGACTATTTTAGCCTCACTACTAAGGCGTATCCCTACTAAAGACTCTACCCAATGCCTCTGGTATTACGAAGTCTCTGCACTTTGGCTGTTTGCCTTCCGTGAGCTTTGGAAATTGTTTGCTCTACTGCTTTCCTGTTATTTTTTTCCCTGGCCTCAGATATTTTCTCATACATGCACATATTGATACTCAGCAAAACACATGAGAGGGCCCCTTTGCAGGTCTCTGGATCTCTCTGTCTATGCAATTTTGTCCTTTGTGGTACTAAGCTTGCAAATTTTAGCCACCTCAGCTTCCAGAAACTCCAGTCCCTGTCTCCTCTGCTCATCAAGACCACTGAGCTCTGTTTCACTTCCCACCCTTGCACTGCACTGCAGTTTGGAAACTGCCTCCAGGCAGTAAGCTGGGCCATTTGTTTCTCTTCTCTAAGGGATTAGTGTCCATGCTGTCTGTTGTCCAATGCTTGAACCTGTTCTTTCATATATTTTTTCCAGTTCTCTGTTGGATACGGTGGAAGCTCAGTTCCCATGGTTGGTAATCCTTCATGGGCAGAAACAGAAGTGTTCCAAATACTAATTTTTAGACATTTAGAAATAGAGTCAGTATTCAGATGCTTTTTAGGTATTACCTGAACAGTTCTTTCTCAGATGCCTGAAAGCATGTTGTTGCTCACTCATTCTTGGATTTTTTTAAAAAAAAATTGTAGTCTCTGTTCATGAATATTGTCACTAATCTGATCTTTACTTAAATCTTTTCCCCTAAATACCTGCCCTAGTAATAATCCCTTTTGTTGATCTATTTTTTTTCTTTTTTGAAGTAATATTGTTTTTAATTGACAAATTATAATTAATACATGTATGGGGTACAGTGATATTTTGAGATATGTTTACCATGTGAAATGATTACATCAAGCTAATTAACATGTCTGTCACCTCACCTATCATTTTTATGGTGAGACATTTGAAATTTACTCTCTTATTTTATTTTTTTTGGGGACGGAGTTTCCCTCTTGTTGCCCAGGCTGGAGTGCAATTGCACAATCTATGCTCACCACAACCTCCACCTCCCAGGTTCAAGCGATTCTCCTGCCTCAGCCTCCCAAGTAGCTGGGATTACAGGCATGCGCCACCAATCCTGGCTACTTTTTTGTATTTTTAGTAGAGATGGGGTTTCTCCATGTTGGTCAGGCTGGTCTCGAACTCCCGACCTCAGGTGATCCACCCGCCTCAGCCTCCCCAAGTGCTGGGATTACAGGCATGAGCTACTGCACCTGGCCTACTCTCTTACTTTAAATTATACAATACAGTCATGTGCTGTATAACTGTTTCAGTCAACAATGGATCACATATACAACGGTGGTCTAATAAGATTGTAATGGAGCTGAAAAATTCCTGTCACCTAGTGATGTTGTAGACTTCATAACTTCTTAGCACAACACATTACTTGTGTGTTTGTGGTGATGCTTCTATAAACAGACCTTTACTGCCAGTGGTAGAAAAGTATACCATATATAATTATGTGTGATACAGAATACTTTTTTAAAATTACTGTCCTGTTTCTTTTATTCTCCACCTTTATTTCCCTGTAAGGTGTAAGAATTTTTTTGGTATGCTTAATTTTTTTAACTGATGCCTGATACATGTACCTATTTCTGGGATACATGTGATAATTTAATACATTTATATAATTTGGAGTACATAATACTTGATAATAACTGTTACTGTTACTGGTTTATGTATTTACTATACTTGTAATCATTACTTTAAAGTGTACTTCTTCTACTTATTAAAAAAAAGTTAACAGCCTCAGGCAGGTTCCGTAGGAGATATTCCAGAAGAAGGCATTGTTACCACAGAAGATGACAGCTCCATGCATGTTATTGCCCCTAACCCCATATAGGCCTGGGCTAAATGTGTATGTTTGTGTTTTAGTTTTTAACAAAAAAGTTTAAAGAGTAAAAAAACAAAAAATAAAAATTTTAAAAATAGAAAAAAACATTATGGAATAAGGATATAAAGAAAACATTTTTGTATAGCTGTACAGTATGTGTTTTAAACTAAGTTGTATTACAGGAGTCAAAAAGTTAAAATTATTTTTAAGTTTATATAGAAAAGATGCAGTAAGCTAAGGTTAATTTATTACTGAAGAAAGCATATTTTTTATAAATTTTGTGTAGCCTAAGTGTACAGCATTTATGTAGTGTGCAGTAATATTGTAAGCCTTCACATTCACTCACCACTCACTCACTGGCTCACCCAGAGCAACTTTCAGTCTTGAAGGCTTCATTCATGGTAAGTGCCCTATAGAGGTGTACAGTTTGTTTATACTGTATTTTTACTGTACCTTTTCTATGTGTAGATACATAAATACTTGCCATTGTGTTACAGTTGCCTACAGCATTCAGCAGTATATAACATGCAATACATGTTTGTAACCTGGGAGTAGTAGGCTATCTCATATAGCCTAGGTGTGTACTGGGCTGTAACATCTAGGTTTGTGTAAGTACACTCTTCACACAATGAAATTACCCAATGATGCATTTCTCAGAAAGTATCTCTGTCATTCAGCTACGCATGACTATACATTATTATTGACTGTAGTCACTCTGCTGTGCGGTAGATCTCAAAACTTGTTCCTTCTGTCTTCTGAAACTTTGTACCCTTTGACCAACAACTCCGCATTCCCTCCCTCCTCAGCTTCACCCAGCCTTAGATTCTTCATATAAGTGAGATCATGCAGTATTTGTCTTTCTGTGCCTGGCTTATTTTACTTATGGGCCCTCTAGGTTCACCCATGGTGTCGCAAATGACAGAATTTCCCTCTGAATTTAAGGCTGAATAGTTTCCCATTCTATATCAGTACACGTTTTCTTACATTCATCCATCGATGGACACTTAGGTTGAGTCCATATCTTGGCTTTTGTGAGTTATGCTGCAGTGAACCCCATCAACATATTGATTTTGATTTTTTTTGGATATTATCCAGCAGTAGGATTGCTGGGTCATATGGTAGTTCTGTTTTAAGTTTTTTGAGTAACCTCCATTTCATTTCCATGATGGCTATAGTAATTTACATTCCCACCACCAATGTACAAGAGTTCCCTTTTCTTTGCATCCTTGCCAACACTTACCTTTCATCTTTTTAAATTAATTTTGAGTGAAGGGACAGGGTAAAAAAGCAGAGAGACTTCTTAGAGATTTTGGTGGAAGATATAAGCATAGAAAATAATATGAAATTACATCTTGGTAGCAACCACTGCACTTTGCTTTTTTTCACTTACATCTTGGAGAGCACTTAAAAAAATTATTTTGGAATAATTTTAGATTTATAGAAAAGTTGCAAAACTAAGAGTAGTACAAAGAATGCCCATATATCCTGTATCCAGAGTTAACTGTTGTTAGCATTTTATGCCATTGTTTGATCATTTGTGCCATTTTTCCTATCTGTCTACCTACCTACTTGTGTATCTGTGTAATTTTATTTCTGCGTCATTGATTATAAGTTATATCCATCCTGACCCATTACTCCTGAGTACTTTAAAAGACTAAAACAAGGTAGCTAGGTAATGAAAAAATAAGCCAAACAAAACCAGAAACAATCTAAATGTCTATCAACAGGAAAATGGAAAAAATGTGATATAGTCATATAATGGTACAGTAAACCACTATGAAAATTCATGAACTGCAGCTGCAAGCAACGTGAATGAACCTAAGAAACATTATATAGAGTGTGAAAGGCAAAGCTCAGGCTAGACGTGGTGGCTCGCCCTGTAGTCTCAGCTACTAGGGAGGCTGAAGTGGGAAGATTGCTTGAGCCTTGGGAGGTCGAGGCTGCAGTGAGCTATGCTCATGCCACTGCACTCCAGCCTGGACGACAGAGCAAGACCCTGTCTCAAATAATAATCATAACTTTAAAAAAAAGGCAAAGCTCAGAAAACTACATACTATGGTATAATACTGTCTTTTTAAAAGGCAAGTTAACAATGAGCAAAATTCAGTAAACTAGTTACCTCTGGAGGCAGAGACAGAGGGATGGGATAGGGAGGAAGTATACTAGTAGATACAACCATATTGGCAATGTTTTAGTTCTTAAGTTGGGTAGTGGATTCATAGGCATTTATTATTACCAGGCTTCATAGCTTACAGATATAGTATATGTATTCTTTTGCATTTTTCAGAATTTTAAAGGCAGCTAAAGGATGTTGTCTAAATAGAATTTATAAAAGAGAGGAGTAGAAGACAGTATGTCATGCATGATTTGTTTGTATATGTCTTACATCCTTAACTAAAAGTGTAAATTGAGCATAAAGACCGTATTTAATGCTTCTATTTTATTATCTATATTATAGATTCTATAAGACCTACTATAATTCCGTCTACAAAATAAGGACTCAGTCTGTGTTTATTGATTACATGATTTGAAATAGCTATAAAACAGTAAGTTTAAACACTATTTTCAGAAAAATTCAAATTGATCTGTTGGGGAGTTTTTCTCACATAGGTAGGAAATTTCTAGACTGCTTCTGATATATTTATTATACAATATATCAGAAGGCCACTAAATAGTGGCATTTGGTTAAGAGAAATTTAAAGAAAAAACATTCTATTAAATTTTAGTGGTAAATATATAAAGGATATAACTTCTGCTTGTTAGCAAGGACATTTAAAAATAAGAGTTATGGGTGTGTCAGTATCATTCATATGAAAAAGTTAGCAGTTCATATTCTTACCAGTATGCTGAAACCAACAGTGAATTACTCAGGCTAGAAAATGTATCTGAGGCTACATTTATATTTCTTTTAGAATCATACCTCATGTTTGCTAAGTGAAGCTGATAATTTTGTGTGGATTACCTGTGATTTTGTTTCATCCTGGGCCAGTATGCCCCAGTACCCAGTATACCTGGGGCTTCCCTCACCTGTCCCTCCCAGGAGGAGAGAATGGGAACCTGGTGTTACACTAGCCTAAACTAAACCGAGTAACGGCAGAGGTAAATCTGCTGCAAGAGTAATCACATGACCCTTCCAAAATCAAATAGAAATTATTTTGAGATTATCTAGTCTTCTCGATACCATCTTTTAAACTTCATTACCACAGATATGTGAAATTGGAACATGGCTATGCAACAATCAGCAGAGCGTTTGGAGAACAGGCACATATTAAGGAGGACTCCAATAGGTTTTTACCAGCTCTGATCCTGGGGCCAAAACAAATTATTATCTCCTGTTCAGTTGGCAAATCCTCATTGGTCAGCAGTTCATAATTTTGTATTTGTTCATAAGGTTTGTGTTTGTCTGTACAAGTTGACAACGCGTTTCTAAAAAGGCCTCATCCTCAGGGCCAAGACTATATTTCACATAAAGCAATGTGTTCACCACAAACTCCCAGAAGACTAGATTTTGAACACAAAAAAAATTTTTTGTGGTTAGGCATGGTGGCTTACGCCTGTAATCCCAGCACTTTGGGAAGCTGAGGCGGGAGTATCCCTTAAGCCCCAGAGTTTGAGACCAGCCTGGGCAACATGGTGAAACTCTGGCTCTACAAAAAAACACAAAAATTAGCCGGGCGTGGCGGCACCTGCCTGTGGTCCCAGCTACTCAGGAGGCTGAGGTGGGAGGATCACCTGAGCCCAGAAAGTGGAAGCCGCAGTGAGCTGTGATTGTGCCACTGCACTACAGCCTGGGCGACAGAGTGAGACCCTGTCTCAAAAGAAAAAAAAAAAGTATTTTTTCTACTACATGGTAGGTTTACTGTCATTAAGAAAAGTCTAGCAGATTAAAAATGCAAGGTGAACTATTTATGCATCATGATACATGTGGAATTCATTTTATTCTTTTTCCATAAATAATTACAGTGCTTTGTCATTACTTCTGATAGTTTTATTCCTTGTTAATTCTCCTTTGTTATGGAGAGTCTTGATAACAGTTTGGTTTAACAGGTGCACTTTGCATTAGCTTTTTCTCAGTTGAATCTGCCTCAAAACAACAATAAGAATAAGTAAGGGTGAGGCACTGCACTCTTTTTTTTTTTTTTTTTTTTTTTAAATAGCTGAGCAGGAAGTTTGCCTCTGACAGGGTATTGTAATCAGGTTTATCACAGGAGCCTGCTGTTGTGTAACAGAAACTCTAGCCTGTCCTTACCTGTCTTAAAGTATTGCTTCACGAAGGAAAGTAAACTCGCTGTAATATTTGTGAAATTCAATAAAATGCTTTCCCAAGCACTCCGTTTTTAATGCATGCTGGAACAATTTATTGTAGCTTTGTGGTCTTTTAAAAAACATGTTAAACTTGTGATTTCTTACTATTGTAATGAAATGGACCTGTATCACTCGAGAAGCCCTGTATGTCACATTTATTATTCCTTTTAGACACATCCTCAGCCAAGTGTAGTAAATGTCCACACTCCCTCCCTGCTTCCCTCCCTTCCTTCCCTCTTTTTTCAAGAAGAGGAGGTTTGTGTTGCCTTCAGATGACTGTTGATTTAATTGACAGGCAGCTTTTCTTCATTGTGTGCTTTTTGCTATTGCTCACAAAAGTGCATTCACTATTCTATAGTATGTTGAAACTTTTAAATGGAAACGGCTTTTCATTAACAAAGGAAGCATTTTCTTCCCCCCTTCCATGCCTTAGCTTTCTCCGCTAAGTCTTGGCTTCTTCAGCAGCTGTACCTCCACCAGAAATGACAAAAGGTGCAATTGTGCTAGGAGATGGCGATGAAGATATGCCAGTGGAGTTTTGTGTGTGGGCTGCTGGGGACTGTTTTCCTTCTGTGTTTGGTTTTGTTTTATTTTTGTTATTCCAGAAAGTTGAGAGCACATCTAAAAACCAAAAAAAAAAAAAAAAAAAAAAGCTTTAAAAACCCTTTTCAAACCTTTATCCCAGCTGAGCTTTCTTTCCATTAAGTTGTTCTGTTAGTATTTCAGTGGCCCCTCTGTCTTAATAACAACAAATCTGGCAAAACTCACTTAAAGCAGAGGGACATGGAATACAGAGAGTGTTGATGTGGTTTTTCTTTTTCTAAGCAGGCCATGAGAGTCTGAGTCTTCCTGCCATTATCCTGACTTAAGAGCAGAGCAGAGCTCAGGAGAGGAGATAGGTGTGCAAATTAAATTTTAGTCTTTCCAGCCATCTCCTTTTTCTGAGTTGTGATTCCTGAGCCCAAGTAGATAGCCAGTTCATTTCATTTACTTAAATTAATTTGGAGATAACCCTCTTCTCCTTTTTCTGCCTCTGCCTCTTCTGCTGCTTCATTTGTGACTCAACTTTCTGGAGTATGGTGCTGACTTGAAGCCCTATTTACTTCTAGCAAAAATCTTTCAGTTTACCTGGTAGAATAAACTGAAAATCTAGTACCTTTCAGGGGCACCATCTCTTCACAGCATACCAAATAATCAGATCACTGATTGAACCAAAGTATTGGGTCTAGATATACTTGTCTGTATTAGATACAATTTATTCTGTCAGTGACTTAAAATAGGGCTACTTCTATCTTTTCAGCCTTGATTTTCTTGATATATTTTAAACCTACAGATCAGTTTAAAAATAGATAATATGTAACATAGATACTATTCTACCACAGTCCTTGGCAGTGTTTCTCAGTCCTCTCAAGAATTAGTCATTTCATCATCCCTCACTAGACGCAGCAAGAAGGGATAAAGAGGAAACTGGAAATTTGTTCTGAAGTACATCTCCAATATTTTGAATGTTGATCAACAGCATTCTGATCTTCTCCCTGAATGAGTAAAAAGAAAAGATGTAATACTGGGTCAGCCAAACCCACTGCGTGGCACTTAGCCAGGATGATTCATTTTGCTTGGAGCAATCTTACACCCTTTGTGAAACTGGGTTTCTTTTGGTTGAAGGAAGAAAAAGACTCGTCCAGAGCTGTCAGTCACTTCTTAAGCACCTTCAAATGAGGGCCTTATTGGATTGTTTTGATCTGCCCAGAATCTTCAAACCTGACTCTAGATTTGTTCACCTTCTTACTCTGTAGGCCACATGTAATGCTTGGGATTTTTTGTACAATCTTTATTAGAATAATAACCTGACAGGTTTCAAATCTACTTGAGGGAAGTTGAAGTGAACATAATGATCAGGTTCCCTCATTTCTACTCTTCCCTCCCAGACAGCATGAGGGAGAGAAGCCAGCTGGTGTTTTCTTGTGTTCCTGGCCCACTTCCCCCAACCCCCCACCCCGCCCCCAGCTACCATCATCTCAGCCTCACTGGAATGTGTATGTGTGCTTCTCTTTCCAAACTTGGAGAGTAAAACTATCTGAGCACTTCCTCCTGTCTACAAGAAAAGTAGCCTCTGCATTTTATTTTTTGTTTCCTACAACCGGCATATTCTGTTTTCTGGGGATCCATAGCAATTTCATTAATCTCTAGAGGCTCTCAGGCTTTAGTATGCATAAGAATATCCTGGAGAGCTTGTTTAAACTGCAGATTCTTAGACCCAGTGTCAGAAATTGATTCAGTTAAGTATAGTGTGGGCTCTAAGAAGATGTTTTTCGTAAGCATCTTGCAAGTGATTCTGATGGAGATTACGCTTTGAGCAGTGCATTATATAAGCCTTATCTCTATGTCTGTCTTTTGTTATTCCACCTTGTTCCACAGAAGATTTGAGGTAGAATTAGCAGATAACCAAAGGGTCAGTATAAAACAAAATGCTGTTATACCTTATTAAGTATGTGTTGTTTTAAACAGGATTCTGTTTAAAACTGTTTGGGAACTATATCTATTGAGAAACTGGTCTGTGAGTTTAACATATATGAAAACAGTGAAAATCAAGGCTGAAAAGATAGAAGTATCCTTCCTCTCTCTGTAAGTCATTGACAGAGTACAGTGTATCTAATGGAGAAGATTCTGGCAGGCTTCTTATTCTGGGAAATGTAGACACATATCTTGGTGTTACATTTTTAATAATTATAGTTTAATAACTCCGTATTTCCCCCAAAAGTGTATTTATAAGAGGTTTCGTGTAAGATAAAAGTAGATATTAGCAAGTGGTATAGATTTTGAATGTCTGTAGATTTCATATATGCTGAATTTTTTAAATTTCCAGCTTTATTACACTTCTAATTATGACCTCTTTAACATGTGTTTTTTTTTTCCTTTAGACAGACATTACTTACATTCCTTTTTTCTTTTTTTTTTTCTCCTGCCACCTTGTCTGAGAACTTAGGTTCCATTTTATACTTTTTTTGGTGGCAAAATATACATAAAAGTTACCATTTTAGCCATTTGTAAGTGTGCAGCTCAGTGGTATTAAGTGTATTTATATTTTTGTGCATCCATCACCACCATCCATCTCTAGAATTTTTTCATCTTCCCACGTTGAAACTCATACCCATTAAACACCAACTTCCCATTCCCCACTTGTTCCAGCCTCTGGTAAACACCATTCTACTTTCTGTCTCTAGGAATTTGACTTCTTTAGGTATCTCATACGTGTGGAATCATACAACATTTGACTTTTTGTGTCTGGCGTCTGGCTTACTTCACTTAGCATAATATCTTTAAGGATCACCTATATTGTAGTTCGTGTCAGAATTTCATTCCTTTTCAGGCTGGATAATATTCTATGATATATATAAAACATTCAAAATCTATATATACTACTTGCTAATATCCAGCTTTGTCTTATATAAAATATATATACATTTACATACATACATACCACATTTTGTTCATCCATTCATTGGTGTACATTTGGGTCGTTTCTACCTTTTGGCTATTGTGAGCAGTGCCAGTAGGAACATTGGTATACAAATATTTGTTCGCATCCCTGCTTTCAGTTCCAGAAGTGCAATTAGTGGATCATATAGTAAGTCTATATTTAATTTTTTAGACAACCACAATATATTTTTGAATGTTTTTTTCTTATTACAAAAGTAATGTATTCAGAATTAGAAGGAATGTAGAAAATAATGAGAAGTACAAAGAAGGAGATGAAAATCACAGTCTGATTTCTCATGAATGCCATTAACATTTGCTATTTTTGATTGTCTTGTTTAATGTGCATAAACATATTTGCAAAATTAGGATTGAAGCATGTATACAAATTTGTCTCCTGCATTTTAAAAATTGAGCATTGTACTATGAATATTTTCCTAAATCATAAAACAGCCTATCAAAGCACGTTTTCTTAGCTGCTTAATATGATGCATGATATGTGTATCTAACATAAATATCCAGTAATAAGGAAATGATGGATTCATAAAGAAGAATGTTTTCCAGTCACTCAAAATAATGTTCTCACAGGCTATCTCGTGGCATTAGAAAATTCTCACAAAACATAATGTTAGGTCAAAATTCAGGAGATGAAACTATATTCCTAATCCAGTTTGTACAAAAGCTCTCAGACAGGCAGGAGCTTAGCCTAAGAGCAGTGTAAACTATTAGAGGGATTTTAGTAGGGGAATGACATACCAGATTTTCATTTTGTAATCTTACCCTGGGCTGCATGCAGTGGCTCATGCCTGCAATCCCAACACTTTGGGAGGCCAAGGCAGGCAAATTGCATGACCCTAGGAGTTCAAGACCAGCCTGGGCAATATGACAAAACTCCATCTCTACAAAAAATACAAAAAATTAGCTGGGTGTGGTGGTGCATGCCTATAGTCTCAGCCTACCCAGAAGGCTGAGGCAGGAGGATCACTTGAGCCCAGGAGGTCAAGGCTGTAGTGAGCTGTGATCATGCCACAGCACTCCAGCCTGGGCAATAGAGTGAGACCCTGTCTCAAAAATAATAATAATAATAAAATAAAATCTTACCCTGGCTCCCAGTTGCAAAGAGCTAGAAGCAGATATAGGGCTGTCAGGAGGTTTTTGATAGTTCGGGTCTGGGGTAGAGTTGTTAAAGTGATGAGAAAGACTATCACTGAAGACCAGGCTTGGAGGTGGAGTAAACAGTCTGTGGAATGGAATGAATGTGGTGTGTGAGAAAAGGGAGGTGTCAAGGATGTTCCTAAATGTTTGCTTTTTGCGACAGGGTAAGGAACACTGCTGGAGGGATTAAAATTTAGGGATGTGGAAGATGTTGGGATATAGAAGTTTGACATACTAGAAAGATAATCCAAGTAGAGATGTCAAATAGGCTGTTGAATTTAAATCCCAATGTTATAAATATGGATGTGCCCAAATGAGCTGAGAGAAAAGTCCACCCAGATCCTAACAGAGGGTTTCTCTAAGTTGTCAGAGATTTTTATTATCTTTTAGTATAGAATTTTATATTTCCTAAATTTTCTATAATGTTGATGTGTTATTTTTATAATCAAATTTAAATGTTGCTAACATATATTCATCATAGCATTCTTTATACTGGTTTAAAAATGGGAAACAACCTAAATGCATAACAATGAGGCAAGACTGGTTAAAAGAAAATGGGATAGGATTGAAAACCTTTAGCCACCTTTAAAAAAATATTTTGAGTGTTACTCAAAAAGGAAAAGTTGGTTCAGTTTAAAAATAAAAGAAATTTTAAAAAATGAAATCTGTAATACTGAATTGAGACTAGCAGAATCTGGAATCTAATCTATAGGATAGATAGGTAGATATGCACACTTAATAATTATTTTCTCCTCAATTCATATTCGAAAGAATAGTGGCCTCTTTGTCACCAGATGTTGACTTTCATGTATCAGCTTTTAGTGTGGAAGTTTTGAAAAGATGCTAAATCCTTGTAGCCTACCAAATTGCTTCTCATTAGTGACCTTACACATACTTGTCATGAATTTATCATCCATTAAATCATTTTTTAGATGATTTTTTTTCTAAGGGGAACATTTACTGCTCTAGTGTTTTGTTTGCAGATAAAAGTACTTAATTGCATCTCTTACCTGCATTATTTAAAAGGATTAAGATTGCTGTAAATCTTATTAGTAATGTTAAATTGTCTCAGCTTGAAAAGATGCTTCAAATTCTGTGCAGAATGAACCAGAGGTCTAAATTAATTAATTTTACAAATAAAAAGGAAGACACCTTCTTTTCAAAGTTCACTGAGAACTTATGTTTTTCTTTTCTCTCTTTAAAATTCACAGATTAAAATACAATTAATAGTATTTTAGTGTACAAGTAGAATAACTGTATCCCAACATTAAAAAAAAAACTTAAAATGCCACATTGCTACTTTGGATTAAGAGAAAATTACTTTGTATTCTTCAGCTACAGATCAATCATATGTTGATAATATAACATAAACTGAAGGCATTTTTCCTAAGGAAATGTAAGAGTTTAGCTATTGAAATAGTTGTACCAAAATAAATATAATACAGGGAAGATTTTAGCTTCAGGCAAAGTAAAATCAAGCATAGTTATAAATTCTAAAAATTAACAGTGTAATTGTCTCCGTTAAGCATATACCCCTGTACCATTAAGGTCTTTCCACCTTTGTATTTGAGCAATGATTTCTCCCACAAAGGTGATATATGAAGCTTTTTTTTTTTTTTTTACTTTTTATTGAGGTAAAATAGACACGTAGGAAAGTCTACACATCATAAATGTATAGACAGTGTGATGAATTTTCATAACCTGAACACAGCCACAGCACCCAGCTTCATGGAGAAGCGTTACCAGCACCCCAGGAGCTCTGCTGGGTGCTCCCTTCCAGTCATGTCCTACCCACCCTTAGAGTAATCAAATCCTGACTTCTAACAGTACAGAAGATGGGGACAGAGTTACTGAGTTTTATACTTTATATAACTGGAATCATTCTCTTTTGCATCTGGCTTTTTTCTTTGAACATTATGTTTTGAAGATTGATTCATTGTTACATGTAGCACATTCACTTACTGAACACTGTTCTATTGTGAGATTATATCACAATTCACTTATCTATTCTAGATACGTAATTTATGGACATTTGAGTAATTTCCAGCTTAGAGTTTTCACAAATAGTGTTGTTATGAACATCCTAGTACATGTCTTTTATGGGCATGCATACGCATTTCTGCTGAGTATACATAGCTAGGAGTAGAATTCCCTTGACCTAGGAGGTACATATGCTCAACTTTAATAGATACTGCAAAATGGATTTTCAAAATTTTTGTATTAGGCTCAATTTTGATACTGTTCTACCATATCAGAAATGTTGGTTTTCTGAAATCCTACATGCACATGTGTGTTGTACTATAGTTATTTATCCAAGCCTTCTATCTCCTTTCTCGATTGTCAACTGCTTAAGGAGATTGTCTTATTCATCTTTTTATTTCTGAGATTATCTTATTCATGTTTTTATTTCTCAAAGTACTTTGCACAATTCCTTGCATAGAATAGGCTCTAAACTAAATTTTATTTTATTTTATTTTATTTGAGACGGAGTCTGGCTCTGTCGCCCAGGCTGGAGTGCAGTGGCGCAGTCTCGGCTCACTGTAAGCTCCGCCTCCTGGGTTCACGCCATTCTCCTGCCTCAGCCTCCCAAGTAGCTGGGACTACAGGCGCCCGCCACCATGCCCGGTTAATTTTTTGTATTTTTAGTAGAGAGGGGGTTTCACCGTGTTAGCCAGGATGGTCTCAATCTCCTGACCTCATGATCCGCCCGGCTCGGCCTCCCAAAGTGCTGGGATTACAGGTGTGGGCCACCGTACCCTGGCCACTCTAAACTAAATTTTTTATGTGAATAGATGAGTAAGTGAAAAACTACATGCAGTATTAATATTAGGAATGTTTATAAATTGCAAAAATACAAATGGTATATGCAAAAAACTTCGAGTTCTTAAAGTAAGTGCTAGACAGAATATATTAATATTTGTTCATAGCTTTTCTGAACTTTGTAAGAGAATCTTATATATTTTTATATGTGCGAGTTTAGTATAAAGTTGAATTGTGGATTTTTAACTACTAGACTTAAAACCTGGTGTTACTCCCATGTGGAAAGCACGTGAATATTATGTAACAGTGAGCCGCATTTGTTAGCTATGAATTTGAAGAGTAATGAGAGAGTGCAGGTGGGAAAGGTGAGAGGGAGGTTGTGTATCAGAGCAGTCATGACAACATTATAACTCTGATTGGGTTGTAGCTTTCATCCTTTCTCCAGATTCTTCTAAGGCAAGAAGTAGTGATTTTACCATATCATGGGAAAACCCAGTAAGAGTTTTAAGAGCCAAATAGAATTTTAGTGGCTTTTAACATTTAGTATTTATGACTTAAAATTGCTGAGTTAAAATATTAAGGATTTATGGGGGTTTTCTCCCTTCATGCTTTTCTCCAAATTCCAAATTTTATTCAGTAAGTGCATATTAGTTTTATCTGTTCCTTTTTCTTTTCTTAAGCATTCCAAATACTTTGGCTTGGAACATATTACTTGCTAAATCAGAAATTTTTTTTTTCTTTCCAACTTTGATTTTAGGTTCAAGGGGCACATGGGCAGGTTTGTTACATGGGTAAATTGAGTGTGGTGGGGGTTTGGTGTACAGATTATCTTGTCACCCAGGTAACAAGCACAGTAAAGGTAGTTTTTTGATCCTCACCCTCCACCCTCAAGTAGGCCCTTGTGTCTGTTGTTCCCTTCTTTGTGTGCCTGTGTACTCAATGTTTAGCTCCCACTTATAAGTGAGAAATGCAGTATTTGGATTTTTGTTACTGCATTAATTTGCTTAAGATAATGGCCTCCAGCTCCATCCCTGTCACTGCAAAGGACATGATCTTGTTCTTAGGGCTGTGTAATATTCCATGGTGTATATAGACGACAATTTCTTCATCTAGTCCACTGTTGGTAGGCATTTAGGTTGATTCCATGTCTTTGCTGTTGTAAATAGTGCTGTGATGAATACACACGTGCATGTGTCAATGACATATTCCTTTGGGTATATATCCAGTAATAGGTTTGCTGGCTTGAATGGCAGCTCTGTTTTAAGTTCTTTGAGAAATCTCCAAACTGCTTTCTACAGTGACTGAACTAATTTACGTTCCTGCCAGCAGTGCATAAGTGTTCCTTTTTCTGCACAACTTCACCAGCATCTGTTATTTTTTTACTTTTTAATAATAGCCATTCTAAATCAGAACATATTTTTAAAAATAAGTTTTGTTGCAAAAATTGCAACTATGATGGTCTCTCTTTTATTTCAGTCTTGGCCTGACTACGAGGACATCTACAAAAAAACAGTAGAAGTTGGAACATTTTTAGATTTGCCTCGTTTTCCAGACATAACTGAAGACTGCTATCTTCATCCCAACATACTGTGTATGAAATACTTGATGGAAGTCAACCTCCCTGGTAAGTGTGTGACATATATTGTGGGGACACTTTAACTAGTAGAGTAATAATAAGCAGAGTATAGAATCTTTTCAAATCACAGACTATTAGAACCACCTGAAAAGGTCCATGGTTACATGAAACTTAATGTCAAAATCCTTTCTTAAAATAATTCAGACCTTTTAAAATCATTAAAGGGACAATATTCAGAAATAGAGTTTTCAGAAATAAGAGTTCTGTTTTGGTGTGAGGGATTTATGCTTGAGAGAATATGTTTGATTTTTATGGTAAGTTTGCTAAGTGCAAGTAAAGTACCAAATGTTTCAGTATATGTTTTTAATGACCTGTCCTCCATCCCAAAACGGCACTTTTTAATTTGCATGAGGCATTATTATTACATAATGAATTCTAATTTTTAAAAAAATCCTAGAAGCTAATCTGTGGTAACATTTTTGTTGCTTGGTAATATATCCAGTCCATAAAACAAATGGAGATCAAAGTCTGGTCAGATCATATTGAACTCTTTAAGGCAGTGAAACATAGAATGTAAAAAGAGCCTCACTATACCTGGTTCATAGTATACCAACACACAGGTAACCTCAGTGGAATCTGCTGGTGGAATCCAGTCCTGAATTTCTTGTTAGACTAGAAATGTGAGAAATTTTGGACTTATATTCTTAAGAGAAAATACAAACGTGGTGTGACTATACCATTGCTGAAGCATGTAAAAAATGTGATTGAATGTATTGTTAATAGGAGAGTAAAATACATGTGTTATGTGAAAAAAGCAATATATGAAATTGTATGTATAGTAACTATAAATGTGACTATAAATATGTAGTAACATATATAAATGTAAGTATTGTCATAATTTAAAAATATTTTTTAAAACAGGAACAAAAATAATTTAAATTTTTCAAATGTAACATTTCTAAAGCTAAGGAATATGGCTCTTATTGAGATTCCAGAAATCAGTAATTATTTAAGATTCCAGAATTTGGAAGATCTTATTTCTGCATTTGGACATGTTGTATAGATCAGAATTACTATTTTGGATTTTTTTTTTCTTTCTGCTTCTTTGATGGGTCTCTCAAGTGTGGAAAGTTCCTGTATGCTGTCTTATGTTCTAAATCCTGAGTTTATAGAGAGAATACTGGGTTATGGAAGGAATACCAGGGATTATCAAAATATAACTGATGCAGCCTGGTTAATAGCAAGCAAGCATCTATGTCACGTGTTTATTATTGGACAGAGAGGGGATGATAGGTTTTCTGGCTGTTATCTATAGTTTAACCATATTTCTTGCCTAACATTTCCTGTGCGTAAGGAGTAGAAATAAATCCGTTACAATATACAGAGAGACATTATTGTCATTTGATATTTATTAAGTGACTTTTTGGAGGCAGTATTATAAAAAATGGAGGTAGAAAAATTTCACTTCTCACAGTCTGTTCAATAGAAATAATTTGAAATATAGAAAAAAATTACCCATAAATGTCATTAGTCTCTTTATTTATAATATTGAAAAATCAGAAACAAATATCCAAAAGAAAGGGAAGGGTTATGTAAACAGTGTTGTGTACGTTCAGTGGAACTTTAGGTATGTAGCTTTTAAAATAATGTTTATGAAGAGTTCATAAAAGCATGGAAAATGTTTATGTTATAATAAAAAGTCGAACAAGCCAAATTACAAAATTATGTATAACGTAACCACAGCTACAGAAAATGAAGACATTCATGAAAATATTAGAAGTAAATATACCAAAATGTTAAAGTGGCTATTTCTACCTTAGGGTAACACATGTTATTTTTTTCTTCTCCTACCTTTATGTATCTTATAAATATCCTATATTGAGTTGTATTACTTATTAATGGGCACGGGGAGTGCAATAAGCTTTTGCGATTTTTTGAAGATAAGATCTTGCTCTGTTGACCAGGCTGAAGTGCAGTGGCGTGATTGTAGCTTATTACAACCTTGAACTCCTGGGCTCCAGTGATCCTCCCACCTCAGCCTCCCGAGTAGCTGAGACTGCAGGCACGCACCACCATACCTGGCTAGTTTTTTTTATTGTTATTATTTTTAATAGAGATGAGGTCTTGCCATGTTCTCCAGGCTGGTCTTGAACCTCCAGGCTCAAGCCATCTTCCTGCCTTGACTTCCCGAAGTGCTGGGATTACAGGCATAAGCCACCAAGCCTGGCCTGTTTTTTTTTTTTTTTAACAAAAAATAGATCTACAAATTAAGTTACGATAGTCCCTATACCTTAGGATGTAGATTCTAAAATGTTTACAGTTGGTTTGCAAACCACCCATACATAAGATTACAAGAGTATTTCCAGAATGTGCCATTTGTAATTACAAATATTGCTCTCGGTAATGCCGTCAGTTGTGCAGTGCCATTGATCAAAAAGAAGAGATCTATGTATGTGGCACTTTTACAAAGAGAGGGTTTAGGGTTCCCAGAAAGCTAAAAGCGGTTTTAAACATGCTGAGACAATAGCCGCCCCTCCTCAACGCCTTTAAAGGTGACCAGGTAGCCTCTGGGGCTCGGGGAAAGCTTTCGGCAAGTATGTCACACACACCCTGCCTGAGTAAGCGCTGCCCCTTTGATGGCCATGAATGAGCTCAGATGCACTCTCCACCCTCTACTATGGTTCCTCCCATTGTCACCCACGAGCCTGCTGGATAGAGTTTCTGATGGCTTTCATGATCATTTATGTAATTTCTGTTTCATGTATGTAATTTCTGAAGTTTCCAAAGTGCCCATATATAAATTCTCTTCTTTGTGAAGGTGGGAAGGGAGGGCAAGCAGGCTTCCCCTTGACAGATGAGACTTAGGGCAGTTCAGGGACACTCAGCTGGTAGATGGCAGAGTAGATTCCTACAACCCAGTCTTCCCCTTCCAGGGCCTGTGCTCTTCCCACCCTCTGCTCCCTTCCAAGACCCTATACTGTTCTTGCTACCATTCTCATCATTTCTTCCAGTTGCTTTTCTTATTAGTCTGTACTTTTGGCATAAGCGGAGCAGTTCAAGATCTTAATTCTTTTTTTTTTTTTTTTTTTTTTTTTTTTTTTTTTTGAGACAAAGTCTCACTCTGTCACCCAGGCTGGAGTGTAATGGCGTGATCTCCGCTCACTGCAAGCTCCACCTCCCACGTTCACACCATTCTCCTGCCTCAGCCTCCAGTGTAGCTGGGACTACAGGCGCCCGCCACCACGCCTGGCTAATTTTTTGTATCTTTAGTAGAGATGGGGTTTCACTGTGTTAGCCAGGATGGTCTGGATCTCCTGACCTCAGGTGATCTGCCCACCTTGGCCTCCCAAACTGCTGGGATTACAGGCGTGAGCCACCACGCCTGGCCAAGATATTAATTTTAAAAGAAGAGAAATATTTCAAGAAATGTCATTTTTTTAGAATAATAATACTAATATGGTTTTGATTTTTAAATTATCTGAGAAGAGACTGTAGCTTCTACAACCCAATATAGATAATGGTTAAAATTTTAGTGAAGGTATTTTAAAATTAATTTTTTCCATGTTTGAAGTGTACATGTTTGAGTGCAAGAGTCCTATCATTCATTTCTCTAATTTCCTCCATTATATTAATGCACAGTATCTTGTACCTAGTAGACACTCAGTAAATGCTTGTTGAATTGAGCTTAATTCTCTATCTCCTAATCTTTTTGCATCTGAATGAAGCCCAGGAGTAAATTCAGGTGACACCTGTAAATTGAAATTATCTTAATAGTATAATAGTCCAAATTCTCTGCCTCACAAAGACCTGCACTGTCTGGCTCTGCCAGCCTCTTCACATTCAACACTAAAGCCTTGTTGGACTGTTTGCATTTCCTGAAAGCACCATCCCATGTTTGTCATAGCCTGTAGCATACTGCATTCTCATTAGGAAAAGGACTTGAGGAAGAGGACTGTGTCTGTGTCTTAAGTACCCAGAACACACTAGTTGCTCAATAAATGTTTGTTGGAAGAATAAAAGCCAAGTGAAAACCTGAGCCAAGCTACCAGAATCTGGTAGACAGAAAAATACTTTGATGCGATATTTTGAATTATCATTGTTATATGTGTTCTGTTTCTATGTTAACAAAGCATTTTTTAATCAGCAAAACTTTTTTACTTAAATGTTTCAAGAAAGAAATTAATTTTGTGTTTTATTCTTTATCATAAACGTGTAATTAGTACGAATTATGTGTGGGTTGTAGCAGTTAGGAAGACAAATAAAACAAGATTGAGTCACCCTCAAGTTTAAGAGGGAAACAGAAAGATAAACCCTTAACTGTGCAATAGAAGGGTACATGCCAGGACATCTGCTTTAGCACTCAGAAGAGGGCCAGTCACAGGAGGCTGTGGTATCATGTCTGTTCTTAGAGGAGGTCACTGGTATAACCAAGTTCTCTAAGATGAGTGAGCTTCAGCCAGGCAGAGCCTGAGATGAGGAATGGGGGAAAGAAACTGGCTTTCTAGGCAAAGGGGCAAAAGTAGCTGTGCAAAGCAGAGAGGCAAGTGAGAATATGGCTTGTTTGGGGGAACTATGGAGATTAGGCTGGGAGCTAAAAGCTTTAGTGAGTTCATGAGAGCAGGGGAATACGATGATTGGGCCACAGGAGAGTAAGACTAGAGAAAGGGAGAGCAGTTATAAGGGTGGCCTAAGGAGCAACAGTGACGGGAAGAAAGGGGATGGATTGGAAAGCAGTCAGCACTGATCCAAGTGCCTTAGGTATATTCATTAATTTAGTCTTCACAACAGCTATGAAGCAGGTACTATTCTTATTCCTATTTTAGATAGATTGTTTAAAAACTGAGGCACAGAAAGGTTGTATAACATGTCCACGGTCACAGAGCTAGTAAGTGATGGAGCAGGGACTCTAGTCCAGGCAGTTTGGTTCCATAGTCTATTCTCAACCATGGTACTATATGCCACATTGAGAGAATGGAATTAACAGGACATGGTGACTGAATGCATGTAGAAGATTCAGTTCAGTTCCATGCAAGCTCATTATCTCTTATAAAAAATGGCTGTCATACTTGAAATTGTGTGGTCACAGCTTACATACTTAGATTGGGAAGTACAGAAATTTTTTGTTTAGTTTTCAAAGTCTATTCACTTGAACATAACCTCAATTTATTCTCATTATAACCCATTTTACAAGTGAAGAAACTGAGGCTAAGTGACTCTGATCCAAGAGTCACAAAGCTAGTGATTGGAAAGCTTAAATATAGGTCCTAGGTTTTCTGGTTCCAAGTCCCACATTATTCAGTCTTGAGTAATAGGTGTAGTCTATGCTGAACATATAATTTCTTTAGGAAAGCAATATATCTAGTTAAACAGTTGTTGAGGGCTTCCAGTGTGCTAGCCAGGATGCCAGCCAGTGCACATACATTGCTAGAGAAGCTTTTGGTCTCATAAGGGAGTTAGTTTTAGGTGAGCAAACACTGCTATAGAAACACAGACAAGAGATGTGGATGAAACAACTGGTATGTGGCTGCCAGATGCCAGGATGTGTCCTAGAAATAGTAGATGTTTTAGGAAGTCGGAATAGGGAATGATACGCCGTTTTAAGATTCTACCATTCATTTTTCTATATGGATGCCATGTTTTGATGTTTTATTCACAAAATGTGGGTCTCTGAGTTCTTGCATAGTGTCGTGTTTTAAGATAAAGGTTATTTTATGGATATATACATTGGGGATGGTCTAGTTGGCAAATAATTTACATTTTACTGTTTTGTTCTTCAGATGAAATGCATAGCTTAACTTGCCACGTGGTAAAAATGACTGGAATGGGAGAAGTGGATTTTCTGACATTTGATCCTATAGCTAAAATGGCAAAAACTGTTAAGTACGATGTACAAGCTGTAGCTATCATTGTGGTGGTATTGAAACTGCTCTTTCTATTGGATGACAGTTTCGAGTGGTAAGTGTACGTCAATTTTATGACAAGTAACATTTTATGGTGCTGATCTTAGTTTTTTAAGAAAGCTTTAAATGTCATGAAGACACTTTAAAAAAAGAGCTAAAGAAAAAATTTGTACTGTATTTACCTAATTATATGTTATCTCAAAAAATGGAGACTCTCAATTGTTACAGAACATTGACTAGTAGTCACAATTATTTCTTACACAGTACTTTGACTCAGCTGGTTGTCAGTTGTTTGATCATGTTTTATACCTGTTATTCTTTAGGTAGCAATGTTCCTCATTGCTCCACTGATTTCCTAGTTTTAAAGTATCTTCATAAATCTCTATCTATATCCCTTTAGGCTCCTGGCAATATGTGTTCTCAAAGATTATTTTAGAAAGTAAAGGAATCTTAATATGTCACCCCTCCCAGATGCCAACAAAGAGTGACAGTATTTATAGTGTCTCCTCCTCTGTTTCAGTGATTGCTTCTCCATTAAAACATGGTATCAATTTCAAATACTGTTCTACACTTTTCTCTCAGAAGAATTCAGAATTTATCTTTCCAAATACATGACTTCTAAATAAATTGATTTGTTTATTGTTATCTCCAGGTCTTTGTCTAATCTTGCTGAAAAGCATAATGAAAAGAACAAAAAAGGTATTTTAATTTTTTATCATTCAAATTCAAAGTGGTTATAGATGATAGATTAAAAGATGGAATAAATGTAGGCAAACAACTTTGAAAAATACACATATACACATAAACACATGTATACAAATTGTATATTGTACCAGTATTGTTTTTTCATATAATTACCTACTTGTATCTCTAGGGTACTAAAAAATATCAGTGAGTCCGTATTATATGTAAGACCAGGCTGCTTTGTATTCCCAACTTCTACTCACCAGCCATGCTAGATCATGAATTTACAGGCAGCTTTGTGACCATCCTGTCGATTCTGATGCTTTCAGCCTTTGCTCTTGTTGGTCCCTCTATCTGAAATGCTCTTTCCTTCTTACCCCAACTCCTGTTCAGTCCCTGGCAAATGCCTCTTTATTCTTGAAGATGCAGCATAAACACCACTCTTCTGTCTGGTCTTCACACCTATCCACTTCACAATGCTTCACCTCTTCCCAAATCAGAACTAATAACTCCTGCCGCAGTCACTCTTGTTCAGACTTTTGCTAGATGTTTAGTGCCTTGAGGTCTAACTAATGGCCTAAGTACGTCTGTCCCTATTAGATTGCCAATATTTGTAAAGTGCTTAGAAGAGTATCTGGCATCTAATAAGTACTTTATAAGTGATAGACAGATAGACAAGTGAAGTGTGAGCTTCTGGAGGGAGGGATCATATCTTTTTTTTTTTTTCTTTTAATGTATCTTTAGTGCCTAACATAGTGACTAGCCTAAGAGCAACTCAGTGAAGTGTGGTGAATATGTGGATTATTAAATTCAATTCCAGTTTCTTAATGTTCTGTTCTCATTAGGATTTATGTTCATTGGTTTTAGAGGCTTGAATTTATTGGAAGCAATCAGTTTGTGTGTTCTTTCCAGAATATGTGCAAAATAAAATACTACTTTCTGTACATTGCTCATGTTGGCTTCTATGTAGAGTGAAAGGTTGAACTAGCTGTCTTCTAACATCCCCTCTAATGCTAAAAGATGATAATTTACTACGTAGACATGTAGAATAAACAGAGCGCTTTGACCTGTCTCCCTGTAAGCCTCAAAATAAATCCATGCTGTCAGCAGGGCAAAGATCACTGTCATTTCTCTCTGCTCTGTCTGCTAATCACCATCCCCTGCCCCCAGCATTATTGATGGGGAGATTGAGGTTTAGAAAAGTTGTGATTTACTCCAGGTCCAAGAACCGTGAGTTCTATTGATTACTATAGTTTTCCTCTGTTCTTACAGTTCTTTCGGTAGTTTCCTCTCTTCTGTGGCTGTATGGTCTACAAGGTCATATTGGATTAAACAATTATCATATTGACCAGTTGAAAAGATTTTTAGTTAGGCATGGAAAGAGACTGCCTTCGCCAGAGAATAATGGAGAATAATCCCTGTATGGAGTGAAAGAGTGAGGAGTGAGTTTTTATACTTTACTGCATTCAGTTCTGTTGTCTCTCTAATGTCTACATCTTGATCACACACTCACACCAACTGCCCAGTGCAGTCAATTAATGAAAACTCAGATGAACAATGTATATTATTATAGTGTGGTTTATTTGGTTAATAATCTTGGATTTTATTTCTTTCAGATAAGCCATGGTTTGATTTCAGAAAGTGGTACCAAATTATGAAGAAAGCTTTTGATGAGAAAAAACAAAAATGGGAAGAAGCAAGGGCCAAGTATGTTCTCCTTCCTGGTTTAGATGCACCTGCCTTACTTCTGTGTCTGTTACTTTACATTTGAAAGCTGAAGCTTCATCAGTATACACTTATCTACATTGTGACTTTTTTTTCTGGAAATATTAGCCCTACACTCTAATTAACTTTTCTCTTTTTTACATTACTATTAATCAAAGTTTAGATTTGATGTGGATTTCACCAGTGTTTTTATTAATGTCCTCTTTCTGTTCCATGATCCAATGCAGGATACCACAGTATACTTTTTATAATTTAACTTTTTATAATTTGCATGAGACTTGCCTATATTTCTAATACTCCTCCCTCTTCCCCTTTCTCAAATTTAGTCATTTCTCATCTATGCTTCCCAATATTAAAAAGATTACAAATGTTACCTTGCAACATATGTAATTGGAATGTTCCCCCAAAATAAAGATCCCTGTGAAAATTAAAACAAAGGAAAGCAGATAGCAAGTCCATTTGATTCAGCCAGTGTCACTGCCTTTCTTTGAACTGTCATTCTGATGTGGGCTCATTGTGGTAGGGTAGAAGAGAGCATAAGCAGCGCTAGGTTTGAATCCTGTCTGCATTACAAGCTAGCTGTGTGCCCATGGGCCAGTTACTTAACCTTTTGCTGAGTCTGAGTCTCTTTGAGGCTTTGAAGAAAAAGGTAACATCTCTGTATTTAATGTAAATTTACAGTAATACTAATTCGACTCAGTAATTTTATATCCTTTGAGAAAAATCAAGGTTCCCCATATTAGTTGAAATGAGAATTTGTTCAGCTCCTATTTCTTCATCAGTAAAATAGACATAATAATGCCCACTTATATACTGTAATTAAGACCCAATTTTCCAGTATGAGAGTAGAACTAGATTATTTTTCCTCTAAATTTCAGAGGGCTTTTAAATAGAAAAACAGACTCTTGGGGTAGAAAAGGCACTGTGGAGATGATCCTTTCCATAGCAGGGAAGTGTGACAGGTTCCCTCTCAGTAGGCAGGATTGATGCACAATGAAGAAGAGGGGTGGAGGTGAATTTATCCCAACAGCCCATGGATTCCCAGGAAACCAGGCTCCCTGCCTCCTCATCAGAGAAGGAGTGACTCTTCAGTCAGTGGCTCTCAGTGGGCACAAGAATAGCAGCAGGAACAAGATTTTGTTATGTGTCTTAGGTCATTTTGGAGAATCAGCCTTCCTTTCTGTGGTGCTAGCTGGGGTTAGTCCTGACGGATCCTAAGGACTGGGTGCCTAGGGGCCATTCCTCCCTGGGGTCTCAGTGGTGACAGGGCTTTCCTTACCCCAAGCCAGACACCAACCTACACTTTAAACATAGCTCTTGGAGGCCCAGTTCATTATTGCAGTGTTATGTCAGTTGCACATTTAAGACTTACCGGCTTTTAGCTACTTTAGGGAATAATTTATTGGCCAAAGAAAGTAAGTCTGGTTATAAAATGGCACTTTCCAGGGAGGTACCGGGCCCCAAGGTGGAGGCTGTCGAGGGGACCCGTTTCCAAGGTCCTTCTTCCTAGAGTATGTGCTGAGGGCTGACACACACGTGCAGTGTGAGTCACTGCTGAGTAATATGCGAAGCACTACCAACTGCTGCTCAGGCCCAGAGCTCAGTGCGTGGTGGCCACCTGTCGGTTTCACCCTTCCCCACCCCCATGTTGACATACATGTCTAATTTTTCTCTTTGTTTCTCTGAATATTATCATCCATGTTGTCAGATGAAAATTATTAAAACATTTTCTATATCTGAGCATGGGTTCCTATGCATGAGATTATGAAAAACACTAATAAACAATAGTTGAAAACCTAAAACAGCGTAAGAGGCTACTTTGATGACTTCTAGCTGTTATAGAAGATGTTGAGAAGAACATGGAGAAAAATTAAGCCTGTGCAGAAAATCTCTATGCCCTAATTGGTGTATAGTGATATCTCATTATGGTTTTAATTTGAGTTCACTGCTAATTTTTGCCTTCCCTTTTGGGTTAGGCAGAAATTTCTTAGATGTGACACCAAAAGCATGATCTATAAAAGAAAAAAAATTGGTAAATTGGACTTCATCAGAAGTAAGAACCTCTGCTCCACAAAAGAACTTAAACGAATAAGAAGCTACAGACGAGGAGAAATTAAATGCAAATCACATATCCGTTTAAAGATTTGTATCTAGAGTATATAAAGAATTTTTAGGCAATAAGAAAAAAACTCCATTTTTTTAAATGGGCAAAATATTTGAAAAGACGTTTTACCAAAGATGATATCAAGATGGCATGTGAAAAGATGTTTAACATCATTAATAGGGAAATGCAAATTAAAACGACAATGACATATCATTATATACCAATTAGAATGGTTCAAAACAAAACAAAAACAAAAACTGATCATTCCCAGTGTGGGAATTCAAAATGGTACCGCTATTTTGAAAAGTTGTCAGTTTCTCAAAGTTAAACATACATTTATTATGTTATCCAGTGTTTTTCACTCCTAGATATTTACCCTAATGAAATGAAAACAAGCTCACACAAAAATCTGCATAGGAATGTTTCTAATGGTTTCATTCATAATTGCCAAAAACTGGCAACAAACCACATGTTCTTCAACTGGTGACTAGCTAAACTGTTGTATCCGTACAGTGGAATACCATTTAGCAGTACAGACTTCTTATGCATCCAGCAATATGAGTGAATCTTAAATGCATTATGCTATGTGAAAGACTCAAAAGGTTACTTATGCTATGATTCCATTTATATGACATTCTGGAAAAGGCTAAACTATGGGGACAGAAAAACAGACCAGTAGTTGCCTGAGATCAAGGGTTGACTGTCAAGGGATGTGGGAGATATTTTGGAGTGATGGAACTGTTCTACGTAGTAATTGTGGTGAGTACACACATGCAACTGTATGTGTTTGTCAGTGCTAGCAGAACTACACTGAAAAGAGTAAATTTTACTGAATGTAAATTATACCTTAATTTTTAAAAATGAGGAAACATATGCAGACAGACAAGAGAGAAATATATAGATAACATGTAACTGGAAAACATGGTTTGTGATGTGTCTCCTTTTGTAGTTTTATGTAATGAGAAAAGGCAGGCAAGGTAAAGTCAATTTTGGAAGAAGCTTTCATTTCAGGTATCTGAACACTTAAGAGTATTTTTATTTTAGATCACCTTTCCCATTCTTGGGGCATATCACCCCAAGGGCATCATAATGCTTTCTTGATCTGTGGCATGATTGCCACTTGTGTAGGCATTTACTGTAAATGCATAAGAAACTTCCATTTAGATTAGGTATTCACAAGGAATGTTTAACAGTGAGTGTGCCCAGGGATTGGGATTAGACTGTTCAGGGAACTTCTTTATCCTTTGAGATTTTATTATTTAAGAAAATTAATGGCAAAAAAATATATTTTAAAGAATCGCTAACTCATTTACCATAACATTAAATGACAAACTCTCTGATATATTTTAAATGTGGTATGGTTCACTAAAGTTTAGTTTCACATGATTTTCAGGAAACCATCTCCTGTATAACATTAATTACATCTCTACTGCTACCTAATGATTAGAAAAATTTCCTTTCTGTTCTTTTTTTTTTTTTTTTTTGAGATGGATTTTTGCTCTTGTTGCCCAGGCTGGAGTGCTGGAGTGCAATGACACGATCTCGGCCCACCGCAACTTCCGCCTCCCGGGTTCAAGCAGTTCTTCTGCCTCAGCCTCCCAAGTAGCTGAGATTACAGGCATGTGCCACCATGCCCAACTAATTTTGTATTTACTAAAGAGACGGGGTTTCTCCATGTTGGTCAGGCTGGTCTCAAACTCCCAACCTCAGGTGATCCTCCCACCTCAGCCTCCCAAAGTGCTGGGATTACAGGCATGAGCCACTGCGCCCGACTCCTTTCTGTTCTTAACATTTAATATCATTGCAGAAATTCAAAATAAAAAGTCAACATCTGTTTTATGTATAGTCATGATTTTACTGACTTGATCAAGTATTTTTTAAAATTCTTGAAAAAATCAGTTCTTAAATCGGTTAAAATGATTATTTGCTAAATGATATTACTAAAATATTGTTAAAAATGTGTGCTTTTATATACGTATTACTTCCTAGTATTAAAAATAAATGGTGAGAAATTATTATAGATGCTACAGATTTTTAAAATATTTGTATTTCTGGCTTCCTATTTTTAATCTGTTTTTCTGGAAAGTTCACAGATATTTCTTGAGTATCTACTAGCCAGGCACTTTGTCAAGTACTAATAATAATTCTAATTATTGTATAGGATTTAAAGAACCAATACATACAGCATCTTATTCTTCAGAATAACCCTGTGAAAGTAGAGGATAAGTTTAGAGATGCTAAATTCATTTCTTTGTTCATTTATTCACCCAATTATTCTTCAACAAATGTTTAAATGAGTTCCTACTCTCTACCACTCCCTGACAACACTAGGGGCATAAGGATGGCTGAGACAGTCTCTGCCTTTAAGAACCTCCATAATTTGTCATTCAAGGTCATGCCACTAGAAAATGGTGGAGCCGGCCGGGCGCGGTGGCTCACGCCTGTAATCCCAGCACTTTGGGAGGCCGAGGCGGGCGGATCACGAGGTCAGGAGATTGAGACCATCCCGGCTAAAACGGTGAAACCCCGTCTCTACTAAAAATACAAAAAATTAGCCGGGCGTAGTGGCGGGCGCCTGTAGTCCCAGCTACTTGGGAGGCTGAGGCAGGAGAATGGCGTGAACCCGGGAGGCGGAGCTTGCAGTGAGCCGAGATCCCACCACTGCACTCCAGCCTGGGCGACAGAGCGAGACTCCGTCTCAAAAAAAAAAAAAGAAAATGGTGGAGCCAGGTCTTCTGATTCAGTACTCTTTCTTGTTGCCACAGTGTCTTTCAAAATAAGAAAATGGCCTGGGATTAAGAAGAAGGTGGATTTTTAAAATTATTATAAGTTATGAAAGTTCTCTGCTCTAGGGAACACAGAAATAATAAAAATGAGACCAAGAATGAACCTTGTTGTCTTTGTTCCAGAGCAGCAGCGTCTGCTTGGCAAAGTTTAGCAACAGCCACTAGAACTAGAAATAGAACATGTCACTTCCTTTTGGAGTCTGGAACTGATCACCCTCATCTGTAGGAACCTTAGATGGCTCTTAGTGTTTGTCCTGGAGGGAACCCCAAGAGCCAGAGCAATCCAGGATCCCCATTTTACAGTGGAAACTCCCTGGCCATCCTTCCCTTGGCAAGAATAGGCTGAGTCAGAACAGGGACTACTGGGACTGTGTCATCCTGGAATCCAGTCTTTTCCTCTCCTTTACACCAGGAATAGAATAGATTTCCTGGCATCAGATGCCAGAGAGACGCATTTACTGTTCACTGTGTGTAAGTTATCAGAATCAGAAGTACTACTAACAACTCTCAGCAAAAAGGCATTGGGACAAAGGCAATGAGGAACAGTTGTTTCTGAGGTAGCTTCACTTTATGAGAATGAGCAGCAAGGGAAATTTATGGTGAAGGAAACAGTTTCTATGTTTTTTGTATAATTAATAGCTTCTTCAAGATGTCACAGCATCTGGGTGGCTTTTGAGAGGAGCACACCATTCTCTTGGCCTGGGCTGTTGGTCAGTGGTTCCTTCTAGGGCCTAAGTTCAATAGGCAATATAGACATGTGCCAGTAGGCCATTCCAAGCCAGAGCTATAACGAAATATCAGAAATCTCAGATAGTGCTTCAGACAATGTGTTTATGTCCGTTTCATCTCCGTCCTGCTCCAGCTGTTTCTTTACCTTGTACAGGTACCTGTGGAAAAGTGAAAAGCCACTCTACTACTCATTTGTCGACAAACCAGTAGCATATAAAAAAAGAGGTAAGTCAAATTTTGTCTTTTTAATACCAAGTAGCAACACAGTTGTAGAAAAATTAAATATCTGGACTTGAAATGTTGAATGCTTAAGTTTTTTACTTTTTTTAAACAAATGTTCCAGGGCACATGTACATCCAAAGGAGCATCATACTCTGCAAGAAATCTCTGCAGGAATCTACTTCAGGAATATGTCGTTCTTCAAAACAGAGCCTCAGTTCCTGCCAAAATCTAAAATCCTAAATCGTTATGATTTTGGAAATTCTTTGCTTATAGAATTCCTTTTAGACTGTACATTCTTTTTGAAGTAAGGTTTCCCCCATGCACCTCATCCAGTTTCATTTTCCCTTAACGTTATCCTGTTACATTACTGTGGTACATCTGCGAAAACTAAGGAACCAATATTGGTACATTCCTATCAAGTAAATTCCAGGCTTTATTTGTGATTTAACATTACTTGTTATTTTGTTTCCTTTTTTTCTCCGGTTCCAGAAATGGTGGTGAATCTACAGAAACAATTTAGCACACTGGTCGAGTCAACAGCAACTGCTGGAAAAAAAAGCCCTTCAAGTTTTCAGTTCAACTGGACTGAAGAGGACACTGATAGAACGTGTTTCCATGGACACAGCCTTCAGGGAGTCCTGAAAGAGAAAGGCCAATCACTGCTGACTAAGAATTCATTATATTGGCTTAGTACACAGAAATTCTGCAGATGGTAATAATGCTTTTAGAAAAAGTCACATATAATTGAAGTAGTTGACTGTATAAGAGCCAGATAGGTTTTTTGTTGGAATTAGAAGCTGGTGAGCTTAAAGTCACGAAAATCAGAATTATACATTGAGTCTTGTGTAGGAGTTCTAGGAAAGCTGGTAAAAATCAAGAAAGAGGATACAGGGCAATTAGCACAAACTATCCCCTCTAGCTAAATTAACCTGCAGTGTGGCAGGCAAGCAATAGAAGTGGCTGTAAATGCTGATCAGGAGAATGTGCTGTATTTTTTAGTACATATCACTTCTCTGAGTCAGTTACCTTTATCATGTCTTTCTACCTCTTAATACTTCCTTAAGTATTTCCTAAAAATAAGGATATTCTCTTAAGTGACCACAGTACAGTTATCAAACTCAGGAAACTTAATACTGATACGATACCTTTATCTCACCCACAGTCCATATTCCAATTTTCTCATTAGACCCCCAGTGTCCTTTTATAGCAGGATCAAGTTCAGGAGTAGGTATGGCATTGATTGATTTTATCTCTTCGGTCTCCTTTAATCTGATTGTCCCTCAGCCTTTCTTTGTCTTTCATGACATTGAGCTGTATTTTTCAGAAATGTCAGTGATGTTACACAATGTTTCTGAGTATGGTTGTGATGGTTCCTCATGTTTAGATTCAGGTTCTGCATCCCTGGCCAAAACAAGTGCCGTGTCCTCCTCAGGGTATCATTTCTCAGGGTATGGCGTCTGTAGACTGGGGCGGGGGGCGGGGGGTCCAT
Organism: Homo sapiens; assembly: GCF_000001405.40. Lineage (NCBI taxonomy): Eukaryota > Metazoa > Chordata > Mammalia > Primates > Hominidae > Homo > Homo sapiens. The sequence continues at coordinate 9,920,598 of NC_000002.12, forward strand.
TTGCCCCTCAGGTGTTAATAGTGATCACCCAGTCAAGGTGCTGTGTCGTTTTTCCACAGTGTAGTTACTATGTTTCCCCTTACAACTAATAAAAAATCTGCAGGGAGATACTTGGTCAGTGAAATACTCTGATCTTCATTCAACTTTGTCCCCTTGATTTCATGTTTTATGTTCTGTCCTCGTATCTGTCGAGTGTGGGCATGTGAAGTCTAGAAAACAACACGCGCTTTTATGGTTATTGGGTCTGGATAAAATAGGACTAAAGATGGGAAGCTGCACTGAGGAGAGGAATCTGTGTAGGACATAGTGGAAAACTTGTATGTCTAAATAGTAAGACACAGGCTTTTGACTTCATCAGGTTTAATTAATGATCGGCTCTGTGGCATACTGGCTCTTAGACTTCCGGCTTAGTAATAGGCTGCCTTCTTATTTTTGCTTTATTTTTTCAGAAGAGTTATATATTCCCTATAAACGGTCGATATTGGAATAATACAGTGTAAATTCTTAAGTAATTTATGAGGTCTTGCTGTGTCACCCAAGCTGGAGTACAGTGGCACGATAATGGCTCACTGCAGCCTCAACTTCCTAGGCTCAAGCAATCCTCCCACCTCAGCCTTCCAAGTAGCTGGAACTACACGTGTGCACCACCATACCCAGCTAATTTTTTATTTTTTGCAGAGACGAGGGTCTCCCTATGCTGCCCAGGTTGGTCTCAAATGCCTGAGCTCAAGCAGTCCTCCTGCCCCAGCCTCCCAAAGTGCTGGGATTACAGGTGTGAGCCACTGCGCCCAGCCATCTATTTTCATATGACTCAGAAAATTTCCTCAGGCAGTAGATAGTGAAGAACATATTACTCCCCAGAGCACATTCGTTTTTCTTTAATTGTACTGAAAATCAACTCCAAAAGTATTTTTTGAGTACTTGATAAAAATAAGTCATTATCCTAAGTCCTAGATAGATACAAAGGTAACTCAGGAAGTTTGTTTTCCAAGTCCACTTGAAGAGAAGATTTTTTTAATAAGAGTATGTTTTCCCCACTTTCCTTCTGTAGTGTCTTAATAGCTGTAGAGAGGAGTATATGGATTAAAAATTACAGAGATAATCAGTGGGGTATACAGGTGTTTACCATAAAATTCTTTCAACTTTGCTGTATGATTGAAATTTTTTATAATAAAGTTTGAGGAGAAAAACTAAAAAGATTCAGGCTATGCCATGAAGTTTTTTTCTCCTTGCCTATTTTAACTTTTAGTTCCGTTTTATATAATAATAGCGAAAAGGCCATTCAATAAAATAGTTCTGTGACTTTGAAGTTACTTTACCTTTCAGTGTCTTCCTGTTAAAAATAAAAAGACTAGACTAATATTCCCTCACTAAAGTTCTCAGTAATTAACGTGTGAAAAATAAAAGCATAAAGGCTTTTCTCATTGTGACTATATTTAAAGTAATCTCATCCCCATATTGACATAGAAATTGCCCAAGAGGAAATTTTCTAGTAGCTAAGAGGACTTGCTATAGAATCATAGAATCGGGCTGTTTCTATCCTAAGTCTGCCACTTGCTAATTGTAGGAAGGTTACTCACTTCTCTACAGCTGTGCTGACCCAGTTGTAAATGTGGGGATAATACTGATCTTTTCCTCTTCTCAAAACCTTCAGTGGCTCCCATCTCATTGAAAGGAAGACCCAAAAAACATTGTGGAGCCAACACGGCCCTCTTGACCTTCCCTCTGCTGTCCTCTGACCTCCTTGCTGTCACCCTATGTTCAGAGTGACCTCCCAGCTGCTCCTTGAGCTTACCAGACACTCCCCACATGGGCCTTTGTACCTGCTCTGCCTCCTGCCTAGAATGTTCTTTCCCCCATGTATCCACATGGGCTCACTTCTTTCAGGTTTTTGCTCAAATTTCACTTCCTTGGAGAGATTTTTCTCAGCCATCCTGCCTAAAATAGCACCAATCATTCCCCCAACACCCCTCATTATTCTCTGTCCCCTGGCCTATTTCATTTTTCTTTGTAGTTTTCATCACTATTTAATAGAATATATTATTATATATTTATTTTGCTTATTTATCCATCTCCCCACACTAGAATGTAAGGGCCTTGAGAATGTAAGGACTACTAGAATGTAAGGAGGACTCTGTTTTATTTAATGAAAAATCCCAGCGGCTAGACCAGGGCCTAGCACAGACTAGGTGCCCACCAAGTATTTATTGAATGAATGAATGGAAAATAGGGCCTACCCCAAGTTCTTGTGAGAATTGAATGAGGTATTTGATGTGTGTCACATAGTAAGTACTCAATCAAACATAAGTATGACCATTATTATTTTAAACAAAGCTAATTTTCTGTTAACTAATGTTATTTCCTGGTCTGGGCTTGGTGGCTCCACCTGTAATCCTAGCACTTAGGGAGGCTGAGGCAGGTGGATCACTTGAGTCCAGGAGTTCGAGACCAACCTAGCCAACATGGCAAAACCCTGCCTCTACTAAAAATACAAAATTAGCCGGGTGTGGTGGTGCACGTGTATAATCTACTCGGGAGGCTGAGGCATGAGAATCACTTGAACCCGGGAGGCATTGGTTGCAGTGAGCTGAGAGCACACCACTGCACTCCAGCCTGGGCGACAGAGCAAGACTCCATCTCAAAAAAAAAAAAAAAAAAATTATTTCTTAAGTTGGTATCAATCAAAGATAATTGAACTGTAGAAAATACAGTGGGAGATGATAAAGTTGTCTATATTAAGATTTGCTGCTTAAAAAAAAAGTTGAGCTGCATCTACAACGATTAAAGAGTGGCACTGTTGGCCGGGCACGGTGGTTCACACCTGTAATCCCAGCACTTTGGGAGGCCAAGGCGGGCAGATCACCTGAGGTCTGGAGTTCGAGACCAGCCTGACCAACATGGAGAAACCCCTGTCTCTACTAAAAATACAAAATTAGCTGGATGTGGTGGCGCATGCCTGTAATCCCAGCTACTTGGTAGGCTGAGGCAGGCGAATCACTTGAACCCAGGAGGTGGAGGTTGCAGTGAGCCGAGATCACGCCATTGCACTCCAGCCTGGGCAACAAGAGCGAAACTCTGTCTCAAAAAAAAAAAAATTGATTTAAGAGTGGCACTGCTTAATAGCAGCCACGGGGAAAGGCCAGAACCCCAACCCAGGGTCAGCGCCATGTCTGAGGTAATCGATTCCTTTGCATTGGTCATGTCAATGATTTTCAGATTTTATCCTGAAGAGGAGAAAGAGTTATAGTCCCCAGTGAAGAGTGCTTGCCCACAACTCCAAGTGAAGACATGGTGTGCCATGCCCTGCCTCCTCCAGCTGCAGAGTTGGTCCTGAGCAGCTTATGTCGTGATCCGTACCTTTGTGCTTTTTCACAGGGCAGGAGGGTGGATTGTGGATTATCTCAGATTTAATACTGCAGTATAATGCAGTGAGTTATACATAGAGCTTAGTATAGTCAGCGATGAAACTGCTGAGATTTTTTTCTCTGCATGAAGTATAAAACTAAATTCTAACTGTATGAAGTTTCAGTGATACCATGACTTTAGGCACCAAACTTATCTGTCAACCTTACCTGTTCTAGACCAGAGCCTAGAACTGCAGAGGAAGCAAAAAAGGCTTCAGCTGGGCAGTAAAAATGCCACAGAGACCGTGACTAAAACTCAGCCTTTTTTCTCAGAGAGCCCCTTAGCCCCTCGCTCAGAGCCCCTGACTCTGCCCTTAGGCTGAGTTGTCTGATTTCCAAACTCCTCATCATCAAAGAAACAAAAGGAGAGGTCTGAGAAGCACTCTGCTGATAGACATCTTGACGGCAAACATAAATGACACCCTTTGACAACAATAGGGGAGCCAACATCAGAATCCAAAGCAGACAGAGCTCCAGTCGCAGAGCCTGAAGTTCATGGCTCCATGCCACTAAATAAGGGGACCACATCCCTGCTTCAGCACAGCACCTGTCCTAAGACGCTGTGTGCCTTCGTGGTGGGTTTTATTAGCATGTTTTCTAATGTTTCTACAATAAAAACAGGCAACTGTAATAATATCATTGTAAAGGCTAAAATATGCCGAATATGCTCTAAGACAACCATTGAAAATGATTACAATGAAAAGTGATGCTTATGAGAGCAAATATTTAGCTATGTATCGAATTTTGTTAGGCAGAAGGACTCATTTCTGAGTGTTCAGAAGAAACAAAACATTTGCTGTAAAATTGTGAAAACACTCAGAGCTTGGGAACTAAGCAGAGAAAGGCCACAAGAGTACTTCAGGTATGGGAGGCTGTTTATTCTTCCTAGCTGAGGCAGAGTTAACAATTTCAATGAATTGAAATGCCCTTACTATTCCTCCAATTGTTATAACAGTTGGCTAGGTCAGAAGACCTGACTTCTTGTAGGTGGTGGCCGTCACCTCCCTGGGAGTTCCACAGATGAGGCAGAGCAGTGGTCTTTAGTTGTATTCCACAGGAAATGGAAGTGCTTTGGCAGCCCCACAAAAATGTGATTTTAATTTTTTAAAAATTATTTTTTAACTATTTTTTTAAACTATAGTGAAAAAACAGTACTCAGGCCGGGCAGGGTGGCTCACACCTGTAATCCCAGCACTTTGGGAGGCCGAGGTGGGCGGATTACGAGGTCAGGAGATCGAGACCATCCTGGCCAACATGGTGAAACCCCATCTCTACTAAAATACAAAAAATTAGCCGGGCATGGTGGTGCATGCCTGTAGTCCCAGCTACTCAGGAGGCTGAGGTAGGAGAATGGCATGAACCCGGGAGGCGGAGCTTGCAGTGAGCCAAGATTGTGCCACTGCACTCCAGCCTGGGTGACAGAGTGAGACTCCGTCTCAAAAAAAAGAAAAGTGTAAGTACTGTTATTTTTTTCCGTTTTACAGATGAGAGAACCAAGAGTAGTTACCCATAGTCACAGCTAATGGGTGGCAGAGGGTTTTGTTTGGTTGGTTGATTGGTTTTGGGTTTTTTTGTTTTGGGGTGTTTGTTTTTTTTTTGAGACAGAAGCTCGTTCTGTCACCCAGGCTAGAGTGCAGTGACACAATCTTGGCTCACTGCGACCTCCCTGGGTTCAAGCGATTCTTGTGCCTCAGCCTCCCGAGTGGCTGCTACTACAGACATGCGCTACCACCCCTGGCTAATTTTTGTATTTTTAGTAGAGACGGGGTTTCATCATGTTAGTCAGGCTGGTCTCAAACTCCTGACCTCGTGATCTGCCCGCCTCGGCCTCCCAAAGTGTTGGGATTACAGGCATGAGCCACTGTGCCCAACCAAGTGGCAGAGTTTTATGGTGCAAACATAGACATTCAGGAATTTAGGGCCGTATATATTATGTAAATCATAATATCTCAATGTCTATAGCTTCTATATGTTATTTCTTTACTTGCTTTTTAAAGTTGATAATGGGAAATTTCTGGTATACTCAGAAGTAGAGTAGTATAAAGAACCCCCCGTCTCTGTCACTCAATCTCAGCAACTGTGACATGGCAAGACTTGCTTCACCCAGGCTCCAGCTTACTCTACCCCTCTGCCCCCCATTATTTGGAAACAGATCTCAAACATCATATTTTTTAAAGTAAAACCATAATACCATTAATCAGATATAAAAAATTAAGTCATTTCTTAATATTCTCCAATATGCAGTCAGTGATTAGATTTTTCCCTATTGTCATAAAATTTTTTAAATGAGTTTAACTCAGAATCCAAATCAGGCCCATATATTGCAAGTGGTTGACATGGCTCATAAGTGTTTCAGTTCTTAAGGCCCCACCTCTTTATCTCTCTCTTTTTTCTTCTTACAATGTACTTACTGAGTAATCCTGGTCATGTGTCCCATACAATTTCTCATAGTCCAGATTTTGTGTATAGACAGTGCCATATGATGCCATCTAACCTCTTCCTCTATCCCTGGATAGCCTATATGTTGATGTAGTTAGTTTGAGATTGGCAGTTATGGCCAGGTGCGGTGGCTCATGCCTGTAATCTCAACACTTTGGGAGGCTGAGGTGGGTGGATCACCTGAGGTCAGGAGTTCGAGACCAGACTGGCCAACATGGTGAAACCCCATCTCTACTAAAAATACAAAAATTAGCCGGGCATGGTGGTGCATGCCTGTAGTCCCAGCTACTTGGGGGGCTGAGGCAGGAGAATCACTTGAACCTGGGAGGCAGAGGTTGCAGTCAGCGGGGTGAGACTCTGTCTCAAAAAAAAAAAAAAAAAAGAGAGATTGGCAGTTAACATTAGTTAGAGATTTGATCAGATTCAGGTTTAACTTTTTTTTTATATATATACTTTAAGTTCTAGGGTACATGTGCACAACCTACAGGTTTGTTACATAGATACATGTGCCATGTTGGTTTGCTGTACCCATCAACTGGTCATTTACATTAGGTATTTCTCCTAATGTTGTCCCTCCCCCTGCCCCCACCCCACGACAGGCCCCAGTGTGTGATGTTCCCCGCCCTGTGTCCAAGTGTTCTCATTGTTCAATTCCCACTTATGAGTGAGAACATATGGTGTTTGGTTTTCTGTCCTTGTGATAGTTTGCTCAGAATGATGGTTTCCAGCTTCATTCATGTCCCTGCAAAGGTCATGAACTCATCCTTTTTTATAGCTGCATAGTATTCCATGGTGTATATGTGCCACATTTTCTTAATCCAGTCTATCATTGAAGGACATTTGGGTTGGTTCCAAGTCTTTGCTATTGTGAATAGTGCCACAGCAAACATACATGTGCATGTGTCTTTATAGTAGCATGATTTATAATCCTTTGGGTATATACTCAGTAAGGGGATCACTGGGTCAAACTGTATTTCTAGTTCTAGATCCTTGAGGAATTGCCACACTGTCTTCCACAATGGTTGAACTAGTTTACAGTCCTACCAATAGTGTGAAAGCATTCCTGTTTCTTCACATCCTCTCCAGCACCTGTTGTTTCCTGACTTTTTATTGATTGCCATTCTAACTGGTGTGAGATGGTATCTCATTGTGGTTTTGATTTGCATTTCTCTGATGGCCAGTGATGATGAGCATTTTTTCATGTGTCTGTTGGCTGCATAAATGTCTTCTTTTGAGAAGTGTCTGTTCATATCCTTTGCTCACTTTTTGATGGGGTTGTTTTTTTCTTGTAAATTTGTTTAAGTTCTTTGTAGATTCTGGATATTAGCCCTTTGTCAGATGGGTAGATTGAAAAAATTTTCTCCCATTCTGTAAGTTGTTCACTCTGATGGTAGTTTCTTTTGCTGTGCAGAAGCTTGTTAGTTTAATTAGGTCCCATTTGTCTATTTTGGCTTTTGTTGCCATTGCTTTTGGTGTTTTAGTCATGAAGTCCTTGCCCATGCCTATGTCCTGAATGGTATTGCCTAGGTTTTCTTCTAGGGTTTTTATGGTTTTAGGTCTAACATGTAAGTCTTTAATCCATCTTGAATTAATTTTTGTATAAGGTGTAAGGAAGGGATCCAGTTTCAGCTTTCTACATATGGCTAGCCAGTTTTCCCAACACCGTTTATTAAATAGGGAATCGTTTCCCCACTTCTTGTTTTTGTCAGGTTTGTCAAAGATCAGATGGTTGTAGATGTGTGGTGTTATTTCTGAGGCCTCTGTTCTGTTCCATTGGTCTATATCTCTGTTTTGGTACCAGTACCATGCTGTTTTGGTTACTGTAGCCTTGTAGTATAATTTGAAGTCAGGTAGTGTAATGCCTCCAGCTTTGTTCTTTTTGCTTAGGATTGTTTTGGCAATGCGGGCTCTTTTTTGGTTCCATATGAACTTTAGTTTTTTCCAGTTCTGTGAAGAAAGTCATTGGTAGCTTGATGGGGATGGCATTGAATCTATAAATTACCTTAAGCAGCATGGCCATTTTCACGATATTGATTGTTCCTATCCATGACCATGGAATGTTCTTCCATTTGTTTGTGTCCTCTTTTATTTCGTTGAGCAGTGGTTTGTAGTTCTCCTTGAAGAGATCCTTCACATCCCTTGTAAGTTGGATTCCTAGGTATTTTATTCTTTTTGTAGCAATTGTGAATGGGAGTTCACTCATGATTTAGCTCTCTGTTTGTCTGTTATTGGTGTAAAGGAATGCTTGTGATTTTTGCACATTGATTTTGTATCCTGAGACTTTGCTGAAGTTGCTTATCAGCTTAAGGAGATTTTGGGCTGAGATGATGGGGTTTTCTGAATATACAATCATGTCATGTACAAACAGGGACAATTTGACTTCCTCTTCTCCTAATTGAATACCTTTTATTTCTTTCTCCTGCCTGATTGCCCTGGCCAGAACTTCCAACACTATGTTGAATAGGAGTGGTGAGAGAGGGCATCCCTGTCTTGTGCCAGTTTTCAAAGGGAATGCTTCCAGTTTTTGCCCATTCAGTATGATATTGGCTGTGGGTTTCTCATAAATAGCTCTTATTGTTTTGAGATATGTTCCATCAGTACCTAGTTTATTGAGAGTTTTTAGCATGAAGGGCTGTTGAATTTTGTCGAAGGCCTCTTCTGCATCTATTGAGATAATCAGGTGGTTTTGTCATTGGTTCTGTTTGTTGTTGTTGTTGTTGTTGTTGTTGTTGTTTAGAGACGGAGTCTCGCTCTGTCGCCCAGGCTGGAGTGCAGTGGCACAATCTCGGCTGACTGCAACCTCCGCCTCCCGGGTTCACGCCATTCTCCTACCTCAGCCTCCTGTGTAGCTGGGACTACAGGTGCCCGCCTCCACACCTGGCTAAGTTTTTGTATTTTTAGTAAAGACGGGGTTTCACCGTGTTAGCCAAGACGGTCTCAATCTCCTGACCTCGTGATCCACCCACGTCAGCCTCCCAAAGTGCTGGGATTACAGGCGCGAGCCACCGTGCCTGGCCTTTGGTTCTGTTTATGTGATGGATTATGTTATTGATTTGCGTATGTTGAACCAGCCTTCCATCCCAGGGATGAAGCCGACTTGATCGTGGTGGATAAGCTTTTTGATGTGCTGCTGGATTCAGTTTTCCAGTATTTTATTGAGGATTTTTGTATCAATGTTCATCAAGGATATTGATCTAAAATTCTCTTTTTTTGTTGTGTCTCTGCCAGGCTTTGGTATCAGGATGATGCTGGCCTCATAAAAATGAGTTAGGGAGGATTCCCTCTTTTTTCTGTTGATTGGAATAGTTTCAGAAGGAATGGTACCAGCTCCTTGTTGTACCTCTGATGAGTTCGGCTGTGAATCCGTCTGGTCCTGGACTTTTTTTGGTTGGTAAGCTATTAATTATTGCCTCAATTTCAGAACCTGTTATTGGTCTATTCAGAGATTCAGCTTCTTCCTGGCTTAGTCTTGGAAAGGTGTACATGTCCAGGAATTTATTCATTTTTTCTAGATTTTCTAGTTTATTTGCATAGAGGTATTTATAGTATTCTCTGATGGTAGTTTGTATTTCTGTGGGATCGGTGGTGATATCCCCTTTATCATTGCATCTATTTGATTCTTCTCTTTTCTTCTTTATTAGTCTTGCTAGCGGTCTATCAATTTTTTTCATCTTTTCAAAAAACCAGCTCCCGGATTCATTGATTTTTTTAAGGGTTTTTTGTGTCTGTATCTCCTTCAGTTCTCCTCTGATCTTAGTTATGTCTTGCCTTCTGCTAGCTTTTGAATTTGTTTGCTCATGCTTCTCTAGTTCTTTTAATTGTGATGTTAAGATGTCGATTTTAGATCTTTCCTGCTTTCTCTTGTGGGCATTTAGTGCTATAAACTTCCCTCTACACACTGCTTTAAATGTGTCCCAGAGATTCTGGTATGTTGTGTCTTTGTTCTCATTGGTTTCAAAGTACATCTTTATTTCGTTATTTACCCCATAGTCATTCAGGAACAGGTTGTTCAGTTTCCAAGTAGTTGTGCGGTTTTGAGTGAGTTTCTTAATCCTGAGTTCTAATTTGATTGCACTGTGGTCTGAGAGACCATTTGTTGTGATTTCTGTTCTTTTACATTTGCTGAGGAGTGCTTTACTTCCAACTATGTGGTCAATTTTGGAGTAAGTGTGATGTGGTGCTGAGAAGAATGTATATTCTGTTGATTTGGGGTGGAGAGTTCTATAGATGTCTATTAGGTCCACTTGGTGCAGAGCTGAGTTCAAGTCCTGGATATCTATCCTTGTTAACCTTCTGTCTCGTTAATCTGTCTAATACTGACAGTGGGTTGTTAAAAGTCTCCCATTATTATTGTGTGGGAGTCTAAGTCTTTGTAGGTCTCTGAGGACTTGCTTTATGAATCTGAGTGCTCCTGTATTGGGTGCCTATATATTTAGGATAGTTAGCTCTTCTTGTTGAATTGATCCCTTTACCATTATGTAATGGCCTTCTTTATTTCTTTTGATCTTTGTTGGTTTAAAGTCTGTTTTATCAGAGACTAGGATTGCAACCCATGCTATTTTTGCTTTCTATTTGCTTGGTAGATCTTCCTCCATCCCTTTTTTTTGAGCCCATGTGTGTCTCTGCATGTGAGATGGGTCTCCTGAATACAGCACACTGATGGGTCTTGACTCTTTATCCAATTTGCCAGTCTGTGTCTTTTAATTGGGGCATTTAGCCCATTTACATTTAAGGTTAATATTGTTATGTGTGAATTTGATCCTGTCATTATGATGTTAGCTGGTTATTTTGCCTATTAGTTAATGCAGTTTCTTCCTAGCCTTGATGGTCTTTACAATTTGGCATGTTTTTGCAGCGGCTGATACCGGTTGCTCCTTTCCATGTTTAGTGCTTCCTTCAGGAGCTCTTGTAAGGCAGGCCTGGTGGTGACAGAATCTCTCAGCATTTGCTTGTCTGTAAAGGATTTTATTTCTCCTCCACTTATGAAGCTTAGTTTGGCTGGATATGAAATTCTGGGTTGAAAATTCTTTTCTTTAAGAATGTTGAATATTGTCCCCCGCTTTCTTCTGGCTTGTAGAGTTTCTGCCGAGAGATCAGCTGTTAGTCTGATGGGCTTCCCTTTGTGGGTAACCGACCTTTCTCTCTGACTGCCCTTAACATTTTTTCCTTCATTTCAACCTTGGTGAATCTGACAGTTATGTGTCTTGGGTTGCTCTTCTCAAGGAGTATCTTTGTGTGGTGTTCTCTGTATTTCCTGAAGTTGAATGTTGGCCTGCCTTGCTAGGTTGGGGAAGTTCTCCTGGATAATATCCTGCAGAGTGTTTTCCAACTTGGTTCCATTCTCCCCGTCACTTTCAGGTACACTAATCAAATGTAGATTTGGTCTTTTCACATAGTCCCATATTTCTTGGAGGCTTTGTTTGTTTCTTTTTACTTTTTTCTCTAAACTTCTCTCTTACTTTATTTCATTAATTTGATCTTCAATCACTGATACCCTTTCTTCCACTTGATCGAATCGGCTATTGAAGCTTGTGCATGTGTCACATAGTTCTCATGCCATGGTTTTCAGCTCCATCAGATCATTTAAGGTCTTCTCTACGCTGTTTGTTCTAGTTAGCCATTCGTCTAATCTTTTTTCAAGGTTTTTAGCTTCCTTGCGATGGGTTTGAACATCTGCCTTTAGCTCAGAAAAGTTTGTTATTGCCGACCTTCTGAAGCCTACTTCTGTCAGCTCGTCAAAGTCATTCTCCATCCAGCTTTGTTCCGTTGCTGGCAAGGAGCTGCAATCCTTTGGAGGAGAAGAAGTGCTCCAGTTTTTAGAATTTTCAGCTTTTCTGCTCTGGTTTCTCCCCACCTTTGTGGTTTTATCTACCTTTGGTCTCTGATGTTGGTGACCTACAGATGAGGTTTTGTTGTGGATGTCCTTTTTGTTGATGTTGATGCTACTCCTTTCTGTTTGTTAGTTTTCCTTCTAACAGTCAGGTCCCTCAGCTGCAGGTCTGTTGGAGTTTGCTGGAAGTCCACTCCAGACCCTGTTTGCCTGGGTATCACCAGTGGAGGCTGCAGAACAGCAAATATTGCTGCCTGATCCTTCCTCTGGAAGCTTTGTCCCAGGGGGCACCTGCCTGTATGAGGTGTCAGTCGGCCCTTACTGGGAGGTGTCTCCCAGTTAGGCTGCACGGGGGTCAGGGACCCACTTGAGGAGGCAGTCTGTCTGTTCTCAGAGCTCAAACACCATGCTGTGAGAACCACTGCTTTCTTCAGAGCTGTCAGACAGGGACGTTTAAGTCTGCAGAAGTTTCTGCTGCCTTTTGTTCAGCTGTGTGCTGCCCCCAGAGGTGTAGTTTACAGAGGCAGCAGGCCTTGCTGAGCTGCAGTGGGCTCTGCCCGGTTTGAGCTTCCTGACCGCTTTGTTTACCTACTCAAGCCTCAGCAATGGTGGACGCCCCTCCGCCTGCCAGGCTGCTGCCTCGCAGGTCAATCTCAGACTGCTGCACTAGCAGTGAGCAAGGCTCCGTGGGCGAGGGACCAGCTGAGCCAGGCTCAGGTTATAATCTCCTGGTGTGCCGTTTGCTAAGACCATTGGAAAAGCGCAGTATTTGGGTGGGAGTGTCCCGATTTTCCAGGTACAGTCTGTCATGGCTTCCCTTGGCTAGGAAAGGGAAATCCCTTCCCAGGTGAGGTGATGCCCCGCCCTGCTTCGGCTCACCCTCCGTGGGCTGCACCCACTGTGCAGCCAGTCCCAGTGAGATGAACCAGGTACCTCAGCTGGAAATGCAGAAATCACCCGTCTTCTGATCATGCTGGGAGCTGCAGACCAGAGCTGTTCCTGTTCAGCCATCTTGTAACGGAAGGCTTTCCTATTTTAAAATAATGGAAATTGCTTGGTAAACTCTTCTCTCACAATACATATAGTATTGCAAGCTACATTATAAAGTCTAGTGTCTTATTTTGGGTGGAAGTCAGGAATTATTTGTTTTCTTTAGTTTGTTTTAGAAATATGTTCAGAATCTCTCCCTGTGTGCTTTTGTTTGCCTTGACCATGGTAAGAAAGTGGAGTGGTGGCCCATCTGGAGTGAAGAAACTTTGAGCAAAGAGTTGAAGGACCAGCTCTTAGCACCACCTGTGGCCCTTGTGTGGTGGCCATGGACAGTGTGAACATGTTTTCCTTTGTGCAGTTAAGGAGTTAACAAATTCTTCTAAGTTTCCTTCCAGCTCAGGGTCCTGTTTTAAGCCTAACCATATATATTTGCTAAGTTATTTGGGGGGATGTTCAGGGGTTAGTGTGTGCATTTCTTGGTTACCATCTAAAGATAAATTCTTTTTTCTTTTTCCCTTCTAGCTATTGTACACATGTGACAACCTATGAAGAATCAAATTATTCTCTGAGTTATCAGTTTATACTAAATCTCTTCTCCTTCCTGCTCAGAATAAAGACTTCCCTTCTCCATGAAGAAGTGAGCTTAGTTGAGAAGAAACTTTTTGAGAAAAAATACAGTGTAAAAAGAAAGAAATCAAGATCCAAGAAAGTGAGACGACATTGAGAAAATGAAATAGAAACTTTCTGGAAAAATATTTTAATAGTGATAATAACATCAGATTTTAATATAACATTCCAGAGAATTGTGGAAAATACTGCATATATATGTATAGACTCTGACACATATTTACATATATATCAAGTGTGCTTAGAAAAATGTATATTGTAAAGCAGGTGAGCTTCATTTGATTTTATTTTTCAGAGTATGAACATTCTAAGAGAAAGTTAAAACAATAGCAAATTGTATAATTGTATCCAGAAATGTATACTCATCGTATTTTAAAGCTAAATTTATTTTTTAAACTAGATCCCTTCATTATTCTTTATGCCCCAGAGTAAATCCCAGATGGATCAAAGATCTAAACATAATCTTTCATATGTAAAAATATAAAAGTATTAGTAGAAAACAAATATGAATGCTTTGATGATCTTGGAATGGCAAAGTCAATTTTTGCAGCATATGGTGGACAAAGAAATAATTTCTTTAATGTATCAATAGCTCTTGCAAAGCAAAAGGAAAAAAGCAAACTGAGTAAGGGATATGAAAAATTAGTTTTCTGAGGCCGGGCGCGGTGGCTCACACCTGTAATCCCAGCACTTTGGGAGGCCGAGGTGGGCGGATCACGAGGTCAGGAGATCGAGACCATCCTAGCTAACATGGTGAAACCCCGTCTCTACTAAAAATACAAAAAATTAGCCGGGCATGGTGGCGGGCGCCTGTAGTCCCAGCTACTCAGGAGGCTGAGGCAGGAGAATGGCGTTAACCTAGGAGGCGGAGCTTGCAGTGAGCCGAGATTGCGCCACTGCACTGCAGCCTGGGTGACAGTGCAAGACTCTGTCTCAAAAAAAAAAAAAAGAAAAGAAAAATTAGTTTTCTGAAGGCCAAGCCAAAAAACATCATAGGATACTCGACCTCACTTATACTCAAGAAATACAAATTGAAATGAATACTGTTTCCCACATACTGGATTGGCAAAGATTATAAAGATGTGTAAAACCTGGTATGGACATTGGAAAATCAGGCATTCTTGTTCTGAGTTCATTTATGCATGCAACAGATAGCAACTCCTGTGTTCAGGCATGTTCTAAGCACTGGGGATACAGCACTGAACAAGACCCCCACCTTTAAAGATCATAGGTTCCAACTAGGTGAAAGCTGATAGTAAAAATATATATTATTTTTGAGGGAATTAAGTACAATGAAGAAAAAGCAAGAAAAGATAAATGATAAGGTAGGCCATTTTTTAAAGGGCGGCTGAGGGAGGATCCTCTGGGGCAGTGGCATTAGAGCAGAGACCAACTTGCCTGGAACACAGTAGCACGAGCAGCCATGCAGCCATCCAGGGGGAGATCAGCCCAGGCAGAGGAAAGATGTGCAGAGGTTCTGAGCAGGGGCATGCTGGATGCAGTCAAGGACTGGCAGGGTGTCCAGAGTGGCTGGAGCACTGTGGATAAAGGGGAGAGGGAGAGCAGATGGGCAGGTGGGATGGTAGAGGTTGCTCTGAGGTCACGGTAAGGATGACCTTACCACGGTTGGCTTTTTTCTCAAATGTCACAGGAAGCCACTGGAAATTTTTAAACAAAAGAATGATGTGATCCAACGTATATCATAAAAGTATCACTGACTACTCTGATGAGTACACCGTAGTGGGGATGTGAGCAGTGGTTAGAGAGTTCATTTTGAATTGAATGTATTTTGTTACTCTCTACCTGTTTCACTTATTGTAAGGTTTTCTTTTTTCTTTTCTTTTTTTTTTTTTTTTTTTTTTTTTTTTTGAGACAGGGTCTTGCTGTGTCACCCAGGCTGGAGTACAGTGGTGTGACCTTGGCTCACTGCAGCTTTGACTCCCTGGCTCAAATGCTCCTCCTGAGCCTGACTAGCTGAGACCACAGGCATGTGCCATCATATCCAGCTAAATTTTTTATTTTTTGTAGAGACAGAGGTCTCAGTATGTTGCCTAGGCTAGTCTTGAAATTCTCGGCTCAAGTGATCCTCCCACCTCAGCCTCCCAAAGTGCTGGGATTACAGGTATGAGCCACCACGCCTGGCTGACTACAACTTTTAATATTTTTTAATTTTTGCAACTTTTTTTTTTTTTTTGAGACAGAGTCTCACTCTGTCGCCCAGGCTGGAGTGCAGTGGCACGATCTCGGCTCACTGCAAGCCCCGCCTCCCGGCTTCATGCCATTCTCCTGCCTCAGCCTCCTGAGTAGCTGGGACTACAGGCGCCCACCACCACGCCAGCTAATTTTTGAATTTTTAGTAGAGATGGGGTTTCACCGTGTTAGCCAGGATGGTCTCGATCTGACCTCGTGATCCACCCGCCTTGGCCTCCTAAAGTGCTGGGATTACAGGCGTGAGCCACCGTGCCCAGCCTAATTTTTGTAACTTTTTATAATGAGACTTACACATTGATTTAAATTATATACAGGATGCTCAGCCAGCACAAAGCTGTGGTGAGATTTGGGCCCAAGTCTCCGACTCCAGATTCCAAACCACATTAAAAAAAAAAAAATCACCTGCAGACTGCCTATAGCTTTAACAGTCTCTGTCTCCCCTTCTTCACATCCTTCCGGTGGAGAAAAGTTTGTGAATATTAAGTAAATTTGATTCAATAGACATTTTATTTTTTTGTAAAGATGATGGGGTCTTGCTATGCTGCTCAGGATGGTCTTGAACTCGTGACCTCAGGTGATCCTCCCACCTCTGTCTCCCAAAGTGCTGGAATTACAGATGTGAGCCACTGCGCCCAGCCTGGTTTGGTAGTTTCTTAAAAGTGAAAATTAGACCTACCATGTGACCCAGCCATTCCACTACTAGGTGTCTACCCAAGAAAAATAAAAGCATGTTTCCACACAAAGACTTGTATACAAATATTCATAGCAACTTTATTTGGAATAGCAAAAAAAAGGGAAAACAACCCAAACAGCCATCAGCAGGTGAATGGATAAACACATGGTGGATATCCATACAATGAAACACTGCTCAGCTGTGAAAAAGGAACAAACTATTGAAACAATATCCCTGTTCAGGAGCAGGATTTGGAGAATATAAGAAGCATATCTTTTATAATTTAAAAACTTGCTTTCTAAGATTTGAACTGAAAGATCTTTTTTGAAGATGAGTGTCATGGAATTGACATGATTTGAAGTGTTATGGCACTTCCTTTGAATAAAAAAATCAAAGTTGCTAACAAGTTCCATGTACTTAAAAATATTGGGACAGAGCGCTCAAAGCTATGAAAAGTTTTGGGCCACCCATGAATATGAGATAAGATTAACAAGAGAGGAGAAGGAAGTGAAAAATATGGCTTTCCATGCATTTCCAATTGTATGAATTACCATTGAAGGCTAGTGATGAAATGTTACTCTCTAGGAGTCAGTGTTTTCACATCTAAAAATGGTATCAGTCATAGAAAAAGCTTATCTGTCTACTGCCAAAAAGGGAAGAGGGTAATAGCACGTATTGAGCACCTACTGTATATTCAGATGAGGTCCTGCCATACGAAATTCAGTCCCCACTGTTCTGGGGGCCATGCAATCGTCTTTAGATAATAGGTGTGGGGCTAGGGGTTCCGCTGTGAAGTTACCTTCCTTCCCAGGGTGCTCAGCCAGCACAAAGCTGTGGTGAGATTTGGGTCCAGGTCTCAGACTCCAGATTCCAAACCACATTTAAAAAAATAAAATCATCACCTGCAGACTGCCTATAGCTTTGACAGTCTCTGTGTCTCCCTTTCGTTTGCATCCTTCGGGTGGAGAAAGGTTTATGAATATTTTAGTAAATTTGATTCAAAAGACATTTCTTGATTATCACATTGGTTCTCAAAGTGTGGTCCCTGGACCAGTGACATCAGCATTACCTGGGCACTCATTAGAAATGCACATTCTCAGGCCTACTCCTGACTCCCAATCCAGAAACACAGTGTGGGTCCAACAATCTGTTTTAACAAGTCCTCTGGTTCGCTCCAGGCTCCAGGGTGGGACAGTCACTGGTGCTTCTGCTGGCTGGGACAACAGGGCCCCACTGTGGAACTTGCAGCCCGTGACCCCCTCCTAACGGCTCCTCTCAGTTCCCGTGGTCCCAAAAGCCCTCTGTCCCGTGCAGGGCTGCCCCACAGTGGCCTTCCACATCCTCCTGATAGCAGAGGCCCCCGCCACCCCCAGGGCCACCTCTGCAGCTGTGCCGCAGCTTCTCTGCCCAGGCACCTGCACTGACACGGAGCACCCTGTAGGTTGTCTGCTTGAGGCCTTTACCTAAATGCTTGCCGCAGCTGTTTCTAAACTACAAAAGCACACAATCATGAAATGAGGCAGAGGTGGGCTGAGTGCCACAATGGATGCCAAGAGGAAGAGAGATGGACATGGCGCTGGGAGGCTCTGGGCACCACTGGAGGGGGGCGCTGAGTTCCCGGGCTGCCCCGGCTGGGAGAGGAGTCGAGTCTTAATCTCCTTTAAGGAAACATAATAAATAAACTACTTTGCCACTAGAGTGATTTATGTGTTGATTTGGGTGGAATCTCTTTCATGAACACATTTTATGTCTTTTTAAAAAAATTAGATTATTTCTTGGCCAGGTGTGGGCACAGGGTGGCTCATGCCTGTTATCCCAGCACTTTGGGAGGCCAAGGTGGGTGCATCACTTGAGGTCAGGAGTTGAAGATCAGCCTGGCCAACATAGTGAAACCCTGTCTCTACTAAAAATACAAAAATTTGCTGAGAGTTTGTGGCAGGTGCCTGTAATCCCAGCTACTTGAGAGGCTGAGGCAGGAGAATCGCTTGAACCCAGGAGGCAGAGGTTGCAGTGAGCTGAGATCATGCCACTGCACTCTAGCCTGGGCAACAGAATGAGACTCCATCTTATAAATAAATAAATTAGATTTCCTACCACTACAGTGAAGCATAATTTTATGATTTAGGCAACTACCCTAAAGGGAAATAAAACTAAGTGAGATTCCACATGGTCTCAGTAATACCTGTAGTGCAAAATCAAATGCTTATAGGGAGTGAAACAGAATGCGGCCGATACCTGTGGAAAAGAGTGCTTCAATTGTCTTATGTCTACGACCAGCCTAAGCTCATAGCCATACAAATATATATACCATACATGTGCTGAAACTAAGTTAAATTTCTTGTTTTTAATTGTCTTAAGTATCAAACTTGGATCATCAGAACATGTTGGAAAAACACGGCTCTGAAGCCAACTTATTAAGCACCTGTGCTGTATCGAACATTTTACATTTGTTCATTTAACATATCTAGATAAATCTACTCATTTACAGCTATAGTGATCCAAGATTTCATCACAGCAGATTAAAACAAAACCTTTAAGTTAAAAATAATTTAAAATCAGTGAATATATTAATACTATGAGAGTCTTTGCCTATGAGAATACAGAACTTTGGCCCAAATGTTTCATTAATCTACAGGGTTATATACATTTGGAGCACAGTTTTGTTGTTTGTTTGTTTGTTTTTAATCCTCTTCCCAAAAATGGGTTTCTTTAGGCAGCTCGAGACTCCTGTGTTAGACAAGAGGAAAAGGAGTGGGTGCCTCTCGACTGGGACCAGTGGACATTATTATGGGAATATACCAGTGGTGGCAGGTTGATGACCTTATCTCCCTGCAGGGTAGTATTTCTCTCTGGGCTCTCAGCAGGTCTGCCTGTCACTGCCACCCAGAAGTGGAGCCACCTTCTGAAGCCCAAACCGAGGAGGGAGAGCCCAGGGTCCTCTGAAGCCCAAACCGAGGAGGGAGAGCCCAGGGTCCTCAGGCGCCTCGCAGCAGGAGGCCAGGAGTTCACCCACAGTGTCTAGTTCCTTGTTATCTTTCTTTTTCCCTCCATTGGCACAAAGCCACCTAGAAAAAAAAAGGAGTATTAATTCATCCCTCTATTCACACAAGAAGACAACATATTGTTTAAATAAGAAAGGAGCATGATTTCCCGAATCTTCAGCAAGACCTTGAATACAGTTTCCAAAGTAGGCCTGCTGTAAAAGTTCTGTGGATTATTATAAACTGCAGGTAGTTAAGAGTGTGTGTTTTTATCTTGAGTATGTAGCTGGTGACTTTTTAAAAAAATTAAAATGCCTCTGTGTTCCTGAAAGCTGAGTAAATTCACACAGTATTAAGTCTCTCACAAAACGAATTCAAGCAGCTCTAAGTGTATGTTCCCTTGTTTCGTGCCCTTGTGAAGTATTTAAGCATAAAGAGCTTTAGTGCCAGACTTACCTGATAATATGCTATGACTTCAGAAGAGCTTACAAAAGAGTGCTTTTATTGACTTTATAAATTAAGAACCTGGTATTTCAGCTCAGTTGGCCTTCTGCCCTTCTGAAACAATCATTCCCTTCTGGGACAATTAGTACATGTTTTATGGATATTTGCGTTGAACTGGGTGACTTGCAGACACTCCCAAAGGAATTTTTAGTTAGAATACCACTTAAACGCAGTTGCCTTTTGTCACCATTGTTGTCCACATTAATTTAAATTAAGTAAGTAAGTTAAACATTACCTACAATGAAAAAGGTGGTCCTGAATTTTTAAAACTCCCCCCAAGGTTTAAAGTAGGAAAAAAATGTATTCTTTGCCATGTTCGAGGATAAGAAAATGTTGTAAAACATGAATACTTATTTTTACCTTTCTCTCCTTAGCAACTGACACCAGAATAAAAATCTCCCTGGAAAGGCTCCTCTGGTCCCAAGCGGTCACCTGCTCCGGCCCCAGAGCCCCCGGGGGTAGGGAGGTGGGCTCTGTGCCTCTTCCCCCTCCACTGTCCATCCTGCCACAGCAGTTCACAGGGTCAGCTCTTCCGCTCTAAAACTGGTTTTGTTTTTTGTTGTTTTGTTTTGTTGCAATTGCCCCGTGCTAAGTGCAGCCCACGGCCCTCATGTGGAATGGGAATCAGGTAGTAAAGTCAGTAATGTTGGTTTCGCCTGCCCCTCCTCACCACAGCCCAAGGGTCAGAGCTGTGGAATGGCCTCTTAGAACCCAGCTCTATCACGCCCTCCCATCTCCCACTGCTGCCCAGGAAGGGTAGGGACCCAGGATCCTGCACCCCTCAGATCATTCTGTCTCCACTCACTTTCTTCAATTCCTCCGCACCTACAGCACAGCCTATTTTTGACATTATCATAGCCTGCTTATGTGTGTCCTGGTTTACTAACTAGACAGGCTTTCGTGAGACATGGCTCCTACAGAACCCTAAATCCAACAGATGTTCAGTAAATGCTTTGATGAAAGTAGTGATGAGAAAGGGGAAAATTACAAAAAGCTTCCCACTTTCTGATCAGCTACTGCTGTACTGTTTTCACTATTCAGTGATTTCACCATTCTGTGAATGGGCTCAGTTGTCTGCCTACAAATGTTGGTTTTGAGTCAAACTGAAGTTATTTGAAGACAGAAGGAGGAAATGGGCCTAAGTTTCGCCCCTGGCATTCCTGTGGCCATATCAAATATTTATATAGTGCTTAGAGTGGGCCAGGCATTTCACATGTATGGACTCTTTTATCCATACTTTTAGCAGCCCTACGGTCCTGTAATATTGTACAAAGGACGACCTGGAGACACACAGAGGTTCAATTACATCCCCAGGGCCGTGTTGGTAAGCATGGAGCCGGGCTCTGATTCCAGGCTGTTGGCTGAAGTCTGTGGGCTTGGCCAGCCTACCGTGCTGCCTCACCAAGACTCAACCCCTGGTGATGTCAGTTTGGAATCTAAGGAGCCCAAAAGCTGCTCAGAAGAAAACTAGATCATTTACAACTAGCATATATCCTCACCACCCCTCCTCCATGCCTCCACCCCAAACCTGTTCTTCCTCTGCCTTCCCTGACTCAGTGACAGCCCCGTCCACCTAATTGCGCCAAGTCATAAATCTCCAGCCCCTCCCTCCCTGTCACCTCCAAATCTCATCCTCACTTCGCTGACTTTCTACCACCAAGCACCTCTGGACTCCGCCCTCCTTCGACAGTCACTGCCCAGCTCTGGCGCTCCTCGTGTTCTCCCAGGAGCTGCAAAGCTCTCTCCCCTCCAACACACATTGCCCCTCTGCCAGTTATTTTCCCAAATCGGGTCTAAACCCACCCCCCACCCCCCCCACCCCCACAATATGCAGCATCCTCCCAAGGCTCCTGTTGCCTAGAGGCAAGAGACAGTGTGTTCTGGTTGAGCTATCAGAGTGTGGCCCCAACACTTTTCCCATCCCCCGCCCTGCCTTGCGCCCTCGATCTCAGGCAAGCCATGGCCTCTCACACCCTGAGGCCTTTGCCTGTGTTGTATGCTCTATCAGAAATGTCCTTCTCTCTCTTCTTCCTTTAGGACTCTTGCTCTATGCCATCTCCCTTCAACCCTCCCTACCTCAGCTCCCCAAGCAGAGTTCATGGTTTCCGAGCACAGAGCTCAGACCTCCGTAAGGGCATGCACCGTCTGTGCCACATGCCTGGGTCTCTAGATGGAGCCTCCTTGTGCTGGCCCATGAGCTTTCTGTGCACACAGATGCCAGTACCCACAGGGCAGGTAGGCACTACTGTTAGCGCTCCCTCCCCAACCTGACAGCTTGGTAGATTTTAAGATTAAGAAACTTGAGATCTTACAGGAAAAATATCACAATGATAATAGAGGCCACATACCAAAGAAGCATATCTAGGAAATGTTACACATCTAGTTTGTAATTACAAGTTTTATACAATTAATTTCCACTTACCAGCTCATCAGAAACTTTCCAGGTTTGCTCTTCTCTGCATTTTCAATGCGATGACTACATTTATTTAGCTTTATTAAGAATCCTATGCATACTAAGATTTGGCTTTTGCATGTTACCTGGTCCTCCATCTACACGAACAGCTCTCTAATTTCGTGTCAGTTAGTGCCTGCCGTCTGCTGATCCCCATAATGGCCCCAGAGCAGAGTAACTTGAGGTTTTATGATGCCTTGAGGAACTTTTATTAAAAGGACCACAATACCTAAGTAAATAATGCTCAAGGAGCTCCCCAGTTCTAAACCAGGAGAGCATGGTTGTGCCCATGATAATTTCAGGCCCAACACACACAAGTCTCTGCCACTCCTGAAGAGCAATCCCAAAACTCCAAGACCTGCTTCCCTTCTTTTCCCTCTGATGCTTATCACAAAATTCTCCTGATTTGGCCAGGCACGGTGGTTCACGCTTGTCACGCTTGTAATCCCAGCAACTTTGGGAGGTCAAGGCCGGCGGATCACCTGAGGTCAGGAGTTCAAGACAAGCCTGGCCAACACAGTGAAACCCCGTCTCTACTAAAAATACAAAAATTAGCTGGGCGTGGTGGCAGGCGCCTGTAATCCCAGCTACTTGGGAGGCTGAGGCAGGAGAATTGCTTGAACCCAAGAGGCGGAGGTTGCAGTGAGCCAAGATCGTGCCACTGTACTCCAGCCTGCGCGACAGAGCTAGACTCGGTCTCAGAAAAAAAAAAAAACTCCTGATTTTTCCCTTTACCTTTTTTCAGCCTCTAGCTCTTCCTTTTTCTAATCATCACCAACAGTGATGCCCACTGATTTGAAAGCTCCTGTGCTGTATGGAACATTTTACATTTGTTCATTTAACATACTAGATAAATCTACTTATTTACAGCTATAGTGATTCCAGATTTGGTCACAGCAGATTAAAACAAAACCTTTAAGTTAAAATTAATGTTAAAATCAGTGACTATATTAATACTACGGGAATCAACTCAAAAGTACAGATATTGAAATCAGTAATATCATGGTTTAGAAAAGACATATCAACATGGGTTGCAAAAGGCTCAGACTTCAAGTAAGGGAGCTGGCAGCTGGGGAGGGATTACTGTAAAAACACAGTTAATAAAATGTCAATTTTGGCTGGATGATTTAATCCCTCTTTGCTTTTTCCCTACCTATAAAGCAAAGATAAATCTCTCTTGTACTAAAATGTGGTGAGATGCTCCAACAATTTTTTTTTTTTTAAGATGGAGTTTCACTCTTGTCGC
This sequence comes from Homo sapiens, assembly GCF_000001405.40. NCBI lineage: Eukaryota > Metazoa > Chordata > Mammalia > Primates > Hominidae > Homo > Homo sapiens. The sequence goes on from NC_000002.12 coordinate 9,943,955, forward strand.
CCGGGCTGGAGTGCAATGGCGCGATCTTGGCTCACTGCAACCTCCGCTTCTCAGGTTCAAGTGATTCTCCTGCCTCAGCCTCCCAAGTAGCTAGGATTACAGGCATGTACCACCATGCCCGGCTAATTTTTGTATTTTTAGTAGAGACGGGGTTTCACCATGTTGATCAGGCTGGATGGTCTTGAACTCCTGACCTCGGGTGATCCACCTGCCTTGGCTTCCCTAAGTGCTGGGATTACAGGCGTGAGCCACCACACCCAGCAGCTCCAACAATTTTAAATGGACATTATTTTATAATAGAGATGTTTGATCATTAATAACCCTTTCTTCAAAGAGTGAAATATGCACCTGTGAGCCAGCAAGCCTCACCACAGCCTCTCAGCTCCCCTGTTTGGGGTGTTTGCTTGAAATGGCATTGAGCCAAATGGCTCCACCCCACTCGGTGTCAGTCAGAAGCAAGAGAGGTTCACTGGAGGTTAAGGCCAGGGCGCTTGAGCCCAGGGCTTTTTGGTAACTGTGTTGCAACTATTGAGCCTCCCTTGGAATGATCACTCTACAGTGAAGCCACAGGAAAAGAATGTGAGAGACCTAGGTTCTTCTAGCTGCCAACAAGTGGGTGACACCCAACATGACATAGCTGCTTCTGCCTACATTCTGAAACAGGGAGAGCTGGCTGCTGGCTTCTTGGCAACTGGGTCTGGGTCAAGTCCCAAGTATTTGACAAGACTCACCTGAGACTCCAGTCATCCTGGCAGTGGCAGGCAGGTATGGTGGGGACGGGTGTCAAACCTTCATAAGCAAGCACGCTCAAGACAGTGTCACGGAAGACACAGGAAAACAGAGCCTGTGGATACCAAACAACCGAGAGCTAATCCACAGTCAGTGTGTTCTCTAAGTTTGAGAATCAACTTAGAGAGTAATCAAATGCCATCTTCTGAGCCAGACACTGTCACTAGCACCTGCCACGGCTGCCACGTGTCCAGGTGCTCTGTAATGAGTGCTGTGGGCTGAACCCAAAATCTCATGCAGAAACACCCACCCATTGGCAGTACCACCACTAGAAGGAAAATACGGGGTTTGGAAACAAGATATCTGGGTTCTAGTCCCAAACTTATTGACTATGAGACTGAATTGCGTTATTTGATCTCTCTGGACTTTGTTTCTCCATCTACAAGGTGGGTAGAACCCTGTCTACTTCCAAGGGTTGTTTTAAGAATCAAATGAGCTCAGGTATGTGATCACATTGAGCACTGAATTCTGCCAAAAGAAGGTACATGTCATTATCATCCTGAATAACTACAGTAATTGTTGATCATCTACCATATGCTTGTCTCTATGCCAGATGATGAGGACGTTTTAAAAATATGAGATATAGTTTTTGTCCCTTAAGCAGCTTATGCTACAGTGAGGGAAAATGGGGAGGTGGAAAGTTTAATATTGACCTAGTTCCTGAAATGTGCCTGGCATTGTCTGAGATACTTTTCTTAAACCAAAACAAACACAACCTTTGGTGATAGGAATGATTATCCCGTATCCCACAGCTGAGGAAAGTGAGGCTCAGAGGGTAAGAAACTTTGTCACAGAGCTGGTGGTGAGGGTGGAGATTTTACACTCCCTGCCTCCCACACCAGTTTCTCCGGAGTGGAAAGACTTTCATCTCGCACTGGCACGACCTTGAGACCCCGGGTTCTGATGAACTGGGGGGACAGGTGCTTGGATGTCAGGGTGAAGGCTCTGCCATCATCTTTCAGCCCCCTGAGATGTCCCTTCAATATGGGCTGTTTCATCAGGGCTGAAGTCCCTGAATGTGGGGAATTCCACACATGGATTAGGTAACATGTCCAACCAACAAGGATGTGGAGGAATTGGACAGGGTTCCTACTGCCTAGTCTTTAAAGAAGATGAACGCCATCTGCCAGCGTCTGTCTGCCAGGCATTGTGTGAGTCTTTAAGTACTTTATTCATAGTTAACTCCACGTCTCTTGATGTATTTTCCATGTTTTACAGATAAGAAAAGCAAGGACTGGCAGCGAAGTAGACTAAAGATAAAAATCAGAGGCAGCCCTGGCATGTGAATCTGTATCTGCCTCAGTTCCTCCCTCGGAATTGTGCGGAACTGAGTCAAGTAAAGGCAGAGCCACTTGCGATGAGTGGCTTCACGAAGGACAGCGGAGGTGCTTGGGGAGTCCTCCTACTGGGATGGGAAGGGTTCCTGGAAGAGCTGGCATTTGAAGTTGGCCACTAAAGATGTAACTTGGGTGGCAAGGGAGAGAGGAAAAGCACAGGCAATGCCAGGTGCCTGAGATTCAGGACGCGCTCAGAGAACTCTGTGACAGGGGTGCAGTGACTCTACTGAGATCACCCTGCTGGTCAATAGAAGAACCTGGACTAGAACCCAGGTCTTGTAACTCTAAATCTACTAGCCACCTCCCAACCCCACTCAATGCACCCATGAGCCTGTTAGTACCGTACCATATGGTCTCCAATGGGAGCGGGGGTCCCAAATTAGTTCTCTACTCTGAAACTCATGGCTTGGGAAGGTACCTTCAAAGATCCTCTTTCTTTGAAAAAACACTACCTTTGAGTTTAAAAAGATTATTGCCAAACAAATAAAAAGATGAAAAACCTCACTCATAACTTAAAAAAAAAAGCAATTCAAAACAACGAGATCCCATTTTTCATCGAATAGACTAGCCAAGCAAACTTCAATGTTGCCCACGGTTGTCTAGGGTGCGGCACGGTAGGCAGTCTGATATTCTGTGGTAGGAATCTAAATAAGAGCAGCCTTTTGGAAAACAATCCGGCAAGAGCCAGGAAAATGGCAGCTGCAGGCCAGGTGCGGTGGCAGTGGCTCATGCCTGTAATCCCAGCACTCTGGGAGGCCGAGATGGGTGGATCACCTGAGGTCAGGAGTGTGAGACCAGCCTGGCTAACATGGCAAAACACCATCTCTACTAATAATACAAAAATTAGCCGGGTGTGGTGGCAGGTACTGGTAATCCCAGCTACTCTGGAGGCTGAGGCTTGAGAATCACTTGAACCCGGGACGTGGAGGTTGCAGTGAGCAGAGATTGCATCACTGCATTCCAGCCTGGGCAACAAGAGCCAAACTCCATCTCAAAAAACAAACAAACAAAAAACCAAATGGCAGCTGTGCATTCCCTTTTCTCAGTAACTCCGATTCTAGGAATTTATCCTATGGCAATACCTGATCAAGTGTGCAAAAATGTAGTTAGAGGAATGTGTTATTGTGAATGTTTGTAATTAAGAAAAGCTAGGGGAAAAAACCCTAATTGCTCACCAATACATTCAAGTTATCATATAGCCATTCAAGGAAACACCATACAGCCATTTTTTAAAGTGAACTAGATTTCTATGTGCTGATGTGGAAAATGTTTAAACCATAGAAAGGAAAAACAAGCAAGCTGTGGAAGATTGTGCAGTCCGAATCCCATTTGTCTAAGAAAATAAACCATGTGAGTGCTTGTACAGACAGAAGATATCTGGAAAGATCAACACAAATTGTTCACAGTGGTTGTCTCAAGGATTAGGGGCTGGGAATGGAGGAGGCCAGGGACTGCATTCTGTATCCTTCTGCAGAGCTTCAATTTCTTCCTTTCTCCTTTCTTTGTCCCGTTCCTAATCCCTTTCTATCTTTTTTTATTTTTGAGATGGAGTCTTGTTGTCACCCAGGCTGGAGTGCAGTGGCGCGATCTTGGCTCACTGCAACCTCCGCCTTCTGGGTTCAAGCGATTCTCCTGCCTCAGCCTCCCGAGTAGCTGGGAATACAGATACCCACCACCATGCCCGGCTAATTTTTGTATTTTTGTTAGAGATGGGGTTTCACCATGTTGGCCAGGCTGGTCTCAAACCCCTGACCTCAGGTGATCTGCCCACATCGGCCTCCCAAAGCTCTGGGATTACAGGCGTGAGCCAGCACGCCCAGCATTTTTTCTTCCATAAAAACTATGTGCATATATTACTTTAATAATTTAAACAAATAGTAAAGAACTTAAAAATGAAGAGGGTAGGCCAGGCATGGTGGTTCACATCTGTAATCCCAGCACTTTGGGAGGCTGGGAGGATGGGAGGATCGTTGGAGCACAGGAGTTCAAGACCAGCCTGGGCAATATGGTGAGACCCTGTCTCTACAAAACATACACACACACACACATACACACTAGCCAGGTGTGGTGGTGTGCACGTGTAGCCCCAGCTACTCAGGAGGCTGAGGTGGGAGAATCACTTGAGCCTGGGAAGTCAAGGCTGCGGTGAGCTGTGATGGTGCCACTGCACTCCAGCCTGAGTAACACAGTGAGACCCTGTCTCAGATAAAATAAAATGAAATAAACAGGGTTCATGGCAACAGGTCATAGATAGAGATTTTCATTTCTGTTTTAGAGAGCTATTAGAGACAAACTAAACAATCCCATATTCAAATTGACAAAATAGACCCAATGTTTTTAATTACTACAGCTATGGTCTAATAACCTCAGGCTCTTCCTGTTCTTGTTTTTGGCTTTATGATTGGATATTTCTTCATTCATCCCCTATTTATTTTGTGCCTACCATGTATTAGGCTCAAGGACTTTCATCTTCTGCAACGGTGGGGGGGGTCATTTAAAAGAGCCCTAGCTATGCTACAGAAGGGAGGAGACTGGGCGCAGAACGCATGCCTGCAGAGGACTGCATCCATTCAGTAGACATTTGCTGGATATTTTCTATGTATATACCAGGCACCAGGAACATAAAAATGAAGGTGGTACAACCGCTGCCCTCTCTGGAAAAGCTCACACTTGGTGGAGACAGACACAAACAGGAAAGCCCATAAGACAAACATGGTGATGGGCAATGCAGAAGGCGCTGTGGATCCCACAGGACACCTTGTCCAGCCTAGAGGGTTGGGAAGGCCACCTGGAGGAAATGAGCCAGGCTGGAAGTTGAGTGGAGTGGGCCAAGCATGGAGGGAAGGAGCAGGGAATGCGGGGACGGTGCTTGGGAGTGAGCAGTAAGGGAAGTGCTGGGCCGCCAAGGGGAGGCTGAGCTCAGGAGTGTGGACTTTATGGTGAGTATAACTGAGTGACAAGAAATCTGTGTTTTATAAAGGCCACTCCAGTGGCAGTGTGGAGCCGGGTCAGAGGAAATAGAAGAAAGGCAGGTAGAGGGACACTGTTCCCAAGTCAGTCACTTTGGCACCACCCTGATGACTTGTACCCTATTTGGGACCATCTGTGCTGTTATTGACTAGCATTTTTCTTAAATTAGCGTGCTTAGAAAACATAATTGATTTGGCAGGGCGCGGTGACTCATGCCTGTAATCCCAGCACTTTGAGAGGCCGAGGCGGGCAGATTGCCTGAGGTCAGGAGTTTGAGACCTGCCTGGTCAACTTAGTGAAACCCCATCTCTACTAAAAATAGAAAAATTAGCCGAGCGTGGTGGTGGGCGCCTGTGATCCTAGCTACTTGGGAGGCTGAGGCAGGAGAGTCGCTTGAACCCAGGAGGCAGAGGTTGCAGTAAGCTGAGATCACGGCACTGCACTCCAGCCTGGGCAACAGAGGGAGATTCCGCCTCAAAAAAAAAAAAAAAAAAAAAAAGGAAAAGAAAAAAATAATAAATGATTTAAACAGGAAACTAGTGGTAAGAACAAACAACAGGCTGCATGGATCCAGTGCTGGGCCCGGGGTCAGAGGACAGAAACTGCGAAGGGCGGTCTCAAGTGAGGCTGCCGATTCCGGTCCCTGAAGGCCTTGGACCAGGGCACAGAGGAGGGACTGCTGGCTGCAGGAGGGCCCTGTGACCTCATGCTGCTCCTCACTTCACCTCCTTCCCTTGGCTTCCACGCTTCCATTGCTTCCGACCTCGGTGTCCCCGTCTTCTGTCTCCTCCACTGGCTCTTCCTCCCAGCCTTTCTGTGTCGGAGGCTCCTGGATCCAGCATGGGTCCCATCCTCTTTCCTTCCTGCCTTCTCATGGCTTTAAATGGCCTCTAGACGTGGGCGGCGCCCAGATGTGAGCTTCAGCCCAGACTTCTCCCTTGCACTCCAGCCTCGTACCCAGGAGCCCACCTGATTCATGGATTTTTATCTCCCATACATCTTGAGCTTAGCACGTCCAAAACAGACTCTCGTTCTCCCCCAAATCTTCTATGCCCCAGGTCTTCTGTATCCCAGGGGATGGCAAATCATTCCTCCAGTTGCCCAGCTGGAAACGCTGTAGTCATCCTTGATTCTCTCTTTCTCTCACACCCCATATCCAATTTTCAGACAATCCTGCTGGTCCCACCTTCAAAGCATATCCAGAATTCGGCCACTTCCCACCACCTCACTCTATTGCCCTCGGCCTGCATCATGGCAATGGCCTCCTACCTGGTCCCCACCACGCAGCAGCAGAGAACTATTTTAAAATGTGAGACCCTGTCACTACCCTGCTCCAAGCCCCTCCAAGGCGTCCCCACCTAGCCCAGAGGGAAAGCCACAGTCCTTACGGAAGCCGGCAAGGCCCTGCTCAATCCGCTCCCCTGCGCCCACTATCTCTGACCGCAGCTCCCGCCTCCCTGTGCCCCACCAGCCACCCGGGTCTCCTCAAGGGTCACAAAACACACCAGGGTCCCTGCCTCAGGTACAGTCCCACCTTCGTGGCCCCTCATCTCCTTCAAGCCTGAAAGCCTCGCTCCTCCCCGCCTCCCCAGGGCCTGCCTGCTTTACCTTCCAACCAGCCACACCATTTACTTGTTTTTGTATTGCCCGTTACCCCAACTAGGAAGGCGAGGAGTTGTGTCTGTTCTGTTGACTGCCCTGTCCCCGGCGTCTGGGGCCGCGCCTGTCCGAGGGTCAGGTCCGACGCTGGGCATGTGGGGACTCAGTGAGCGGACCCTGGGAAAGACGGCAGCTCGGGAAGGACAAGTGGGGGCCGTCGCGGTGGAGTGGTGCCCGGGGCCGGCCCGGGGCGCGCGACTGCACGGGCAGCGTGGGGCGGCCGCGCGGGGAAGTGGCGCCCGGGAGGCTGCGGGGCACAGACATCGCGGAGCCCCAGGGACTGCCGCCGAGGGGACCGCGGGAGCTGCGAGGGCAAGAAATCCTAAAAGCGCGCGGCCGCGGTGGGCCAGGAGAAGGGACATTCCGGAGACGGCTCTCGGGGGAAGCCACGGGACTCGGGCGTGACAGCCTGCGAGAACCGAGAGGTGAGACGCGCGACCGGGGAGCGCGGCGACCGGCAGAGGCGCCCCCGCCGGGCGAGCGCAGGGGCAGCGCGGGGCGCTGGGGCCGGAACAGCGGGCAATGTGGGCACGGGGCGCGGAGGCCTGAGTGAGCGAAGAAGGAGGCGGCTGTACGGCCGGGGCTCGTCGCGAAGGGGATGGCCGGGGACGGCGGGGACGGCGGGGGCGGCGGGGGCGGTGGCGGGGCGCGAGCGGGGGCGCTCTCGGTGCGCGCGGAGGTTGGCGGGTGCGCGCCGCAGCCGCAGCGCTCCCTCTCCTGTCAGGGCAGGCGCGTACGGCCGCGAGTCGGGCGCGCAGCCCCGGGAGCGCAGTCCCGGGCGCAACCTCGCGGAACGCGCGGCCCCCGCCCCCCGCCCCGCGCCGCTCGTCCCCGTCAGCCCCGCCCCGGCGCTCTTCTCGCCGACCAATCAGGAGGCGCGACCGGCCTCCCAGCCCCGAGGCCTCGCCCCCAGCCGGCGCATCGCCAGCCAATGAGCGGCCGAGCCCGGCGCCCAGTGCGCGCAGCCCGCGCGGAGCCGGCTCAGAGCGAGAAAAGCAAACCCAACCCGTCGGGGCCGCCGCTCCGGACCCGCAGCCGCCGCCGCCGCCTCCTCCCCCCGGATCGGGTGTACTGTCCCAACCCGAAAGTCCAGTTCTGCGGCCCGGCAGCGGCGAGCGGGCGCGATGACACAGGAGTACGACAAGTGAGTGAGGCGCAGGAGTCCGGCCGCCGCGGGGGGGCCGCGCTGAGGGGCCGCACCTGCAGCGAGCGAGCCGGGCGCAGACCCGAGGCCGCGCGGGCGGGCGGGCGCGGGGCGCGAGCCGGGGGCCGCTGTCCACTCCACGCCGCCACGGCCTTTGCCCCTTAGCCCTGCCGTGCTCTTTGTTCGGTCGGAGCCTCGGGAGGAGAGACCCTGTCCTCGGGGAAACTCGACACCGGAGGGGCCACCCTCCTCCCCTCCTCCGCGGCCAGGTTGGGTCCCCTCGGGCGCGCACCTTGGGGTCCGGGCCCCCGGCGCGGTCGGGTGCGGCGCGAGGTCGGGGCGCAGCCAACGCCCCCGGGCCTCCCCGCCCCCCTCTCCTGCCCGGTCGGCCTCGGGAGCCTGGTGGGGCTCGCGCCGCGTCGGGACAGGTGGACTTCTCCAGGTAATCTGTGGTCTCAGGCTCGTCACTCGGCGACCTGCTGGAACCTCCAAAACAGAAATGTAGGGAAAGGTTGAAGTGCCCCGATGTCCGGGCGTTTTCTTTTCCCTGGCTGGCGGCATGAGTGGGAAAACGGCTGTAGGAGTTATTTTGCCACTTGCATCATTGATGGTAATTACAGATTACCGTGTTTTTAGTGCTCGAGAGAATCAAGAGGATGAAACTTTGAAATCCGGGTGTTAAACGAGAAAGTACTGTACAAGCTAATATGCTTTTTAGAGTGTGTGATTTAAAAGCGTATTTCGACAAATGTGAGGTGGTAGTGTAATAAGGCATGGGGGATTAACTGGGCGAGGGAGTTTTCTGTATTTTCTTTGCAGCTTTTCTGAAAATATAAAATTGTCCTAAAAATTTTAAAAACTTACTAAAGAAAAAACAGGGAAATCGCACCAGGCCAGTCAGTATATTTCAGATCAGGAAGTTTAAGGCAGATAGGTACCCCTCCCAGTTTCTTAGTTATTTGTGAAGGATCGGTTTTTGTCAGTGTGTTCTTTTTCTGGATGAGATAGATATTTTGTATGGAGTATCTTAAATGGATTACTCTTATGTTGTAGAATATGCAGTTAAATTATTGCCTGAAACATATTTCAGAAGTCTGAGAGATCGCAGACGCGGAGTTTAAGGCTCACCTGAAAGTGATGATGAGCCTTCGGCGACTGAAGCCTACTTCCTGACTGTCATGAGGAAGTGGACTAAGAAAGGCAACTGGTTTTGTGTTTATTTCTTGACGTATAGTTTAGATAAGGCAAATTTTCCAAAGCTAACATTTTGGCCTTAGGCAGGCTTTGGAAATATGAAACACCTTCAGGGTGATTCCAAACATAAAGCCATTTCTTTCTCTGTTTTCTATTGCTTGTACAAATTTGGGATGTGGGTGGGAGAAGAAGGGAAGTTGAAAACTAGCATTAAGGGAATTGAACAGCCAAGTGCTGTCATAGTCTTCTGGAAGTAGCTATTACGCTATTAATTATAGCTTAGCAGTACATCAGTCAATCAGTCCATGGCACCAGCCGTTCAGTAGCTGTTGTACTCTGGTCCTGATGGCTCAGGGAATGCCACTTTGTATATTTCTTTATTTTCTTTAAAGTTGAGATTTGTGTAAGCAATCTTCTCCATTTTTAGACAAATGATCTGCTGGCTTTGAACAGTCTTTTATGTTTGTTTTGTGTTAAAATAGTATACCACCTCAAGACTTTCTTACCAAATGTAACGTTTATGCCAAAACGTGAGTAAAAACATTGGCTTTCAAATAACACTTCATTTTGACTGAGGATACATTGTTGGATTTTTTTCCCCTTTTTTGAAGATGTTCTCCTTTTTCTAAATCTGTATCTGTTCTTAAAGGCCCTGGGTGACTCCCAAACGCTAACCTTTGTTGATTACTTGAAAAGATAATCAGTCTTTCTACATTCACTTTTAAAATAGGCAGGTCACCTTTAGGCCATTTACATATTTCATTTGTGTGTTGCAATGAGAGCCAGTCCTTCAATTTGCTTGTTAGAATTGTAATAATTCAGAGGAGTTCCAAACATTTAAAATTTATTTTTCTCCTTGAAAATAAACTGCTTTGTTTTGCTAGAGTCAGTGTTCCATTTTTTCTCTTTATTGACTTATTAAATAGTACCAACCGAACAGTTGTTGAGACTGTTTACATTTCAAGTTTTTGGAATTAGTAATGTTTGCTTTAATCTTTTAAATTAAATCTTCTGTAAGGTTTCACTAAGATCGCCATTGATTTTTTTGGATTTTTCCCACCAAACTACAGTGTTAAAATGAAACAGTTCTTGTGCAATGTGGAAAACTAGCAAAGATTTTTTAAAAGCCAGATTTTCCCACCTATTTTTTTTAAAACTTTTTGTTCAGTGGCTTCATTTATTGTTGGATATCCTTAAGTGTTTATCTCTAAGATAAACAGTTAACTCCCATGCCAGAAAATTATGCCTCTTTATTGATTTACAGTCCCCTTTGGCCACATTCCATGCTCAATCTGCTGGTAATCAGTAGAATATTCTGGCTTTCTCATATACCCTGGAGGATTGCGTGAAGGATCCCTTTTTCTTTCTGCTGCTTCTCCCCTCCCCACTGTGTTCAGGTAGGAATTTTTAAGGCATGGCAGCCACAGTAGAAAGAGGGAATAACATGTAGCAGTGTGATGAACGGCACACGCTCTTCTCAAGAGGGGACAGTCCTGATTGTGTGTTGGAAGAGAACAAGTATTCTCTTTTCTTTACTGTGTCCTTGTGTTTGTTTATGGAAAGTATTTGAATAGCCTGGCATTTTCTCGGGGATGGTTTTGTTTCGCTTTTTTGCCAAATAGTATACCCTGGGTTCCACGTGTAGGTGAACTGCCAGTTCTCTGGCTGCCTAGATACTTTATGTCTTACTGTGGGACCCATTGGTCTGCACTTACGTGGTTTGTCTTCTGGTCTTGTCTTAATTTGACTTCCTAGGGTCATTGATGAAACAATAGGCTATTTTATAGGAATGTCAAGGAATTGGTAGCTTATGATACCTTGCAGTAGAAAAGTGTGTGTTTTTGTTTTTTTTTTAATTTCTCTGAAGCAAACGGCCAGTGTTGGTTCTTCAGAATGAAGCACTTTATCCACAGCGGCGGTCCTACACTAGTGAGGATGAGGCCTGGAAATCCTTCCTGGAAAACCCTCTCACTGCAGCGACCAAAGCGATGATGAGCATCAATGGAGATGAAGACAGCGCCGCTGCGCTGGGCCTGCTCTATGACTACTACAAGGTGGGTTTGCCTGCCTTTAAAACCCTTAACAGCAGTCTCCAATGCACTTGATTCAGCAGCATAGAAACAGACATTTGCTGGTAGAATGCCATGCAAGTTGCTTCTGTAGTGACTATAAATAGTTTAATGAGTACTTTGACTTACTGTGATTCGAAGCTAAAAATCTGTGATTGTAGAATCAAAGGGTTGTTTTTAAAACATGCAAAGCGGTCAGCTGCTGTGGCTCTATCCAGAAGGTGAAGCTACCGTAAAAGAAGATGCTAGATGTGCCTTCTTGGGTTTGAGCATCTCACTGAAGGTGGTTCTTAGTGCCATGGAAAGTGGGCAGGGGTCATTTACCTTTTCACCTTTGTTCCTGGGTAGTCAGGATGATTTCCTTTCCCTAAATGATACTACAGAGCCTTTGAAATCATATTCTGTAGTCTAGGACTGTCCAGTTCCAAGATCAGGATATGTTTTGTTGCCTGTTTCTAGAGATTTGGAGTACTCTTAATTAAATATAATCTATACTCTGCATGGAATTTTACATGATTTTCATTATCTGGAAGTGACACTACTGATTTGTCTCATCATCATTGTCCTGATAACACTAGCTGCCACTATTATGCTAGACATGTTACCAGCCTGCGTGCGACTTCTCACTCAGAGGTCACAGCTAGGATGTGTGCATCTGGGGCCCTAGTCTGGTCCATGGCCGAGGCCACTGTCTTTCTAATGCAGCGTGCATACCGCTCTCCTTCTGGATTCACCTCTCCATTCTTCCTTCTGACCAGAAACACACATTTGGGGGTGGCTACGTCTTTAGGGTGCTACTTAAAACAGCAGACTGAGTTGAAGCACAGCTTTGCCACAGGGCCTTTGTCTCATTGTCACTCTGTGTGACTAACCTGTGTAATCATTGTGTTGTCATCAGTACCTGTATAAAAACAGGATCTGTTTGGGATTACCAGAAGCTTCTTAATGACAGTGTCTTCTCATGAATGTAGTGTATATTTTTTACAGTTTATTTTTGCTATCTTTTTGTTTTAAAAACTTTCAAACCTGCATAAAACTTAAAATAAGAGGATAATTAATTCCTGAATACCTTTACCCAGAATCGCCAGTTGCTAGCCATTGGCTACATTCTGGCACTGTATTCTTTCCTTAATACAAGAAATACAGAGGTGAAAGAAGCCTAGGAGATAGTTTTATTATTAAAATTAGGGTGATTAGCCTGAGCAACATGATGAGGCCCTGTCTCTACCAAAAATAAATAAATAAAAAAATACAGAAATTAGCCGGTTAGTACACATGCCTATAGTCTCAGCTACTTAGGAGGCTGAGGTGGGAGGATCACTTAAGCCTGGGAGTTGGAGGCTGCAGTGAGCTGAGATCATGCCATATCACTACACTCCAGCCTGGGTGACAGAGACAGACCCTATCTCAAAAAAAAAAAATGGGGTGATTATTTCCTAGTATGAGGCCATGCGTCTAACTAAGTTGGGGCTGAGGGATTGAGGTAAGCTCTTTTTTCTTTGAATATGAGCAGAAACTTGTGTAATAACTAATGATGCTAGAAGAAACTCTTACCAGGGAAACATAGCCATGAAGAGTTCCTTTGAAGTGGAAATTATTATATATCTGTTCTTATAGCTTGTTTTATTGACTTACTATAAATTAAGTTCCTAAAACATTAATTATGAAGTTACATATTTTTAACTGAAACTTTTGAGAATGGGAGAAACTCGTTGGTACAAGTTTTGTGCCAGAAAGGCCCGTGTGATAACACTAGGTGTACTACTCCTGCGTCTCAGAAGCATGTAAATCCTCATGTCTGTCCATGAAGGGTGACAATTTTAGTGGTACTTACTTGTCAGACTTCTTGTGATAGGTGTAAATTTATTTTCTTCTTCTTCTTCTTCTTTTTTTTTTTTTTAATAGAAGCAGAGTCTCGCTCTTGCCCACGCTGAAGTGTGGTGGTGCAGTCATAGCTCACTGCAACCTCAACCTCCTGGGGTTGACTGATTCTCCTGCCTCAGCTTCCTGAGTAACTAGGATTATAGGTCATGCCTGGCTAATTTTAAAATTTTTTGTAGAGAGGAGTCTCACTATGTTGCCCAGGCTGGTCTCAAATTCCTGGCCTCAGGTAATCTTCCTGCCTTAGCCTCCCAAAGTATTAGGATTACGGACGTGAGCCACTGTGCCTGGCCTATTTTCTTTTTCAAATAAACTGAATTATTTGTTTCAGGTCTTTGGCTGTATAAGCATCAGTCATTATTACATAATAATTTTGATAAAGCTTGAAAAGCATATTGTTAATACATGAAGCAGTATTTTTTTTTTTTTTGATACAGAGTCTCGCTCTGTCGCCCAGGCTGGAGTGCAGTGGCGCAGTCTCAACTTACTGCAGCCTCTGCCTCCTGGGTTCAAGCAATTCTCCTGCCTCAGCCTCCCGAGTAGCTAGGACTGCAGGCGTGTGCCACCATGCCCAGCTAATTTTTTGTGTTTTTAGTAGAGACGGGGTTTTAACATGTTGGCCAGGATGGTCTCGATCTCTTGACCTTGTGATCCACCCGCCTCGGCCTCCCAAAGTGCTGGGATTACAGGCGTGAGCCACCGCGCCTGGCCAGCAGTGTTTTGTCTTTAATGGTGAAAACAAGGATGCAGGAATAGAATTTTCACGCTGAAAGCCATTTTTAAGCACCTTAGCCATTTTGGAGTGCGCAATGGGGTTAAATCTCAGTTGAGTTATTTCTACAGGACACTCACTAACATTTGCCTACTTTTCACTTCCCTTGCAAAGAAAAGAACCAAAAAAGGAATAGAACACTGAGTTAGACTTGTCCTTTGGGTGATGGACGTATGAATCCCAGCGTATCTAAAGACAGTGATCATATGAAGCCCTCATTTGGATCTTAGAAGAAATGAAGGGTTAACATGGCTGTTCCTTCTGCTTTTGCATTTGATCTGAATGGAGGGTGGTAGGAAAGAGCACTGAGAAAGTTGGAAGAGCTCCGTTGTGTTTTCAGTAGCTTCTTCTCTAATGTTGTGTAGATAAACGAGTAAAACCAGGGCAGAGGTATTTCTTTTTTTCTTTTTTTTTTTTTTTTTGAGTCAGGAAGGGTCTTGCTCTATCGCCCAGGCCAGAGTGCAGTGGCGCAATCTCTGCTCACTGTAACCTCTGCCTCCGGGCTGAAGCGATCTTCTCACCGCAGTCTCTCTTGTGTAGCTGAGACTACAGGCACATGCTACCACGCCTGGCTAATTTTAAAATTTTTTTTGTAGAAATGAGTTTCACTGTGTTGCCCAGGCTGGTCTTGAACTCCTGGGCTCAAACAATCCTCCCACCTTGGCCTCCCAAAGTGGCTGGGATTACAGACATGAGCCACCAGCTGTGGCCAGCGGAGGTATTTTTTTTTTAAGAGATGAGACCCAAACTCCATGACAAAATAAATTTATCATGCCCTGAGTTTATTTGGCAACTCAATAACAGTTGCTTTTTACATATCAACCAGATGGGTGACTAGATTTTAAGCTCGTTGAGGGCAGATATTATAATTTGTGTGTCCCCATAGCCTGGTGTTTGCTAGGCAACCAGTAGATAAATGAATGATTGAATTTACTGAAAAATAAAAGGCTGTATCTTTGGGTAAACTGCACTTCACTGGATAAGAGCTAAATTCTTTTCATGTGTGCTAATATCAGGTTCCAAGAGAGAGAAGGTCATCAACAGCAAAGCCAGAGGTGGAGCACCCTGAGCCAGATCACAGCAAAAGGTAACATTCAGTGCCTAACAGCATAAAGAGTGCAGGGGGAAATGCCACGTTTCTGTAACAGCAAAATGGGAGTTTGTTTAAATGAACAACCACTAGTGAAAGAGATAGGTAAGTTGGACTCTTACTATCTAAATTCAGATTTCATCACTGATTTGCCTCTGTTGCTCTGAAATTTCCTTTTTTCTTTGGGCGTAGTAGTTGCCTTTTCTAGGATGAAAGCACTAACATTCTCCTCCTCCAAAGGGATAGTTTTAGTAATAACTTCAGTATTTGCTTATTTGTTTTTGAGGTTTTCTTTAGAAGGATGTGTGGCAGTGGTCTATTAAAAAAATTAAGCACCAGTGACTCTTGAACAACTGCCTGAGTAAAATTGAATAAAGCAAGTTAAATTGTATTCAAATTCCTGTTGAAATTATTTGTGAAATATTTTAGATTAAAACTTTCAGAAAATTTAATTAACGTTTGGCTAGCCATGAAAAACTTTAAAAAGACACCTTTTAAATTGTCTTGTGTTTTATTATCAATCAAGGAATGAAACATATTTAAAGGAAGAATGATCATCACCCAGTATCCCATTATCGTGATGATTGCTTTATTCATTGTTTTGATGTGTATGCAAATTTTATGTAGCGTAGTTGTGTTCACAGATAGGATTTGGTAGTGTACTTTCTTCTACTTAGTTTGTTTCATAAACATTTTCTCTGTATTTTAATCTTCATAATTATCCTTTGGAAGAGGACTTGTGGCTTTTATCTTTTACTTTTCATTATGGGCATTTTCAAACATAATAAAAATAGAAAAACAGTATAAGCCCACATGTATCCATGACCAGCCTCAACAGTTATCAACACAATTCCTCTTGTTTGATTTGTTCTTCCCTCTTCTTCAACTTTGAGATTAATTCATGTTTTTATTTTATTTATTTTTGCTGGAACATTCTGAAGCAAACTGTAAATATCCTTACAATTGCTGCTATATCTAGTTTTCACTATTAAGAAGTCTTAAGGAACAACTTTCTAGACTTTTTCCGTTTTAGGATAAATTCCTGGGAGTGAATTTATGGTTCAGGGTTCAAACAGTTTTATTGATCTTGAAATGTACAGAATTCTCAATTTGCCTGTTTCTTGAAGCTTCAGCCTATATGATTTCTGGGGGCTTTGAAAATTCATTCATTTTACCCACTGGAAATCATCTTGTATTGCTCAAATTATTTATCAAACCAAAATTTAATTTTATAAAAAGCAGATGTGTCTACTGATGCAATGTAACAATAGGTTTTCTTGGGTGAAAGAGAAAGCCAGGCCCGGCACAGTGGCTCATGCCTGTAATCGCAGCGCTTTGGGAGGCTGAGGCAGGTGGATCACCTGAGGTCAGGAGTTCGAGACCAGCCTGGCCAACATGGTAAAACCCAGTCTCTACTAAAAATACAAAAATTAGCCAAGTGTGGTGGCGTGCGCCTGTAATCCCAGCTACTCGGGAGGCTGAGGTGGGAGAATCGCTTGAACCCGGGAGGCGGAGGTTGCAGTGAGCCTAGATCACGCCATTGCACACCAGCCTGGGCCATAAGGGCAAGACTCTGTCTCAAAAAAATAAAAAATTAAAAAAAAAAAAAGGAGAAAGCCAAATGGCATAGGTGGTAGGAAAAGTGGTGACCAAGTAATAATAGCTCATACTTCTTGAAGACTGTGTGTCAGGCATTATTATACACCTTTTAGTGTATCATCTCATCTCAACCTGATGAGAATGGATGCCATTATTGTCCCCATTTTGCAGATGAGGATTCAGTTACTAAGAGATGAAGTAACTTGCTCAGGTGACACAGAACTTGAACCCAGGCAATTTGACCCTGGCGTCTATGCTGTAACCCCAGTTGATCAGATCGCATAGCTTCAGGTTTCTAGTAAAACACAGTAATTGTTTTTAGGATTATGGAAAGTAAAGCTTGTTAGAGGAGAGCTCTGAGCCCTTAGTATTTCGAATGAAATTTTACTTAATAGGTTTGGATTTTATTTGACCGATAACCAGAAAGCCTTTTTCCCTTTATCTAGTAATGGGTAGTTTTGATGTTTTCTGTTTATTCTGTCAAGTGTTATTGCACAGGACCCAACAGCCCAATGCCATTAGGAAAATAAAAATTGTCAAAGAACTACATCAGCATCGCGTTTGAAAGCAGTTTTCTTTTCTTAAAGAAACAGCATACCAATTGTGACAGAGCAGCCCCTCATCTCTGCTGGAGAAAACAGAGTGCAAGTACTGAAAAATGTGCCATTTAACATTGTCCTTCCCCATGGCAACCAGCTGGGCATTGATAAGAGAGGCCATCTGACAGCTCCAGATACGACAGTCACTGTCTCCATAGCAACGATGCCTACCCACTCCATCAAGACAGAAACCCAGCCACATGGCTTCGCTGTGGGAATCCCCCCAGCAGTGTATCATCCTGAGCCCACTGAGCGGGTGGTGGTTTTCGATCGGAATCTCAATACTGACCAGTTCAGCTCTGGTGCTCAAGCCCCAAATGCTCAAAGGCGAACTCCAGACTCGACCTTCTCAGAGACCTTCAAGGAAGGCGTTCAGGAGGTAAGGAAACAAAAACATCTTCCTAAGACGCCTGCGTGTTTGTATAAGTATTGGGTTCCACCTTTTCCTTGTTATGTAAGCATGAAACTCAGCCTGAAATGAATGGATTAGGAATAAAAGATTTTTTTTTTAAGAGAAAAGGCCCATGGGTATAATTTGTAAACTAAACCTATACAACCAGAAGTTATTATCAAGGATGCAAGGCTAATCTTACCAGCAGCTGAGTTAACAATTATGATTTCAGCTAAGGGATTTGCTGGAGAAAGAGAACCCCATACATAATCTTCTGTTGACCACAGGTAGATTCTCCTAGTCTGTTTTCAGCACTTCTCCCAGTGCCAAACAAGCTCCCTGGAGCTCATATAAAATGAGTTATTATATCTTTGCTTGGTGTTTCTTGGTTGGTAATGTAGTCAGGGAGAGCACAAATGCATTGTGTGAGGTTTACAAATTAATTCCAAATAGTTCTGGGGGTTTTATGGTGATGAATACCTCACTCAGCTAAAAGTTAGGGACTAAAGGTGTTAGAAACCATACTTAGTGACTTGGTGGGGTAAAGAGCATCCATCTCTGCGTATGGAGTTAGGGGCAGAATGTTAGCCTTTCCTGAGAAAATGCACCACATCTCTTCAGCTGTGGTGTGAACTTGATGCTGTGTCTTAACTTGGTATAATGATAGGGTGACTTTTAAAAGTCATGAAATTTTGGTTGCAGGTCCTAGTGTTTGAACAGAGTTGGGATGTGTGTGAAAGACAGAAAAGGGGGTCGTGAGTCAGAAGCACTTAGTGGGAGTACCTACACAGCTTGTTGTAATTTACTTGAGTGGCATATAAAAGTGGATATTTTCTCTGTTTTAATTTTTTAAGTATTTGTAGAATCAAAATTTTTACTCAAAAATAAATATGGAAAGGATAGTGGGTTGCTGTAAGCCACATACTTTTATGCGGTACCAGAGCTTGGTCTTTAGTAAGCATGATAACCAGTTAAATAGTTGTGGCTTATCACATTGATATTTCAGGTTTTCTTCCCCTCGGATCTCAGTCTGCGGATGCCTGGCATGAATTCAGAGGACTATGTTTTTGACAGTGTTTCTGGGTAATAGATGTCTTTTAATTTGATTTTTAATTTGCAGCTTTTATAACTTATTCCTTTCTTGTTAACTTGATAAATCAAAGGTGGCTTTAGCAGGCTTTCCCCTTATCTTACTACTTTTACTGTGGTACAGTCTTGGGTAGAGGACATCTGCTTCAGTGCTTTTAATTTTGAACTCTTTGAACTATGTTTCAAGTTTCCTTAATTCTTGGTGTTGGTGCTTTTTCTTTCTTTTGGATTCTTTATGTGATGGTAGTAGAATGGAATCTAATAGGAGAGATGAGGGGATTAAATTAGGTCTCTGAGGTCCTTTCTGTTGCCAAATATATATAATTAGGTGAGAATTTAGGAGTAATATCAAGTGATAAAAGCTTTTTTTTTTTAAAATCAGCCTCACTAATGATAAAATAAATGAAGTCAACTTTTTTCTGAGCTGACAACTTTCTTTTGACCTCACAAAATTGTATCTCACTCTGGGAGTATGAATATTTTCCAAGTTAATTAGGAACTCATATTTTGTTTTATGTGTTTTTTACATGTGTTATATTTTACAGTTTTAAAAGTGTCTAAGATTTTATGGGAATTGAGACTTCCCTTATAGATCTGCCTCAAGATGCAGGAGTCCCAAATGGAAATACCTTTAGGGTTTAGGATAGGGGTCAGCTAACTTTTTCTGTAAAGACTCAGAGAGTAAATATTTCAGGCTTTGTGGGCCATACAACCTCTGTATATTTTTGCAACTACCCCGGTCTGCCATTGTGCAAAAGCAGCCATAGGTAATGTGTAAACAAATGATGTGGCTATGTGCTAATAAAACTTTAGTTACAAAAATAGGTGTAATCTGCTGAGCCGTGGCCTGGGAAGGTTCTTAAACAACTTTAGGGGCATATATGAGTGGTAGTGTTAGGTAATAGGTAATGTCGAGAATTGTGGAGTGCCTGCCTATTAAAGACATTTAAATTACAAGTAGGAACAACAAAAAAATGCTATATAGGCCAAAAGGAATTTAGTCAGAGGAACACCAGCCACCTGTCTGAAACCTCTGCTGGATAAATATCAGATTGGCAGCATGTCTTGTGAGAAGTTCCTTCCAAAGTCCTTTCCACCTATCAGTATCTTTAATATCTCGAGCCCTCAAACTCAGGATGTCCGATTACTGACATCCATCACATCATAGAATTTTTAATCGGCAATTTGTACTTCCACCTCTGAGAGACTTGAGAATTTTTAGCTGCTGAGTACTTTTGTTTCAGATTTTCTTTAAGTGAAAAAGATAGCAAATGCTATTTATAATATGATGTATAGCAAGCTTCCACGAGAGTAGATTTAGAGACCTGTGACTTTTTTTGTCCTTTAGGAACAACTTTGAATATACCCTAGAAGCTTCAAAATCACTTCGACAGAAGCCAGGAGACAGTACCATGACGTACCTGAACAAAGGCCAGTTCTATCCCATCACCTTGAAGGAGGTGAGCAGCAGTGAAGGAATCCATCATCCCATCAGCAAAGTTCGAGTAAGTTCTGCTCTTAGTCCTGTTCTCTAGGAAAGCTAGTCAGAGCCTAACATTTCCAGGTCTGAAGCAGCTCTGAATGACCGCCTGAAATTGCAGCTTTAAGCCTTCACTGTAAAATATAGTACTAAATACGTTTTCCAAAACATACTCACCCTTTAGTGTCTTTATGTTGTAATGCATTCTCTTTCACAGAGTGTGATCATGGTGGTTTTTGCTGAAGACAAAAGCAGAGAAGATCAGTTAAGGCATTGGAAGTACTGGCACTCCCGGCAGCACACCGCTAAACAAAGATGCATTGACATAGGTAAGCAGCTCAAGAGCCCGCTTTTATTCCCAGAGGTGCAGCCATCCAGTTTTCTAAATCCAATTATTTTTGGCAGTGATCAGCTTCCTGCCGAAAGCATTTGAATTTTTATGCCAGCTACTGATCTGTTCCAAACACTGTCCTCGGCCTCCTGGAACCAGTGCTCTCACCATTGCTCCCATGCAGTAATGGGACATGTGCCCACGTGGTGGCTTTCCACAGGACACTAGGGCCAGAAGCCATGTAGCTGGCTAACCTGAGAATGTCCCCACTGTTCAGTCTGCAATTGCTTTAAGGGGTAATATCTTCTTTAAAAGATTCTGATTATTATTTGGAGATGATGGAGGTAGAGAAAAAAACAAGTAAAAGAAAGATATTGCTGCTGTGCAGTTGCCTAACAGTCTTCCCTAGTCACGTGCTAAACCGTGTAACTAACCTCTCTGTGGGCTGTAGTGGCAAACCTGTGCAAATCTGTATTTACTGAAGTAGCGTTACACAGACCTCTGTTCTTGCCATGTATGTAATTTTCATGTAAAACCATTGTCTGTATCACAGATGGCTGTTTAATATTAGTGTTACTTTTTTTCTTTACCTTTTGTAATGCTCTTGTTTCCTTTTCAGGAGAATGAGAACTCAGTTCTAATCTTGGTTCTACAGAGTAGTTTTGTGACCTTGGGACTGTTATTTAAACTTTTTAGACTTAAATTTCCTAATTGTGACATAATGAGATTGAATTAAATATGTCTAAGCTTGCCTCTATTACAAAAACTCTGTGATTCTTTTTCTTCGTATTTTGAACTTCTTCTAATCGAACAAAATGTTAATTTAAATTGTCCAGAGGTGATAATGCTAAAAACTAGATCTTATTTTGAACTGCTGGGATCCCATGTTGAAACTAAGACTCATGAGTTTTCATTTTCTCTTCCACCGCTTCCTGTAGCTGACTATAAAGAAAGCTTCAACACTATCAGTAACATCGAGGAGATTGCGTATAACGCCATTTCCTTCACATGGGACATCAACGATGAAGCAAAGGTGGGTGGTGAGGTCTGGGCGCCTTATGTCCAGCCATTTGAGAAATGGGAGGAGTTTAATGATTTGACAACTGATTTTTTTTTTTTTCACAGTTTTATGTGTTTCATTCTCAGGTGTTATGAAACTATCCTCTTCCCTTTTTATTCTCCCCTCCTCCAAAACAGATCATTTTTGTTGCCATCCTTTGCACAGAGTCCAGTGTGTGAAACATTGAGATTAAGTTGCACTCTGCCACTCCTGCCTGTTCAGCCTTGAGTCTGACTCCTCATTTGCTTTGCCTCATTTCCTCATTTGCACAGTGGAGGTGATATCTGTCTCCTCCCTCTATTGAAGGAGGTGTAAGGAGTAATGAAACAATGCCCATCAAACTGTTGGAGTGGCTTTGAGAAAGGCTCTTAAATATAAGTGATTATTAGTAGTACTCTGTTTCATATCATCACCTTGTAAATATGACTCTGTGTTAAGATTCTTCTGTCTTGGGCTTTTCCCATTGAAGAGTTGCCTCCAGTTCAGTTGGAGTAACTCTAATTGGCTAGAGTTACTCCTTGTGGGCGACTCTAATGGGAATTTTTGTGCCCTTGAAGAAAAATTCAGCATATTCCTAAGTCCTTTCTGCCTTGCCCCTGCCTTCTTCCCTGTGAGTGTGATCCTTCTCCACTCAATTATTAGAGTTCCTGTATTTCTTTCTTTCTTTGGATTACTTTAAAAACTGGGAGCTCAAGAAACTGAATAGAGGCCAGAAGTGGTGGCTCACACTTGTAATCCCAGCACTTTGGGAGGCTGCGGCGGGTGGGTCACTTGAGGCCAGGAGTTTGAGACCAGCCTGGCCAACATGGTGAAACCCTGTCTCTACTAAAAATACAAAAAGTAGCCAGGCGTGGTGGCACACGCTTCTAATCCCAGCTACTCTGGAGGTTGAGGCAGGAGAATCGCTTGAACCCGGGAGACGGGGGTTACAGTGAGCTGAGATCACGCCACTGCACTCCAGCCTAGGCAACAGAGTGAGACCCTGTCCCCCCCAAAAAAAAGAAAAAAAAAACTCAATAGAAACATAGGTGATTTTTCAGACAGTTGTTAACAGAAGACTGATCTTTAGTTTTCCTTACAATATTAGGTATAGCATTCTCTCAGAGACCTGGTAGAAAGAAGTGATGTTCATCTTCTTGTCCTTTCTCAGTCTCTGTTTTTTACTTTTTCTTTTATTTATTCAATAAGAATTTTAGTAACTTTTAGAATAAGACACTGTATTAGGTGCTGACTATTAGGGTTTCATTTTATCCTGCCCCAGAATGCTTTTGAAAATCATGTGACTGGGTCTTGAGAGCCATGTTCTGCTTGTATTATAATTGCTTTTCTTTCTTATCGTTGTCATCATGTCCAAGACAAACATGTGCCTTTCAGGCTGCAGACTCTAGGCAGTTGGGCCCACCAGGCAGTGAGGAAGCTTTAGGTGATTGTGGCTTTAGAAGGGTTTTCCTGCCAACCACCTCAGTCACATACAATTGTCAGGTGGCTGCATAGTCCGGAGTTTGTTGCTTGGCTAAGCAATAAATAGAGAAACTTTCCATTTTATATAATTGTTGTTACAGTTGTTTTGAAATTAAATATCATAATAGGACTCAGTCCACTGGCTACTACGAACAGCCTATGAAAAGTATTGGCCTTGTGCCCCAGGATGCTTTTATTCTTAAAGCAAACTGGAGTGTTACTTGCTGTTTGCCATTGGGGCCTCACTGAGAAATTGTGGAGGAGGCGATAAAGAGCCCATAAGTCCTGAGTTCCCTTTTCCAACTTATCCATGACCTTGGGTTAGTCCCTCAGTTCACTAGCTCAGTCCTTTCCCCTTGATCCCCCAGGAGAGTCACGAGGTTAGAGTGGCCAGCTCTTCTTCGTTGGGTGTGGTCAGGATTAATAAGCGCTTGTCATAGGCTTGGAGATCTTGGCCGAAAGGCCCAGCGCATGGGCAGGGCGCTTTGTTTGTTTGATGTGTCACTCTTTGGGGTGGGAGTAATGAAAGCCAAGATGACGGGTAGGGATAATGGCTTGTTTTATTCTGAAGGCCTGCAGCATATTTGTATTAGAAATATTGTTGGAGGAGTGGCTTAAGTAGCCTTAATAGCATTGCTAATTGATGTAGGTAAACTCAGTTTCATTTCCCCTTTCAGACCCCCAGCACTGACGTGATTTTAAGCCTTTGCCTGCCGCCAGAAGGGTGTTGTGCCATTTCTTAATGAGGCTGCTGTCTTTTTGAAGCTGATATCAGGCAGCAACTTCAAGCATGTGTTCTAATTAAGTATCGAGGTTTTTTGCTTTCCCTGGCCAACTTGATGTTTTCTGTTTTTATTCTTAAAGTAATTAATGCCTCAGGGCAGCAAGAGTGAACAAGTGTACATGCAGAATCCTGTATAGTTGGTTTTTTTTTTTACTGTTTTCTGAAAATATCTACTTTCTTTGCCCACTTTCTTGTTCTCATTTAGGATGCATTTGTTGATTTCTTTTTTTAATTGTAAGATTTATACTTGGCACATAATAATTGTACATATTTATGTGGTATTTGTTAATATGATTTCCAGTTCTTTCTCCCTCACAAACATAAGGGTTTATTGGAGCTATGTGGCATTTCCTCCCCTCCCCTTTTAGTGATCTCTAATGTACCCTTTTGGCCATGCCAGGATGAGTAAAACTGAAAATCTGTCAACATCTGAATCTTACCTGTAGCTTCTGCTTCTCCGTTTGGAAATGATGATAGTTTGAGGATGTTTTGGGTTGAATTGTGAATGCTTTGGCTTACATTCCACTTTGGGAAAAACACTGACGAAGCTAGGACCTATCTTACACTGGCCCTGTGTGCACTCCATTCATCACCATAAACATATGTCTGCCATTGTCATGGAAACTTTCGGAAGTTTTGGAACTTGTGAAAATTTGTTCGTTTTCAAAGTGGTGGAAGAGAAGGAAGTTGCTTTTTGAAAAGCAGAAATGTCTCAGAAACAGGCCCTTAGTGGGATTTGTCTGCTGTGTAGACGTATTTCATTCCTTTTATTGTCCTTCCACAAAATTAGATTTGTTTGGGTAGTTAAGAGTCAGAGGTCTCTGGACAGGTTAAAGGCCATGAGGCGTTCACATTTCATTGTGAAATAATCAGTATTCTTCCTGATGCACAGCTGAGATTAGCTGCTTGAGGTAATTTTTGCAGAGAGAAGAAGCAATTGCCTTTGAAGCATTAAAAGATGGAGCTTTGGTAAGATGCTGAAGTTTAGGATTTGCAGGACAAGATGAGGGCACTGGTCTCCTGCAGAAGAGAGGCCTAGGAGCTGAGGGGAGGGGTGCATACAGCGAGATGGGAGAAAGATACACATAGACTCAGCTGGATCAACATTTTCTCTGGAGCCAGCGATGCAGCTTTGCAGGAATTCAGAACTGAGCCCAGCACATATCCGAGAGCCTGCTGTGGACAAGGCGTGGGCTGGATCTAGGCTCCTGCCACTAGTTCCGCAGGCCAGGTAGATAGTGGCATAAGTGTCCCCATTTGTGGGGACAGCCTGAGATCTTAAATATGACATCATGTTTTCTTAGGAAAAATGTTTTTATCCCACTTTAAAAATGAACTTTGGGAACGCAATTTATAAATTGGGGCTATTTGTTCTGCAACAATTTCAGTATTTCCAAAACAAGCGAGTTTAGAATAGGCTGAACTGAATGGACTGCGCATCTTGGCCTAGAGTGTAATTTCTTGCCTGAGTTGTAAATCTTAAGAGTCTACAACAGCATTGAGATTTGCTGAGTGATAAGAAGCAAGGGCCTCTCGAAGCCTGAAGATCTAAAATAAACAGAGGAAAAAGAAGTTAGGGAGAGAGAATTAACTTCTTTGAATGCCTGTTATATGCTAGGTGCTGTGCTAAGGTGCCTCACCTATGTCCATAGTTAGTGGGGCATGGCTGCCTGCCCAGCACCCATAAAAAGCACCCAGTACTCCATGCTATTACGTGCTTGGTGCTTGGACATCCAAATGAGGCCTTCTGAGGAAGCTAAACTCTAGACCTTGAAATGGATAGAAAACATTCTTGACAGGGAAGATTACTTAAAAATGTAGGTATTACTATTAATAGAGCAACATTATGGACTCACTAATATAAATAAGAACACCTTTGCTAGTAAGAAATAATTTATGTTGGATTATATTATAACGTTTGAGTTGGATGAGTAACATTTAAGCACAGAGGAGAAATTATAAACTAAAAAGCTGCTGTATTGGAATCCAGTGAAAACCAGCCAGCTCTGAGGGAGGCCTGTGAGCCAGTAGGCACTAAAGGAGGGGATGTCTGGGGGTGGTGTAGGGACACCTTTGAGAGAGTCAGCTACCCAGTATGGCAGATGGGAAAACAGCTGCGGTCAAAGGAAATTGCAGGATTTCTCTGATCATCTGTGCATAGGTATGACCTTCATGAATAGTTAGCACACTTTTTTTTTTTTTTTTTTGAGATGGAGTCTCACTCTTTCGCCCAGGCTGGACTGCAGTGGCGCTATCTTGACTCACTGCAAGCTCCGCCTCCCAGGTTCACGCCATTCTCCTGTCTCAGCCTCCCGAGTAGCTGGGACTACAGGCGTCCGCCACCATGCCCGGCTAATTTTTTTGTATTTTTAGTAGAGACGGGGTTTCACCGTGTTAGCCAGGATGGTCTCGATCTCCTGACCTCGTGATCCACCTGCCTCGGCCTCCCAAAGTGCTGGGATTACAGGCATGAGCCACCGTGCCCAGCCAGTAAGCACACTTTTAAAGGATGTAATGAATCCTGGGAATATAAAATAAGAGGTTTTTCCAGTGGTAACATCTAAATCCTTACACTGTAAGGTGAATTATGTTGTAGCTTTCATTCACACATTTAATTTTAAAAATAGTTAACAGCAAGAACTTTCTGCCAGACACGTGCCAAGCTCCTGCTGGAGTAAGTGGCGTCAGAGAAGTAGATAGATGTAGAGTCTGACTTGGTTTTACTGTGTTGTGCATTCCACGCTAAAACACCCTGGAGATTTGGGCATTTCTCCTGAAGAACTGTTTTTGGAACTTGGTTGCTTTGGAAAGTCTTTATCAAACCTTCGGAAGGAAGCTCTTTGTCCCAGTTTGTGAGCAGGTTGCTCGCAGAGAGATGGAACTTCGTCTTTTTCTTGATGGCGTGATCTTATCTCTGGGTGTGCCAGAGCCAATTTCAACATACTTTTGTCTCTTCCCAGTTCAGTCCCCGTCCATTTTTTCCCTTCAGTGTGCTGTCTCAGCCTGTGGAGAAGGGGAAGGGGCAGTCAGAGACAGGACAAAATCAGAGCGCCTTGTTCCCTGGGGGAAGAAAACCCTGTCAGAACAGAGGACGCTGTGCTTTTCATTATAATCTATCAGCTATAAGAAGGAACTCCGAGGCCTTTGGAAGGATTGTCCTTTAGAGCCAAATGGTTTATGTCATGGAAAGGCTCATGTTACAAAGGAAAGAGGATTAAAGTAGAATTTGGAGCCCAGCTAAGTACCAAGAAGCTTTTCCATGAGGGAGCCTGTGTTTGGATGGGAAACCGGTATCTCTCTGTTTTGTCTCCTTGTCTCAGCAAAAGCTGATGGAGTTCTTGGTGAGGGATTATTGAGGCTTGTAGAGTCCATTCTGTAAAAGAGGGGTGTAACCATCCTGGTAACCTGAATGTAAGTCTTTCTGCTTGTGGGATGCAGGTTTATGAGTTTAATAAGTTTGTTGTTTTGTCTAAGCATAATATTTGGAATTCATTATGAGAATAATTTTCAGTTTGTTTGGACTGAACATATTGCTTGCATTTATCAGAATTCCATTCTAGTGAAGCACCCGTCAAGTCTGCCATTAAAATAAGGTGTTGCCACGTGTGGTTCCATTAGGCAGGGACAGGTTTGGTTTGTTTCACAACTTTAAATTTCCAGTGTGATGGGAGGAAGGAGCGGGGAGAGAAGTGAGTCAAACATCCTACTTGCGATTGCAAATGTAGGCAGGAGATTTAAAACTAAAGGGCATACTCCCTGGCCTAAATAGAAAAAGATGTCAGGAAGCACTGTTACTTTTAAAATGAAGGAGAAGAGGCTTTTAGTGTCTCGGCAGATTACGAAGCTAACTAGACTGAGATGGATTATTCATGCATTTCTATCCTTAAGACCCCAAGGAAAACTCAAGGTATAGCTGTGGAGGCATCTGAATTGAGATTCGTTTGATCCCAGGGATTTTTTCTTATGCAGTTTAGCAATACATAGCTATTAAAATAAACAATGAAATGTTTTTGTACCAGAATCGAGATAGTCACATTCCTTTATAGGGAATGAATAGTCTTTAGAGTTGTAGCTTGACCGGTATTGGAAATAACAAGAAAACTTCCTTGATTGGAAATTTGTAGAGAATGCCTTTAATTAGCTGATACAGAATAAAGTCTTTATTTAGCAATTGGACATTTTGCTTTGACGAAGCTGCTGTTCTGGGGGTGATTGTGAGGATGATTTCTCCTAGAAACTTCTAATTTTTTTTTAAAGCTAAGTCTGTTGGACTTTGGCTTGAAAACATGTTCCATGCAGATGTAAAATAAGTACATCGAACCATGGCAGAACTTGGAATCCACAGGTAACAGAAGCGTACATTTGTCATCGCGCAGGCCGGAGGGTAAGGGCCAAGTGGAAGCTGTCTCTGGACCAGGGAGGGACTTGGCAGCTGAAGAAAGCTTTAGTTTGGTAGTGAAACTTGCGTTTTGTGAAACAGGTTTCAAGCACCCATGTCTATGTAGCCTGCATCTGGGCTGTCACTTGAATTCCTTTTTCTTTTTTTTTTTTTTTGGTCAAATTTTTCCCCTTCCTCCACCCTGTCACTGTCAAGAAACAATTGACTCCTCTATAGAACTTTCTTTTTTGACAGCTTGTCACCTTAACCCTCCTTCTCCTAGGTCCTTCCTGGAAATTCTGTCGGTGGTAGCTTTCTCAAACTGTCTTTTCGACCAGTTTTGCTACTCGGAAACTAAAGCAGAGAGCTGGACTGTGACCTGCCATTATTAGTAGTAACTGAACTTACCCAGCATAGCAATTTCAAGGCGGCATGGGGGCTTGGAGTTCAGATTTCTTTTATGTGGAGCTCTTCTGCCCACAAGACCCTCAATCCTTTAGTAAATACAGGGCACTCCCTACATTAACTTAGGGATTTTGCTTTTAGCTTTTCCTTGTAAATGAAAGAGAACTTCTGATTGGAAGGCAGCCTGCCCGCCAGATCTTCCTTTCTGGCCCATGGGCCTGCCTGCCGTGTTCCGTGCCTGGTGAGGATGGAATGTGGCCTGTGTGCCTTGTGTCACACCTGCATCCAGTTCTGCATATTTCAGAGCAAACATTGTACTTGTTTGGAACAACAGGTGCCAAATCACTGTATATGCCAAGTGTCCTTAGGTTCACCAGCTCCTGCTTACAGGACCGTGACACAGGGGAGAACCGTGTGCAGGTACCTCCAGAGTGGTTTTTTTTTCTGTCTGTCTTTTTATCTCTGTGACTTTTTCCCTGGCTCCCTGCACTCCACAGAAACCAAGCCCACATGTGGGCGGTGTGGGAAGGTGGTGCTGAGGCAACAGCCAGGCTGCTGACTCGTCTTTGTTTTTCTTCAGGGAAACGCCCCACATAGATGTGGGAAGATTTCAAGTTAGTGCCTCTCTATTCCCACATCTCTGTCCTCCCTGCCCGCCTCCTGCCAATTCTTTTTCTTTTCCCTTGATGGTGATTGGATAGCCTGAGAAATAACACAAATGCTGGCTGCCGCTGAAAGTCTTTTATTTCTTGGGGGGTAGCATTCTGCCCTGGGAGAGGCTGGTCTCCTCCCACCATCAGAGCAGGCGTGTTGGGGTTCTCTCAGTGGGAATGGGTTCTGCTTCTGAGTCTGTGACTCAGTCCCCAGTACCTTCTTGGGCCTCACGAATTAATGGAGCCCGCACACATGGAGGACTAGCAGGGGACCACAAAGCCCAGAGAGAAGGAAGGTCATCAGTGTTTGTTTGTTTATTTTGGGTTGGGGAAGGAATGCTATGATGATTAAGTGTCTGCTGTATCATTACTTAGTAAAATGTTCCTGGCTAATTCAACTTTGATTTGTTAGTTTAAACTATTTCCCACTCTACTGACTTCAGTTGAATTCTATAACTGTATATAAATGTCTTAGAAAATGGTGATTTCATTCTCTTTAGTGCTGTTGGATTCGGAGTTAGAATAAACTACATTATGGACCTCACATTTTAATTTTGATTGTTAGATTTCTATGAACTGTCTTAGAGCAATCTTTTTGACTGATTTAGAGAATTAAATTAGAAATTTCCCTAGGGTTTCTACATTCAATTTAGTAGATAGGTTACTTTCTGAAATGATATGTCGGAATTTGACTAAGTTGAATTTAAATAAATACTAAGATGGGTTAAAATGATAAAGACTCCCAGAGGCAACTGGGCCTGTGTCCACGACCGCTGCTACTGTCTCATGGAGCCACATCACCAGCTGGACTCATGACTTATGTGAAGTCAAACAGGAAGTTTGGAACAGCCTAGCTATTTGGTTCGAAATGTAGAGACCTTTAATTTCATGCCTCATGACCAAAAAACAACCTGCTCAGAACCGTTTGGGGTTCGCCCTTTTCTCTAAGTTCATCTACTTCACCAAACAATTTTTCCACAAGGTGCTTCTCTGGCTCTCTATCCGTCACTGTGGCAGTGTGGTTTTGAGAAAAGAGCCTTGAGGTTGGAGTCAGGAGACTTGGGTCCTGGCCTTGGCTTTGTCACCTGTTTAACTGTGTGTCTTTTGCCATCTATATCTTCAAAGCCTGAGGCTCAATCACAGCTTGACACTGTCTCTTGAGTTCAAAGATATTGAAAGCCAGAGACTACGTGCTTTGTGATATTCTCGTGAAAGGTGAATGTTTTTAGGGTAGGCAGTGAGGATAAGTGCATTTTGGGAATGTAAAACTTTTTTCGGTGACCAACTTTCTGAAGCATCTTCCACAGTTAAATCCACCTACATTACTTTTTTCTTTTCTTCCTTCTAGCAGATATTTTCTTGATATATTTACCAGGCAGTTGGAACTCACTTGAAGCTTTTGAGTTGGGCGTGATAATACACACATGACAGCAGGCGATACTGATGTGGGCCAGCAGGCACTCAGCTCTACGGGCTGGTGCTTCCAGAAGCCTGCTGTGGATCACCCTCTGATTCACAAAAGCAAAACACTTCCTCAAAGTTTTTATTTTCTCTGTCTCATTATTGACCAATTTGACTGTTTTCTAACATCCAGGAAATTCTATGCAAGGTGATCACTCTGTTGCTACCCTGTGGAAGAACTGGCTTAGGAAGTCATGTTGCAGGGAGTCAGCTTCCCGAACTATACATTCATTCATTGAGCGAATTGTTCGTTGCACTTCTCTATGTAAGCACTGCAGAGGAATAAGAAAATGACTGAAGCATAAAGCCTGACCTCAGAGGAGATTACACTGTGTATTCTGGTCCATATTGTAAGTGAGGGTAAAAACATGCTCTTAAGATTTCCAGGGAAGTGGACTTTCAGCTGAGGGAATCCCCAAAGTCTTTGCTGGAGCTGCAGAATATTTTTGCAAAAGATGTTTGATTGGGTCGTATTTCTTTTTCCTTATCTTTCCCCTCATAGAGTCGCTGTTGTGAATGTAAGTGGAAAAGGGGCAGCTGGAACAGCTTAGTCCGAGGAGGTGCTTTCACCTTCTAAGGCCTGTGTAGTACAGAAGCAACAGCTGCAGACTTGTCTTCTGCAGCCCTAAGTCACAGAGGAGTCTGAAGTCACAGACATTACCACATCTGTAAATGCACCATTGAAGGGATAAACCTGTATTTGTCAAATAAAAATTGTTAGGTACCTGCAGCTTCTGTAACAGAAAGATAGTCACTGGAGATAGCAATTGAAAACTAAAAGTGAATACACACAATAGAAAACCAGGTCATAGCCTGTGAGGTGGGTTTATCTCTACCCTGGCACTTACCTTGTATATCTCAGTGTATCTCAGGCAGTCTCTAAATACCATAATCTTTTCTGAAATGATTCAGGGGATATAAATAGTCAACTTAAGTATTCAGCAAATATTTACTGTTCAGTATGTGTAAAATACTGCTTGGCATTTTGGATTCTACCCAGATGACCTAGGAGTTCAAGTCAGCTTAAAAGAAAGATATAAACACAGGCCGGGCGCGGTGGCTCTTGCCGGTAATCCCAGCGCTTTGGGAGGCCGAGACGGGTGTATCACCTGAGATCAGGAGTTCGAGACCAGCCTGACCAACGTGGTGAAACTCCGTCTCTAGTAAATACAAAAAAAAAAAAAAATTATCTGAGTGTGGTGATGCGTGCCTGTAATCTCAGCTACTTGGGAGACTGAGGCAGGAAAATCGCTTGAACCCAGGAGTTGGAGGTTGCAGTGAGCCGAGATTGCACCATTGCATTCCAGCCTGGGCAACAAGAAAAAAAACTCTGTCTCAAAAAACAAAAAAACAAAAAATAATAAACACAAATAACTTGTGGATTTGGACAAGTTACCTAACCTCTAAGTCTTGGTTTCCTCATCTGTAAAATGGGTCCAAAATAGTACCAATTTCATAGGTGTTTTTGAGGGTCAAAGAATGGTATAAAAGTAGCACAAATACCACAGCAGCATGTAGTTTTATTTGGCTGGAGTTCAGGAAAGTGAGTCATTCGTCCAGGAAACGTGTATTTCTTATTGGCCAGGCACTGCCAAGATGCTCTTGGAATGGAAAGATGAGTAATCCATGACCCAAAACTCAGAACTCAGTGGGAGGATTGCACTCTAGTAAGCGTAGGGTTGCAGGTGACACGAAGGAAGGGAACCTCACTTGGAATAGGAAGATTCGTCACACTTCTCAAGTGACCCTCGGCGGGGGTGGTGGTGGGGGTTCCTAAAGGATAGTGGGAACCAGGCTGGCATGCAGAACCCAGAATGAGCTGTGACCTTTGATGTCTTCTGAGCCAGGAGTGGTGGGGACTGCAGAGGAAGGCCCTGGGGTGCCCTCGCAAGGAGCTTGTCTCCAATCCATGGGGTCTGTGGACCAAGGGTCTTGGGGTTGGAGGTTCGTTGAGGCTGTGTAATGTTGTGACCCCAAGGGTCTTGGGGTTGGAGGTTCTTTGAGGCTGTGTAA
The DNA here is from genome assembly GCF_000001405.40 of Homo sapiens. Classification (NCBI taxonomy): domain Eukaryota; kingdom Metazoa; phylum Chordata; class Mammalia; order Primates; family Hominidae; genus Homo; species Homo sapiens. The sequence goes on from NC_000002.12 coordinate 9,976,564, forward strand.
TGTGTTTTCAAGTCAGTGATGAGACTTTTTAGTCAGAAGCGTATCCTGCATGCCACCAGAGTCAAATGCTGCCAGGAGACGTCAGTGCCAGGGTGTGCGCTTAGGTTTGGGGTTGAGGCCAGATAAAGGCCACATGAGGTCTTGGGGTGCTGGGTGATCAGACGTTTTGCAGTCATTTGAATAGAGTGGCATTTCTCAGACTCAGATCTGGGTATATTTTTAGGGGTGAAGCAACTTTTGCCTTTTAAAGAGGATGTGTGTAGTATTCACATTTGGGAAATACTGTTACAGGTGGGGTACAAAGTATGGCTGGAAAGGTGGATTGGAGTCACATAAATAGCTTGAATGCTAAGGAATGTTGTCTTTTTCACATAGACTGTGGTAAGCTACTGCAAATGTTTAGGAATACATTATTAAGATTCTGAAGTGACACTAATATTTGGCAATTGCCTAATATTAAGCAATCTGTCTCTTTTTCATTTCATTGCCTGATTTGTAGCCATTTTATTGTTTAGGGGGTCCTCTACTAGAGGTTGGAAGAAAATGTTTAATTTCTGTAACTTTATATTAGCTCTTTTTATTGTTTGTGTTTATTTGGTGGGGGCACTGTTATGTATTTATAAGTTTTATGAGGATTTGAAACTTGTTGAAATAAGATTTGGAGACAGTATGTAGATTTTGTATGCCCATCGTTTTTCTGTCTCTCATTACTAGTATTTAATTCAGTACCATTTAATAACAGATAATAATAAACACTGGAAGAAATTTTTTTTTTCAGACGAAGTCTTGCTCTGTCACTCAGGCTGGAGTGCAGTGGCATGATCTCAGCTCACTGCAACCTCCGCCTCCGGGGATCAAGCAATTCTCGTGCCTCAGCCTCCCGACTAACTGGGATTACAGGCATGCGCCACCTCACTCAGCTAAGTTTTTATATTTTTGTTAGAGACAGGGTTTCACCATGTTGGCCAGGCTGGTCTCAAATTCCTGGCCTCAAGTGATCCGCCCGCCTCGGCCTCCCAAAGTGCTGGGATTAACAGGCATGAGCCACCACATCCAGCTGGAATAAATTTTTAAAATGAACAACATCCCTGCCTTCAAGGGACCTAGGGAACTTACTAACTGCAGTGTTACAGGGACAGGAGTTAAACAGAGGTGAATGTTAAGGTTCTCACTCCGCCCTCCGTGTCCTTGATCCAGGTGATGACCTTGACCGAGGCAATGAGAGTATAGAGAAGTGGCCATTTCCCTAAAGAATCTCATAGTCTGGTGTATTAGTCCATTTTCATGCTGCTGATAAAGACATACCCGAGACTGGGTAATTTATAAATAAAAAGAGATTTAATGGACTCACAGTTCCATGTGGCTGGGGAGGCCTCAAAATCATGGCGGAAGGCGAAAGCCACGTCCTCCATGGCGGCCGGCGAGAGAGAATGAGAGCCAAGCAAAAGGGGAAACCCCTTATAAAACCATCAGATCTCATGGGACTTATTCACTACCACGAGAACAGTATGGGGGAAATCGCCCCCATGATTCAGTTATCTCCCACAGGGTCCCTCCCTCAACACGTGGGAGTTATGGGAGCTACAATTCAAGATGAGATTTGGGTGGGGACACAGCCAAACCATATCATCTGTCCTCACAGGGAGTTTGAGGGAAGGAAAAAGCTACTTAGTCCAACTTGGTAAGTGGTAAAAGGGAGCTGTACATAGAGTGCAGTGGACACAGCTGAGAGTGTGAGGGATTCCCTTTGGGCAGATGAGGGGATGGTGATGAGAAAGGGTGTATCCGTTGGTGCTGGATCTTTATCCATAAGGGAAATGTATGTCAGTAGACGATGGAGGAAAGGGTATTTTAAAATTCAGGGGCAGAGAAAATGAAGATCCCCAGAGTTTGGAAGTGCCTGTAAAGGAGATGTGAACGAGAATGGACATTTGGAGCTGGATTTTGGAAGGCCTTGAGAATTTGGATTCCTGCCTTCACACTGCAGAGAACCATTGAAGGCTATTAGTGGTTTTTCCTAGCTAGGCTCTTTCATTTTCCCAAGCACTGAGATGATGCTGCCTCGATGAGCACCTGTGACATCTCACTTGGTCTTATGAACTTACTCTATTTTAGTTTGAAAATCAGGTCTTTAAAAAGGAAACCAGCCGGGCATGGTGGCTCATGCCTGTAATCCCAGCACTTTGGGAGGCCGAGGCAGATGGATCACCTGAGGTCAGGAGTTTGAGACCAGCCTGGCCAACATGGTGACGCCCCGTCTCTACTAAAAATACAAAGATTAGCCATGTGTGGTGACGGGCACCTGTAATCCCAGCTACATGGGAGGCTGAGGCAGGAGAATCACTTCAACCCGGGAGGCGGAGGTTTCAGTGAGCTGAGATCGCGCCATTGCACTCCAGCCTAGGCAACAAGTGCAAAACTCCCTCTCAAAAAACAAAATTCAAAAATTAGCCAGATGTAGTGGTGCGCGCCTGTAATCCTAGCTACTCAGGAGGCTGAGGCACGAGAATCGCTTGAACCCGGGAGGTGGAGGTTGCAGTGAGCCGAGATCGCGCCACTGCATTCCAGCCTGGGCAAGACTCTCTCTCAAAAAAAAAAAAAAAAGGAAACCTTATCCAAACTGTCATAAAGTTGCTTCATATTAGTCTTAATGGATCTAAATGTTCAATCTTTTTTTTTTTTTTACTCTAAAGACAGGGTCTCACTCTGTTGCCCAGGCTGGAGTGCAGTGGCATGACACAGCTCACTGCAGCCTCTACCTCCTAGGCTCAAGCCATACTCCCGCCTTGGCCTCCCAAGTAGCTGGGACTACAGGTGCACACCACCATGCCCAGCTAATTTATTTTATTTTCTGTTTTAGAGACAGGGTCTCGCTATGTTGCCCAGGGTGGTCTCAAACTCCTGGACTCAAGCAATCCTCCCACATACAGGTGTGAGCCACTGCCTGGCCAGTGCTCAAATTTTGAAATTGTTTTATTCTACTCAGTTGAGCAAACTATATTATGAAAGTCTTATGGAAATTATTTTCAGCATTATAGCAGCAACGTTACAAAACCATGTAAAATTCTACCTAAATTTCTCAGTGGAAAAAAAAATTAAGACTAATATTTGGATGTTGGATTATTTTCTTATAGGTGAATGATAATACAGAATGAGTATTACTGTCATTGTGGTAATTTTTAAAGAGCAACAGCCTTTTTGCTAGTTCATGAAAAATACCCTGATATGTATTAAACATTTGCATCCCTTAGCTCCTAACTTCACCACTTGATGTTTTTGTAACTTTTGACTCATGGACTCCAAGTGCTTTGTTCATGCATTCTTTTCTGTGAATTAGGAGATTTAAAAATATTTCTATAATTTCTCTCCACAAATTAAATTCACTTGTTAAAGTTCACGTTCCTGACTACTCTCTTTAGACTAGACAGTTAGCAAGCTTTACTGGAATTGTGTCTTGGTTTGTGGTGTTGATAAAAGCTCGAAAGGAGTGGGTGTGTTGGGGGTTTTATAAAATTGATTCTCAGTTACTTTCCCTATACCTGCTGTGAAATGAACCTCTGATGGTGATCTGTGTTTTGAGCACACTGGGTTTGGTGGTTTGTTTTTTTTTTGTCTTTTTCCTCCTTGTTTTCTCTTTGAGGACTAACTTGGCAGACGCAGCCAGGTGTGAACAGCGCTTATGTGGCTGCCGCGGTGCTTCCTGGAAGAATCATTATAAATTCGTTCAAGATCTGATTTCTTGTTGGTTTCTGTGCTTGTGAGCATTTAGAATAAAAGTCTGTATCAGTTAATCCTTTGATTATGTAAATCATTTTATTTTGTTTTCCTCTCATTTTCAAACTGAGGTTTGAAAACCAAAAAAAAAAAAAGAATTAAATATTTTGAAACATTCTAAGTGCATAAATTCTTGGTCAGGAATGAGGAACTGTCCTTAGAAAAATGGGCTAGACATTTAAAAAGGAATCTTGTAGAGCACCTTGGCCTGTTCAGCAGTTTATGTTTGTGGTTAGTTTTTTTCTCTTCCAATAATTTGGGTGGGAATAGTAGTTGCTCATCTTTTGAGATTAATGTTCTAATTATTTGAATACAAATGTTTTCTCTCAAAATAATTGGGAAGGAAGTATGAAAACAGAAAAGGTCATCTTTTGAATTCTTAAAGTTTTATGTCAGAGATCTTCACATCTTTCTAGAGAAGGAAGGTTGTAAATCATTCAGCCTACTCCGATTCTGAAATGGGGCTTTTTAAGTGTGCGTGCATTCCTGTATGTTTTATAGAGGAGGAGTTGGATGTGTGCTCATTCATCTTACTTTTTACCTCTTTCCCATCCTCTGTAAAGATAGTGGAGTGTTTTCTGTAATCACAGTGATAATTTGTCTGCAGGATAGGAATGGTCCGAGCCTGGTTTTACCTGGATTTGGGTGAACAGCCCTGTGGTCTTGCTCACTCGGGGCTGCCCATTAGGTAGAATCCATGGGAAGTGTTAAAACTGAGGAACAAAGTGTGCCCATCTTGTTGCTCCCACTGGACCCAAGGGAGAGCTCTGGCTTGTGTTTCTACACTCGCCATATGTGTATGCCAGCAGCTTTTTAACATTAAACAAAACTGTTCAGTTGCAGACTAAAGAAGGCCACCCTCCTGACCATAAAGCTCCCCGGAAGCTGCACTTCTCCCTCAGAACTTACCTGGTCCCCTCCATGAGTGTGGGCTGGGCTGATAGGGACAGTGTGTTTCCACAGGCGAGTGACACATGGGCACAGCACACACTGGATGTCTTGCCAGGAAGTCGCTTATGCGGAAAGTGGAAATACTCAATTACAAACAGGGAAATACACCTCCTCCCTATTTACTCCATCGTGATGATGTAAGGATAAATTAATGTCCAAGCAACTTAGAGGATGGTTTAGATCACTGGTCAGCAGACGACAGCTCTGAGGCGCGGGCCAGCTAGGTGCCTGCTTATATAAATCAAGTTTTATCGAAACACGACCACACTCATATCCGTGGCTGCTTTTACACTATTACTGCAGAGTCGAGTAGTTGCATATGACCTACGGATGTGAAAATAATGTCGGGCCCTTTACAGAAAAATAGTCGCTTCTGATTTAGATAAGGGTATGAAAAGATATTTTATATATCTACATTTTATTTATTCTTAGCTATACTTACTTACTACCCAGTATGCATTTTCCTCCTTTTATTAAAAGCATGCAATAAGCATATGTTATGAGCCAGGCGTGAGACACAGAGATGATTAAGACAGGGTCTTCTCAAGGACATTGCCATTTAGTGAGGAAGACATCACATCATGCTTTGTCCTGTGGTTCAGAGTTACAACTTCAGCCTTCAGCTGAACACACAAGTTCATCCACAAATGCAAATCCCTATGAAATCAAACATAACATGAGTAATAAAAATAAGCGGGAGAGTTTAATGTGTGTGTACTTGTTTATTTTTGTGGTTAATATCTTAAGAACTCTTGAGTATTTGAGGATTTGCATGACCTTATTGAATAGCAGGGTTGAACAAAATGGCTTTAACCTAGATCTTTCTTTTGATTACATGAATATTCTTATTTGATAGGGCTATGCCTCTGTAAAAATTTTGTTTAATGTTAAAAACTTGCTGGCATACATATAAATACATATAAAAATATCTTAACTCTTTAAGGAAAGGAAACCATGTATTGGAACTTGCTTTAATAATCTCAGAGTTTTGGAGCCAAGGTAGACCTTTTGTGGATCACAGTGTATAAGCAGCTAGAAGACTAATCACGTTACCGCAGTGGTTTCTATCTTGGCCAATCACTCGAATTACTCGAATTTGGTAGGAAGCACCAAAAAAAACAGTCCCAGCATCTCAAACCCATTCCAGGACAATGAAATCAGAATCTCTGGGGTGTAGCCAGGACATCTGACATCCGTATGTTTTAAAGTCCTGCCAGGCGATTCTAATTCAGTCAGAGTTGTGAGGCACTGTTGTACAGACAGGATTCTGAAACTTTAGTGTGCATAGAATTAGCTGGAGAGCTTGTTAACCTCCCGCTTCACTCTCCCTGAGTTTTCGGATTCAGTGAGTCTGGGGTGGGCACCAGGATCTTCATTTCCAACAAGTTCCCTCGTGCTGATGCTCCTGGCATCACACTTTGAGAGCCATTGCCGTATGAGATTCTTAAGTTTTACATAAGTAGTTATTGTGATGACTTTAACTGGCAACTTACTTGGTATTTTTAAACTAATATGACTTATAAAAAGTTGATAGGTAAATGTATTACACAAAATTATTGTCACCAGTAAAAACAGTATGGATATAGGATTCATCCTTTGTCAATATAAGTATATAATCATAGACGTCCAGAGGTAGTCATCTAGAGATCCACGAACTCACCCTGCCCTTTGACAGGTAAGGACCCTTGCACTGGGTCGCAGTGCTTAGTTAGGGGCCAGCTCAAATGCTTTGATGTTCAGACCTAAGCGGCTGTGCATGTGGCTCCCCTTGTAGACTTTGGTTGAGGGTTAAACCCGGCACGTATGTCCCCTCCACACCAGCATATCCCCTTGATCATCTGTGTTCTTACCTGGGATCCTTTCCTAAGAGCAGGGGCATCGTGAGCACCGGCCCCATCTTCTCTTTGGCATCTTCGGCCCACTGTTCTTGTCTCTCATGTTCCTGGCCTGCAGTGCTTACGTTTCACAGCTTTGTCACCTTCTCCTGGGATGTTTGTGTATTTATCTAGGCAAGGTAGCATTTTTTTTTTAATGCTGAATTAGGACCATTGTCAACTTTCTTTAATACATTTAGAAAACTGCCAAGTTTGGGAAGAATTGATTTTTTAGAATAAGAGAGAAATGTATATCAGTAAGAGACTGCAAATCATCATGAATGCACACCAGCATGGGCAAAGCTGTGCCAAAGCTCCATGTTTGCCCCGATCCTGGGATTTGGCCCCTGCTCATTTCTTTTTTGAATAGAAACTTGAAACTGGGAAGCAAGGGGAGGTTAGGTTTCGGGTTGGATTACTGTGAAATCTTCTTGTAAAGGGAATATCACTTCCTGGAATCGTGAGGATGAAGTCGAACTTTCCCAGGCAGCTGTTTTTGAACTAGGAATTGAGCCACGTGGCCTAGAATGACAGAAAAAATTCGGATTTTCCATTGGTTGTAAATTGAAAAATATATGGTGGTTTGGTTACTTTGCTTAGTTGTTTGCATGGACTTTTTTTTTTTTTAAACCTGAATGCATTCCACAGACTCTCCTTACCTCTGATTTGTGGATTTAGAGATTGTACTTGAAGTGTTTAAAAAAAAAAATGTGGCCGGGAGTGGTGACTCACACCTGTAATCTGAGCACTTTGGGAGGCCGAGGTGGGCGGATCATGAGGTCAGGAGTTCGAGACCAGCCTGGCCAATATAGTGAAACCCTGTCTCTACTAAAAATACAAAATTAGCCAGGTGTGGTGGTGCAAGCCTGTAATCCTGGCTACCCAGGAGGCTGGGGCAGGAGAATCGCTTGAACCCGGGAGGCGGAGGTTGCAGGGTTGCTGTGAGCCGAGATTGCGCCATTGCACTCCAGCCTGGGCAACAAGAGCAAAACTTCATCTCAAAAAAAAAAAGTTACTATAGCTGCCCCCCAACCCCATTATAACTTAAATTTTTCCCCATCTGCCCTAGTTCAGCCAGTGACACCCAGTGCTGCTTGTGGTGGACCCATTCTTGGCTGTTGACCCAGGGGCTAGAAGGAATCTTCCCCTGTCAGCTCACGGGGTTGAAGGGTCTGAAATGGGCCAGTCTTAGTTTTAAAAACTGTAATTCCAATAATGTCCACTATGTGGTGCACATGCATCCGCAGTAAATTCTAAAACTAGTTGAAAGGGAGCTCAAAAACATTTTTAAAATCCACAGTGATAAAAATAGTGGGGAAATGGCACATGTTTATTTGCTGTACACTGGGTTCCTCTTAAGTAGCAGCTTCCAATGTCATATTCATAATGTGACTCAGCTTATTTTAACTTTTGAGAAAATGTGCGGGAGATAACTGATTTGGAGCCCAGGAGAGAAGGGTGTGACATCTCCTGCCTTCCATTTCGAAGGTGGGGGATCCCCCTGGATGGGTTCTCGCCGGCTTAGTGCATTGCTCAGGCACATGCTAGCAGCTGGAGTGAGTGTAGCCGGTGCTAACCTACTGCACTTGGAAGTCATCTTTAAATATTGTTCTTGTGGGCTGAGTGTGGTAGCTCCTGCCTGTAATCCCAGCACTTTGGGAGGCCAAGATGGTAGGATTGCTTGAGCTCAGGAGTTGGAGACCAGCCTGGGCAACATAGTGGAACCCTGTCTCTAAAAAAAAAAAAAATACAAAAATTACCTGGGCGTGGTGGCGCACACCTGTGATCCCAGCTAGTTGGAAGGCTGAGGTGGGAGCATGGCTTGAATCCAGAAGGCAAAGGTTGCAGTGAGCTGAGATCACACCACCACACTCCAGCCTGGGTGACAGAGCCAGACTGTCTCAAAAAAAAAAAAAAAAATTGCTCCTGTGGGAAGTGGTGGCTTGGGCACTGATAGGAAAGCAGACTTTTGAAACTGTGGGTTGAGAAGCTCAAAGTCTGGTTTAGACAGTTTCTCTGAAGTAATTTCATGATTGAATAGTAGAACTGTTGCTTAAGGAATTGGATTCTTCGTTTCTCTCATGGAAATAGACCCACCAGCATAACATCTTCCCGGGTTATTCTAGGGAGTTTTGACCACATCTGTGTGGAACTTCTTGAATGAGGAACACATTCCTGGGTGTTTAGTGATCGTTAAGTTCTCAGCCTATTAACAAACGTTACCACTTTTGTCTTAGGTTTAATCTGGGCATGTAAAGAATCCAGTTATGTTTAAATAAAAGACCCTTGCACTGATATTTCCATACCTAGAAAGGAGTATGGAAATAATTGTAAATTACAAATCATCCCTTGAACACTGGGCCCAATGTGATTTGATAACCAAAAGGTTAATAAGAACAAACTGGAAAGAAATGAGGACTGTTTAGTCTGCATGGGCAAAGATTGAGAGAGAACTTTATTGGAATCTTATAAAAATTGTGGATTAGAGGAACACTGATGTCATAAGTTCTAAAATATGAGGACACAGAGTACTACAGGTTATCCTAAGAGGTGGTGTCAACGCAAATATAGGTGGATTCCTAGGAAGTTTTTACTAAGTTACAGAACAGCTGCAGAGGGAGCTATGCTATTGGTAACTTTGGAAAATGACATCAGGAAAGCTAACCAGCCTCTTCCCCTGTCCTAGCTGATATTAAATAGGGATTCTGGAAGGGAACATAAGCAGAGGTTCAGAGCTGCCGACTCTTCCTCCTCTTTAAGGTCTGCTATTTCTATGACCAAAAGCAGTTTTAAAATAAACCCCTGATCACCTCTTTTTAAAAACCCTTTTTTAAAAAATGAGAAGCTGAGCTTCTCATTTAAAATAGACTTGAGTAATTTCAGTGATGTTAATATTTTCATGAGCTGTGCTAGGTTTGACTTGGTGCCTGTTGCTTATGGAACCTTCTCTTCCCTTGGCAGGTTTTCATCTCTGTGAACTGCTTAAGCACAGATTTCTCTTCCCAGAAGGGAGTGAAGGGGTTGCCTCTTAACATTCAAGTTGATACCTATAGTTACAACAACCGCAGCAACAAGCCTGTGCACCGGGCCTACTGCCAGATCAAGGTCTTCTGTGACAAGGTAAGATCGGCAGGGATGCTTGGAACAAGTGTTTGAGACACACTCATGGAAAAAGACCAGGGTCTCTTTAATATTTAATGTCAAAATGAGAATATAGCTGCTAATATAGAATAACTTTTAAAATTATTTTTATTTATTTATTTATTTATTGTTGAGACAGAGTCTCCCTCTGTCTCCCAGGCTGGAGTGAAGTGGTGCAATCTCGGCTCACTGCAATTCTGCCTTCTGGGTTCAAGCAATTCTTGTGCCCCAGCCTTCCCAGTAGCTGGGATTACAGGTGCACACCACCACGGCCGGCTAGTTTTTTGTATTTTTAGTAGAGACAGGGTTTCGCCATGTTCCCCAGGCTGGTCTCCAACTCCTGAGCTCAGGTAATCTGCCCACCTCAGCCTCCCACAGTGCTAGGATTACAGGTGTGAGCCACCGCGCCCAGCCTTTATCAGAGATGAGGTCTCACTCTGTCATCCAGGCTGGAATTTAGTGGTGCAATCACTGCTCACTGTAGCCTCAACCTCCTGGGCTCAAGCGATCCCCCAAACTCAGTCTCCTGAGTAGTTGGGACTACAGGCACATCCCATCACACCCAGCTAATTTTTAATTTTCTTGTGGAGATGGGGGTCCTGCCATGTTTCCCATGCTGGTCTTGAACTCCGGTCCTCAAGTGATCCTCCCATCTTGGCTTCCCAAAATGTAAAACAGCTTTTTTTTTTTTTTGAGACAGAGTCTGGTGCTGTCGCCCATGCTGGAGTGCAGTGGCGCAGTCTCGGCTCACTGCAGCCTCTGCTTCCCGGGTTCAAATGATTCTTGTGCCTCAGCCTCTCCAGTAGCTGGGATTACAGATGCACACCCACCACACCTGGCTAATTTTTGTATAGAAACAGGGTTTCGCCAGGTTGGCCAGGCTGGTCTTGAATTCCTGGCCTCATGTGATGCGCCCACTTTGGCTTCCCAAAGTGCTGGGATTACAGGTGTGAGCCACCATGCCTGGCCTAAAATAGCTTTTAATTATTGTTTTGGCCTTGCAAAGACACATTATGTAGAGATTTTTGAAATTACGTTTTAACTGATAGATTAGAAGGGTTGATAAGTACGTTTTGTTGGGCATGTCTGATAAGTAAAGGAGGTGCACACAGGACCCTCTGAGCCCAGCTGCTGGAAGTGTAGGCAGTCACCCCTGCACGGGAGCTCTTCCTTAGCTGTGTCCGAGTGGCTGAATCACAAAGTGCTGTGCCTTCACAGCCCTCTTCCCCAAAGGCCCTTCAATAAGCATGGGGAAGGAGAGGTGCGGATTCTTCTCTACAGCCACAGGGAGGCAAGAAGAAAAAGTGCAGGGCCCAGAGGGATCTCTGCATGACCTGTTTTCCCTGGTGTGGCTCTTTTTTTATCTGGAGAAGAGAGGCTTACTTTTGCCCAGTGCAGAGCCAGGGGCTGAGCTGGATTCAATGCAGGGAGAGTCTGGAAGGTGCGTCGAGTCTTGAGGGGAAAGTTTGTGCTGGCTCGAAACTGGGGAGCAACCGTGGATGAGTGGACATTCCATTGAACTAAGACAGCAAGATCTTGAGTTTTTCCTACTCAAAAATATTGGACCTATTTTTGGCAGGGGACGGGGGCAGTTCTTTTCATCCTATTAAGGGAGCTTGTCTTTTATTGAGATTTTTAGAGGGGCTAGGTAACTGGAAGTATGTTTGCTGTCAGAGGCCTGGTCTGTCACCCTGGCTTTTGCATCAGGTACACAAAGCACAGTGGCTGAGCACAGTGAATGAGCCTGAGGCCTTTTTTGGATTTTTTGGATGATGTTTACTCTTTGTGTGGCATTTTGGTGATTTTCACCTTCCTGGGTGCTCGACATTTTTGTATTATTGTGAATCTCCTTGAATTTTGTCCTGAAATCTGGTTAAGTTGCTCGGAAACCATCTGCTCGTTAAGATCTTATGTCTATGATTTGCTAGGCGGATCTGGAGCTGTGCTCAGTGTAAGGCTAATCATCCCGCGCTCCTGAGCAGGATTTTTCTGAATATTCTACCAAGTGCCCTGCTCATTACAAGTTTTCTCACATTACTTCCTTGTAATAATCCTCATGACAGGGATTTCCAGTCCATCCCATATGGTGGGAACAGGTACTGTTTCTGGCTCTGTGTGAGTTTCGGGCACTGTTTCTCTAATCTTTTCGGATGTCAGTTCCCAACCCTGACCCCCAGCCTTGGGCAGCTTCCTGGTACCTGTGTACCTGTTGGTACCCGGCCACGTACTGGAGTGGGGCTCACTGAAGATCTCGGAGCTCTTTCCTCTTTGGTACTTTGTCCTGCTGCCTTGGTCTCTGTGGACTTCCAGCTCTGTCTCCTCAAACCTGGGCACCTGGACTGAGAATACATGAGAATTCCCATGCCATGGCCTGGGAACTCTGAAGGCAGCAGCCAGCATGGTTTGAGGACTTGCCGCGGGTTCCTGTCTCCCAGGGATCACTGTTCTTTAGTTGCCTGCTGGTCAGGGCCTTCTCGTTCTTGTTTCTGCATTTCGTCTGGTTTTTGTTGTTGTTTCAGGGTGGAGGGTAAATCTGATCTGTGTTACTCCATGTTATGTAGAAACAGAAATACCTTATTCTTTATAGATACACAGATAAATAAGGAGGGACAGTCCTATTTTGTAATAGGACTGCACCCTCCACCTTTTGGAGGAGGGTGGTGTTTATCATCAGAATGAAGTTATGGTTAGACTTGTTAGAAGGGACAGAGAGACCCAGACCAACTTCATACAATAATGGCTAGGAGATTGGGGATATTTACCTGTTTTTCTGTGTCAGGGAGGGACTGTTGTGTCAATGTTACATAGCAATTTTTATAAGCAGGTTGTATATTTACTATGTTAGTATGCTACCACCTTCTAGAAAAGGCAGAAGGTGGTTTTATATTCTGTTTTTAAAATGTGGTCCTTATTATATAATAATGCTAATAAGATCAGTGGGATTTTTATTGCCTCTTTTTGCTCTCAGCAAATTTATTTAACAGAAAAATAAGCTACCAGTTCATCCTTAACTGGAGCACTATGTAAAGAAATCTGTACCATCCAGAAATTAATTCCAATAAGTCAAGCAAAATGATTAAATGTAATGTTTTTAAATATGCTTCATTGCCTGATTTTGGGCCGTGTTTGTTACTAATATGGTTCTTTTGAACTTTGTTGTTGTGGGTTCAGCTGCATGGTACTATCGGTCTTTGAGCAGTTGATATACAGAGTACACGAGTGTCTTTTTCTAGGACTCTGAGTACACTTTTTCTCTTTTTTCTTTGAGGGAGTCTCACTCTGTCACCCAGACTGGAGTACAGTGGTGCGATCCCAGCTCACCGCAATCTCTACCTCCCAGGTTCAACTGATTCTCCTGCCTCAGCCTCCCGAGTAGCTGGGATTACAGGCATGCATCACCACGCCCGGCTAAATTTTTTGTATTTTTAATGGAGACAGGGTTTCCCATGTTGGCCAGGCTGGTCGTGAACTCCTGGCCTCAAGGGATCCACCCACCTCGGCCTCCCAAAATGCTGGGATTACAAGCGTGAGCCACCGCGCCCAGCCCACTTGTTCTCTTTTAAGTGATGATGCATATTTCTAGTTCCATCTTCACTTTGTGAATTCTGCTTGGTTAGATCTGCCACATGGTTGATACCAGGCCCTTGGACTGAATCACAGCCTTCAGTGATAACCTTGGCCATATAGGAGAGTATACTCAAGAGTAGGGCCAACTTGGGTTTTTTCTTTCATTTCCTTTTCCTACTGGACAAAGGGAAAATACCCTTGTGTCTTTGCAGGCATGTGGTATACTCACAGATTTTCTCAGCTTTCATTTAACACGACCACATCCATTATAAGGAGAAATTTTGCTTTTTTTTTTTGAGACAGAGTTTCGCTTTGTCACCCAGGCTGGAGTGCAGTGGTGTGATCTCAGCTCACTGCAACCTCCACCTCTCAGGGGTTCAAGCAGTTCTCCTGCCTCAGCCTCCCAAGTAGCTGGGACTACAGGTGCCCGCTACCACGCCTGGCTAATTTTTGTATTTTTAGTAGAGGTGGGGTTTCACCATGTTGGCCAGGCTGGTCTCGAACTCCTGACCTCAAATGATCCACCCACCTCGGCCTCCCAAAGTGCTGGGATTACAGGCATGAGCTACCGCTTCCGGCCGGAATTTTGCTTTATTTGTTTTTCAAATAAATGTTGTTCCCTGTGATTTCATAGAATTAAAAATAATTTTAAGACTAATCTTTTTAGAAGAAACTACTATGATAAGCCTCATGAATATAGTAAGTAATGGGGTTCCTGTCCAGAGAAGGGAGAAAGGCTTCTTCTTCCATTGGTCAGGATAAGAGTTAAATATTTTAAAGAAGATTGGAAAACAGAATCATATCTTGTCTTCTCTTAACCTACAGGGAGCTGAGCGGAAAATCAGGGATGAAGAACGAAAGCAAAGCAAAAGAAAAGGCAAGTGTCCTGACCCCAGCTCCCAGGTGAATGCCTGTAAGTAGAAATGTTCCCGGCAAGCTTCAGACCTTTTCCATTGAGAATGGTGGCTGGAGTTTGCACGCAGAAGACAGTGGGTGTTCTTCCTGTTCTGCAGTGTGGCACTGCCTCTTCCTCAGATCAGCAGCAGATGCCAGCTCAGCGGGAGGGGTTTTCCTGGGGACTACAGGATAGATCCCTGGGTTTTCCCGACCTCAGCGTTTTTGGCTCTCAGTTCTAGTTCAGACTTCTGTTTCCAGTCTTGAAAAATGACAACACGTTCTGCATGAATCACTGTTAAAATTGGGACTTATCTAGATTTTTTAAAGTAATAATAATGGTCTTGAGAATTCAAGATGTCTTAACTCCAAGTAAGATCATATTTTGTATCTAAAGTATAGTATTTTAATATTTGCAGAATCTATAGGGCTTCTGTTTGGACATTTCACCAGGAAGGCTTTGTTTTCTTTTTTTTTTAATTGTGACCAGTATTCATATTCACAAAATCTTGTATCTAAAATGAAGAAAGTGCTGTTCTGTGCCTGTAGGGTTCCATCTGTAGTACATGGGCTTCTGGCAGCTCTTTTGAATGGTCTGTCTGGCTCAGCAGACATTTGCCCTGCAACACCTTAGTCAGGATTCTCCTACTGGTATCAAAGTACAAACTCCCAGTGACACTTCAGAGAGCAGCTGACTAACTAGGAGACCTCATTACTGAGTACTTCAGGGCCAGCCAGATCATTGGGGAAGATGGAGTCTCTAACTTACTAAATTAAAAATTGGATGGGCATGCTTACACTTCACCTCATTGTCGAGTTTCTTGATATGTTCTGAAGTCAATGGGTCCATGAGTGTTGGAATGTAAATTATTTAATGAGGACAGCTGAGGTGAAATTTCTTCCAAATTATGTTTACACAATTATACATTTTAGCCTTTCCAATGAAAACTAAATACGCTCTGCCTCTGTCGCAAATCTTCTGTGGATATGCGTCTGTGTGTGTTTGAAGATACCTTTTCCCTTTTGATTTGATAAGACATTCAGTTGATTTTAGTGGAAATACACACAACAAATTCCTTTACATAAACTGGGATTCTTAGGCAGGCAGCGTGCCCTGTTGTATCTTACAGAGTGCTACACTTGGAGTATCTTACTCAGAGGCGAGCACTCTGTGGCCTGCATCCAGTCTGTATGTAATCCTTTGACCTTGGCTTCCTCTTTTTTAATTTTTTTTTTTTTCAGTTTCTGATGTTAAAGTGCCACTGCTTCCCTCTCACAAGCGAATGGATATCACAGTTTTCAAACCCTTCATTGATCTCGATACTCAGCCTGTCCTCTTCATTCCTGACGTGCACTTTGCCAACTTGCAGCGGGGCACTCATGTAGGTAACCAGGATCCCAGGGGAGGTTACCAGGAAGGAAGGCATGGCAAAAGGAAATTCTTTGGCATTATTCATGGGAAACAGAAGCCAAAATTGAGTGAGGTTTGACCAGTTAGTCAGCTCTTTGGAATATTCTGCTGGGGTGACATGATGCCCGTGCAATAAAAATGGTAAGCATCGCTGATTTCAAGGTGCAGTGCAGCCTGTCAGCTTTATTCTGTTTGTATTCATTCATTCATTCGTTCGTTCTTCATACCTACATATCCTAGCTCATTTAAAAGATTCTAGAATAGTAGCATAATTTGGAGTTTGAGCCTGTCATCTTTTTAAACTTAACTTGGGGCAATACCTAGGTTAAGGAGCTCTTATAACATAAGAACATCCGAAGGCTTTTCTCACAGTTCCAGTTACTGAGCCGTCCTTGCCACGTGTAGTTACCAATGGCCATGTCTTGGCAACTAAAACTAAATTTTAAAAAATGGTCACGCCCTGTTTTGTGGCAAAGGCTTACAAGGGATAGAAACTTCAGTAGAATGAAGCATGGTTTTATGCTGAGTGCAAATAAATATCAAAAAGACAGTCTTTCATGCACTTTGTGGACAGATTTATAAGGACTAAAGATTCGTCAGAGTTCTTGGGGCCATGGCCAGTACATTTAGTTTCTAATGGGAAGCTGGAGGTGAGCAGGGGTTAGCACACTGTTTTTGTGAAGGGCTGGGCCGTAAAGGTTTTCAGCTTTTGGGGCCCCGTGGTCTCCACTGTGCTGCTCAGTGCTGCCGAACTAGTGCACACATGGCCATAAGCAGCATGTGAATGAATGAGCGTGGCTTTGTTTCAGTAAAGACTTTATTTACATGAACTGGCTTTAGACCAGATTTGGCCCAACCACTGAGTTAAAGGAGTTCAAGACATCTGTAAGAATCTGTTATTGAAAACTAAGGCTAAAGGATTTTATATTAGATTGGTGAAATTCAAAATTATTTCCATTTTAGGAATAATTCATTTATGGCCAAACATTTTGAGCATACATTTGAAAAGCAATCTATTCCTTTGGTCTTAGGTCCTTCCCATTGCCTCTGAAGAATTGGAGGGTGAAGGGTAAGATTTATGTTTTGTTTTGTTTTGTTTTAATAATGGAAATGATTTCAAACTTGTAGAAAAACTGCAAGTACAGTACAAAGAACTCATTTTTCCCTGAGCCATCAAGGATAAGTTGCCAGCCTGATGGCCCATCACTCCTGAATATCGTGGTATATATTTCCTACCAACAAGGACATCCTCCTGTGTCACAGTCAAGATTAGAATATTAACATTGCTTCATTAGCACCAATAATGTCCTTTATAGCAAAAAAGGATCCAGTTCAGGATCACACATTGTAGTTGTTTGTCATGTTTGTTGATCTTCTTCAGTCTAGAACTAAGCCACTCCTTAACTTTTCTGACCAAATATTTTTGAAGATTACAACCAGCTGTTTTGTAGACTCTTCTTAGTTTGCGTGTGTCTGCTGCTCTCTCATGGTTAGATTCCAGGCCTGGCAGGGATGTCATAGAGGCCAGGCTGGGTTCTCCGTGTGTCCTAGCAGATGGCGCTTGATGTCAGTTTATCTGTTACTAATGGTGTTCTTTGGTCACTTGATTAAGCTGGTATCTGCCAGCTTCTCCACTGCAAAGTGGCTCCTTTTATAGTAAGTGTTGTCTGGGGAGGTGCATTGTAGCTTTGTAAATATCTCATTCCCCATCAAACTTTCAGTTTACTCGTTCATTTATTGCTATCAGTATGAACTCATAGTTTCCTGTTTTATTCAATAAGCTGTGATTCATTAGTCATTTACTTTGATGCTCAGGTTGTCCCAGAATTGGGCTCTGCCTTCCTGTGCCGGGCAGCCCCCTACTCATGCTGCCTAGTGGAGGGGGGCTGACGCTACCCCTCTTTGGGCTATCAGAACCTTCTTGATGGCTCTGGGACTTTTTCAACAAGGCAAAGATTCTTTTTGTTTTTATTTCATTTTACTTTTAGAGACAGGGTCTTGCTCTGAGGCCCATGTAGGAGTGCAGGGGTGCAGTCACAGCTCACTGCAGCCTTGAGCTTCTGGGCTTAAGTGATCCTCCTGCCTCAGACTCCTGAGTAGGTGGGACTACAGGCACATGCCACCACACCCATCTAATTATTATTATTATTATTATTATTATTATTATTATTATTATTGTAGAGATCCTGGTCTCAGGCAATCCTCCCGCCTCAGCCTCCCTCTTTCTGTTATCTGCCCTCAGAAAGGTGCATCCTGATGGAGAGAGCCAAGATTTCCATGGGAAGTTCATTCCTCAGCATCCCTCTTCCCTCATCTTCCATCCATTCCCAGGGCTTAAACCGTCATACTGGGGACATTCATGCCCCACACGTTACCCATCGTGCCTCTCTTTGAAGGCGAGGCCTGCACTGCCCCTTTGATTCTTAGTGTTTCAGGCTTGAGTCCTGCCGGCACTTTCACTAGACGGCTGCTGTGTGTTAGGAACTGAGGTGGCAGAGTCTCGGAGGCTCAGCCCCTGCTCCTGAAGTGGCCATTCTGCTCCAAATCCAGCACTCCCTCCCTTCACTTTCAGTTATCTACCTCTTCTCTTGCTTGCCGTGACACCACCTGCTGGACCCTCCATGCCAGGTGCCCCTGGTAGCCAGGCGTTCGTTCGATCTGAGTTTTTCTCTCCTCAGACTCTCCTTGGTCTGTTCTCACCTTTTGGCTTCCATGATACCACCATATTTTAAACCTGTGGAATCCTGTGCTCGGATTATACCAGCCTCCTTCCCCTGGTTTTTCTGCTTGAAGGTCCTGGGGTCCCCTCCAGTCTTGACCACACACTTTGGGTACCAACACACTTTGGGTACCACACTCAGTCTCACAGACCTTTCAACTATTCCCTCTTCTCTGCCATGTAAAATTTAATTCCTTAGAGCTGAATGATCAGGACATTCACGGTAGAGTCGGCTTCCCGAAATTTCTAGATATGGCTTCCTGTGGGCCATTCTGTTTGAGCCAGGCTGGCCCTGCATTTTCCTGCTCACACTTCCTCAGTGTTTTGAAACATCATCTCCTTTGTCACTGCCTGTACAAGGTTATCTCAGATCCTGCCTCCTCCATAGAGTGTTTCCTGAAAAGAAGCACCAGACAGCCAGGCGTGGTGGATCATGCCTATAATTCCAGCACTTTGGGAGGCCAAGGTAGGAAGATCGCTTGAGCCCAGGAATTTGAGAACATCCTGGGCAACATAGGGAGAACCCATCTCTACAAAAATAAAAAAATTAGTTGGGTGTGGTGGTGTGCGCCACTTGGGAGGCTGAGGTGGAAGGATTGCTTGGGCCTGGGCGGTTGAGGCTGCAGTGAGCCGTGATCCATGATTGCACCACTGCACTCCAGCCTGAGCAACAGAATGAGACCCTGTCTCACAAAAAAAAAAAAAAACCAAAGCGCCTCATCTTCGAGAAGGCAGCTTTATCTGATGAGAGTGCAGATACCTGCAGGGAACCTGAGTGTGGTCCCATGTCTGCCTGTAAATATCCATGAGCCCTGGAGTCAGGATCTTCCTTTAGCCTGATTTTTCATCCACAAATAAGGAAGCTGGACCAGATAAAGAATGAAAGTCATTTTAAATCTAGTTCCATGACAGGCTCTAAAACACCTTAATGTTGATGCAGCTGGTTAAGTTGAATCACTAACGGCATATTTTGGATCACTGCAGCTCTGTCTTGAAAAGGGGGCCGTACGGCACAGAAGATGACTTTGCTGTCCCTCCTTCTACCAAGCTGGCCCGGATAGAAGAACCAAAGAGAGGTGTGTTCGTTTCCATTTCTTAGTGGGAGTTTTAAATCAGAAGTGAGTTCAGAATCTATCAAAAGCATAAATGGTTCAAGCACATTTTTCCCAGTTTCACTTGCTTGGGAATTCTTCCATCAGACTGACATCTAGCTTGAGCTAGGACTTAGAGCAAAGTTCAGAGAAGCTGAAACCTGTGTTCCTTAAGACAGAATTGATATTGGCTGATGCTTGTCATCCTTGATGTGAATGTGGTTTTTATTTTAGCTGGTACCGTGGTCTGTTTTCCTCTTTTGCTCATGTGAACTGTATCCTTTTTTTCCTCTCTTTTCCCTTCCTTATTCCTGGTTGGGGATTGATTAGTGCTGCTCTACGTTCGAAAGGAGTCAGAAGAAGTCTTTGATGCCCTGATGCTCAAAACCCCATCTTTGAAGGGCTTGATGGAAGCTGTAAGTAGGATCAACTCTGTAATCCCCTGTACAAAATGAAAGGACAAGTACATAGGATTTCATTGAAACACTTTATCAGATGATCCAAATCCTTTGTCAGACCTTCTGGAATCCCTGACACCTTTCTCGAGTCGTCGTGCGTCCCACATTTTATCCTCACCCAGGGGTCTTAACTCACACAGTCACTCAGTCACACCTGTTCCACTGAAGTGAATGCATCTGTGATGGCCTATGAAATGTTTAATTTTTATATACGTGGTTAAAGGGAGATTGCCATTTAGCAAGCCACTTAGAAGCTAACAAAAGTGATTTTTAATCAAGTACAATCTTAAAAACTTCATACATAAAAACAGTGGCTCCTCAGTCTACCTTTAAAACTCCCAATCCTAGGAAATTACTGAACTTGCATCAAGACCTCACTACAGCCTATTGCAGAGAAAGTAGACGTGTAACCAGTGATGGCCGTAAGTCCATCTTACGAGGATCTCAGCACGAGGCTGGAATAAACTGACCCCATGCTCCCTGTGGGGATATCAGTAAGAGAGGAAACATGGAAGGCTGCTGTGTTAATTTCCCGTTCCAGCTGTGCACTGGAAAAACGCATGTCATCAGCACTGAGTGCAGATATTTACCAGCCTGTCTCCTAGAGACCGTAGAGATCTTTAAGCTCAAAGTGTGTCCATAATTGGGCTAAAAGCATCTCCCCCAGCTCCCTCTGATGACTGTAGTGTGTTGAATTCATTTAACACATCTTGATAAAGGGCTTGCTTCATGCCAGGCACTGTGGCGGGCACTGGAGTTATGCGCGTCAGTGACACAGTGCTGAATGGAGTTTATTTTGTAGTTAGGAAGACACAGACACCAAAATAAGCAAAGAAGTTGAGGTCATTTTTCAGGTACTGATGAGTGCCATGAAGATTAATAAAGCAGGGAGATGGGGCGTGGGTTTGGGGAGCTGCTGTGCGGTCTCTCAGCCAGGCGCCCCAAGTCCACGGGTGTCACTCAGTGCATCCCTGCCTGCCCACAGCACAGGCAGCGCCGTTCCCACTGTCACTTCCTGCCTCCTAGGATGTCCCCTGGGTTTCTCTTTTCTTGCCTTTTGATGACCCTTCATCATGTCTTAAGAATCATGCAAACTGGCCAGGTGCGGTGGCTCACACCTGTAATCCCAGCACTTTGGGAGGCAGAGGCAGGAGGATCACCTGAGGTCAGGAGTTCGAGACCAGCCTGGCCAACATGGAGAAACCCTGTCTCTACTAAAAATACAAAAAATTAGCCAGGCTTGGTGGCAGGCGCCTGTAATCCCAGCTACTCGGGAGGCTGAGGCAGGAGAATCACTTGAACCAGGGAGGTGGAGGTTGTAGTGAGCTGAGATCCCGCCACTGTACTCCAGCCTGGCATAGCAAGACTCCGTCTCAAAAAAAAAAAAACAACAAAAAACAAACAAACAAAAAACATGCAAATTCTGATTACAGGGAAAGAGGAGAGTAAAGAGGATGCAGAATTACTGGGCCAGCATAACTGTTCATGGCTCACGAGGAACTCATGACAGGTCTTACATGTCAGAACACAAAGTATTATCATCCACTCGTACAGAAAAGAAAAAGGGTTTGTGTGGTGAGAACTTGGAGCTGGGGTCTGGTCTGAAACACGTGTTTGGAAGGTTGGCAGGATCTGCACGTTTGCCACCTGAGGCTCTGTTTCTCAGTGCCACCTTGAGCTTTGCTCTGTGGCTTGAGGTGAAGCTGGTGATGCCAGCCTGAGGATGGTCTGGATGACAAGTGTAACGTTTGATCTAGAGTGAATCAGCTGTTTGTCCTTGGAGCAATTCACCCATTCTCTTTAAAAATATTAAAAATAGCCTCTATGTCCCGAAAGGAAGACAGCCACAGCTCCCCAGAAGCTCATTACAGTGAGGGGCAGCCGGGCTGAGGAGAGCTGGAGGCCCCCAGCACACGAGCTGGGGCTTTTCCATGTCTTTGTGTCTGCGTTTTTGAAAAACAAAAAGTCGAGTGACTATGCATGTGTGTGTGTGTGTGTGTGTGTGTATATATATACATATATATACGTATATATATACATATATATACGTATATATACATATATATACGTATATATATACATATATATACGTATATATACATATGTATATATGTGTGTACATGTATATATATACATATGTACATATATATGTACACATATATATATACATATATATGTACACATATACATATATATGTACACATATACATATACATATATATGTACACATATATATACATATATATGTACACACATATATATACATATATATGTACACACATATATACGTATATATGTACACACATATATACGTATATATATGTACACACATATATACGTATATATATGTACACACATATATATACGTATATATATGTACACATATATATATACGTATATATATGTACACATATATATACGTATATATATGTACACATATATATACATATATATATATTTGTTGTTTGGTTTCTAAAGCCTTGATACAGGGTTTTGTAATTATTTTTCTTTCCTCTTTTAGATCTCAGACAAATACGATGTTCCCCATGACAAGATTGGGAAAATATTCAAGAAGTGTAAAAAGGGGTAAGCAGCCACTGCGTCCTGTGTACCTCGGAAAGTGCTGATGCCCCCCGCAGTGCTAGTGTGACGCACCCCCCAGTGCTGTTGACACCCCCCAGCACCATGTAACACACCGTGCATGCTAGTGACACCCTCCTGTGCCAGTGACACACACCCTGTGCCAGTGTGACACGTGTGCATCGTGCCCAGTCCAGAAGCAGCCAAAGAAACCTGGGTGCTGGAATGTGGCTTTTCTAAATTATATACGAAATTACTTAGATAAAATTGATCTGCCTTGAGGAGATCTTTGTGTATTGTTTCTCCAAGTCACCTTCTTTGCCCTCCACATGCCTGGCAGCAGTGCCATGGCTCCACACTCCAGGGTGTGTGGCCAGCGCCACTGAGGATGGCCAGGGCAGCACCTCCGTGTGTCGAGCCCGTTGGAGCCGGGCACTGGGTTGGGCACGTCCCACGGTGCTGCGCTTGGTCTTCACGTCTTCTTTCTGAGCTGGTCTCAGGGCTTGTTTATATTTATAGACAGGCGGCTGAGGCTCAGAGTTCAAGAGGCTTTTCGGGGCCATGGTTGGTATTCCCTGCCTCTGCAGCCCATGCCCTGCTCTACCCTCCTGCTCAGGATCCTATTTCCAAGTTATGTCACGTTGCTGCTTTGTCTAGAAATTAGTATTTTTAGTTCTTTTTTGTCTGTCTATGATGTTTGGCATGGATAAGCAGTGGCTAGCATAAGAATTTTTTGGCTTAGTTTTAAAACAAATTCTAATGGGAAATTTCTAGATGGTTCTAGTGGAAAGAGTTGGACTTAATAGTAGTTAATTTATTTTTGTTTATTTTCTTGTTTTTGTATTCTTTATTTTTTGTTTGATAATAGTAGTTCATTTAAACTTTGAGGCTCACTTGCTGGAGTGTGTAATTTGTCAGGGGGCTGTGACTTCACATCATGTAAGTTAGTGTTATTGATGTGCTTTTGCTTTATTCATTTAGAGATGGTTTCACTCTATCGCCCAGGCTGGAGTACAGTGGTGCAATCAGAGCTCACTGTAGCCTTGAACTCCTGGGCTCAGGCCATCCTTTCACCTCAGCTTCCCAAGTAGCAGGGACTACAGGCATGTACCACCATGTCCAGCTAGTTTTTAAAATTTTTCTGTAGAAATGGGATCTTGCTATGTTATCCAGGCTGGTCTCAAACTCTTGGGCTCAAGTGATTCTCCTGCCTCAGCGTCCCAAAGTGCTGGCATCACAGGTATGAGCCAAGTACCATTTACCAAGTGACAACTATGAAATACATGCTGGAAATAATAATCATAAATAAGCCAGTATATTTCATTTTCCAAATGCTATGATATAAATATATCACCTGATTTCCTCCTAACTCAATTCTCTCAGCAATCCTATAAGATGGGTACTATTATTATCCCCATTTTATAGATGAGGAAGTTGAGGCTTAAGGAGATTTAAATAATTTGCCTCACATGCTGCAACTAGTAAGTGGGAGAGCTAACAGGTCAATCTAGGTCTGACTCCAGGACCAAGTGGCAGTGAAGTTGGTTGGTCTTGTCCCCCCCCATCCAGGATCCTGGTGAACATGGACGACAACATTGTGAAGCATTACTCCAATGAGGACACCTTCCAGCTGCAGATTGAAGAAGCCGGGGGGTCTTACAAGCTCACCCTGACGGAGATCTAAAGGCCTGCGGGCCACAGCTCCCCAGGAGTTCAGTGCAGGTGTTTCTAGATCTTACGGTTTGGCAACTGCAGGTAACCCCAGTCAGCCATGTCGCCAGCACAGGTCTATGTCGAGGGAATGGGTTCCTTGCAGGTTGGAGGCGGGGCTGCATCTGGCTTGGTGGTAGCATTTAATCTATTGCATTGGTGTTTTTCAGATGAAAGAGAAATCCATATACCATTATGTTTGAATTTCCTGATATATACAGGATTTAAAGTGAAAACTTTATTCCAAGAGTTAACAGAGTCTCTGGGAAGCTTTAGGACATCTGCTACGTTATTTATCAAAATATTGGGATCTCTGCCTTGTGCCTACAGTGTCGTGGGCCTGCTCGCTAGCAGAAGTCAGAAAAGGCGATAGGCTTGGCTTTAAGGATTTCGTGCCCTTGCCTGAATTCAGTACAACTCCACTGCCTCACGTTAGCGGGAGCGCACCTGAAGAGTACGGGGGGAGCCCTCTCTCCCTTACCCTCTCACTCTCCACCAGATGTTTACTAAACAGGGCATGTTACTGAAATCTTCCTTTGCGACTTTCTCGGACATATCAACTGCCTTTCTCATGAAGAATTTTAATGGGTTACAGTATGAAATCAGTTAAGATAAAGCTGCATTGTATATAAGTGCAATATATTTTTGAAGGTCTGTAAATGTGTACATACATGTCTTATATAAATATATAATATATAAATATGGTGTCTGTGTACATATAGTGAAGATATGCAGTAAGAGCTACCTTAAAGACTTTCCCTAGACAAAGGTTAAGTTATTTTTTGATCGTGTATACCAAGCAGATAGAATACTGTGCTTAGTGGAACCCGCTAAAAACCTTTTTCTCTGTTTTTCCAAACACAGGCATTCTGTAGCATAGCAAAACCTTCTCAAATGACAGAGATTCTGTTTGCTGTTGAGAATGTTGTTATTTGGATTTCTGCACTGTTTAACAAATGAAGTAAAAGAAAAACACTACTGCAATCACGTCTTTTGTTATGCTAGTATCAGTCAGATGCACTTAGAGTGAAGAAACACTGTAATTACAGCACACAGATTGCAAGTATTGCGTACCAAGTGATACAACTCGAAATGCAGTTCTCATCTTCCTGTTTTGAGAAATGATTATTTTATCACGCATCAGAGCCTTCGTGCTTTGATTATCTTGTATGTTAACAATTCTAGAAAACATTCATGAATTCACAAAAATATGTTACTATGGCAGGGGAACATTTTGTACACATTTAAGTATATAAAAATACTAAAATATGTAATTTTATAACAAAGTCACGGGTATCTTTAGGTTCAGGGAACTAGACTAGGTCATTCGTGTAAATGGACTGGTAGTTACAGTCTTAGGTTAAAGTATTCTAATGAAGTATGGGAACTAAATTGCTGGTTTTCTAAGATAAGATATGGGATATGGGTCATATAACTTTTGTATTTTTTATGAAGTTGATTTTGTCTTGCGTGTTATTTTTAATTGTATCATTGAAGATGTATTTTAAACCAAAGGAATTAAATTTTATATGTCTATTTCGTAATATGTCATTTCCTGTTTTTCAATTTGACTTTGCACTGCTCAGTAAAACGTGAGAGCTGAAAAGCATCTCATTGCTAGCACTTTCTGCTTATTTCTTAATGTGTGCGCTTAGGTTGTTTTCTTCATGTTAACTTTTCCTTACTGATGCCTGAAATGATCCACGTAATTGTTAAGTCAGGGATCCCTGAATGATTTTCCAATTCTTACCAAAATTTAACCACTAAAGCTGAAGGTAAATGCTTTCATACCTAAAATCTTAGTATTCTTAGTGTTTAAAAGCCTAACAGAAAATACTTAGTTTAAAAATTTACCAATATTTAAATCATTAGAATCTCTAAAACAGGCGTCCTGAACATATTCCAGGGTAATCCAGGGCCTAAATATGATAGACACTAGGATATATTTTTAATGGATACAAGATCAGATTAATGACGTAAACTCCCTGATAGGGCTCCTGGGACATCTGCACTTTTCACAGTAACCCTCGGGCCAAAGTGGAGACTCTCCTGCAGCCTGGGTTCCCGTTCACTCAGTGCTTCCAGAGTCCAGCTCCACACAGGAAGCCTGGGGACCCTGCCAGCGCATCCTTTCTATGGGAGCCCTTCCTCACACCATGGGTCTCCTTCACCCCCTGGCTTCCCGGGACTTACCTTTGCCTCAAAACTCATCTCTTCCCGGGCGTCCCCAGGGCCATTACCTCTGGTTCCTCAGCCCAGCACCCACTCCCTGCTCTCACGGCTCCAAGTACTGACAGACACCTGCTGGCCCTCTTCTCAGCCTCTCGTTTCCTGGAGAGCAGGTTTTGGTGTCTTAGCTTTGGATCTCTGGCACCCAACCCAATGCTGGTTACATAGTTGATGCTCAGTGAATGATTCTGTAATGATAAAGCGACTAGTTTATCCTAGGAACTGCCTTCAAGTAACACAGTCACTTGCAAAACATCAGCAGGGAGCGTTTTTAGACATTACAGGCCCAGAAATCAGTCGGGGCTGGACTCGGACCAGTAGGCCACAGAGCAGGACCAGTAGGTGGAATTATCTGGGACTCAGGTGTGTGCCACTGTGCCTGGATTTCTGGCCTGGATCTTTGCAGTAACCCAACTGGACTCATCGTTTCCATCCCTGGGCCCCTTCGTTTTATTCCTAATCTAGGAGCCATGATGATTCTTCTAAAATATAAATTAGGACTCTGCTCAGAACCCTGCAGTAGCTCTCCGCTTCACTCATAATGTAGACGGGATCTGTCCTCTGGCCACTGACCTCAAATTACACCATAGCTGAAGGTCCTGCAGAGTTAGGCCTGCTGAGGTTACGCGATGTCGAGAGCAAATGTCGGCATTCCGGTAATAAATGCCTTTGACTCTTAGTTTTCCGTTGCTGAAAGTCATGTTGGAGACGTTTGCCCAATCTTGGTCATGTTTCCAAGAAGAAAGACTCGTTTTATGAGCCTCATGGGATATTGATGGTATTAATAACAAGATGAGTTGAAGGCTGAGCATCAGGATTGCCATTCTTAGCAAATACTTCTTTCTCCCTATTAAAATTCATCAGAAGCAGTTCACTTGCAGCTGGCAGGGCCAACGATACACCTTCAGTGTCCCCCCTCGGGCTCTCCTGGATTCCTCAGCCCAGCACTCACTATGTGAGGGGGTCTGGTCTGCAGCAACTGTGGTCAGCTTTCCAGCCCACAGGGCATCAGTCAGCCCATCCCATTGCTGAGAGTGCAGGAAAGACGGGGAGAGCAGGGGGTAGCATCTTCCCCAGACAGCGTTAGGAGGTTACGTGAATGTCAAACAGTAGAAAACAATCCCTGCAAAAATGCAGAGGCTGCCTCAGTAACATTTCTAGGGGACCAGCAATCTGGGGCATGTAACAGATCCCCTCCAGGGTGAAGGACAAGTGCTGCGTGGGCCCTCCACCCCCTACTCTCCAACCTCCTTCACCTGCTGTATTTTTTCCCATCGCATTTATCACTCTCTAACCTGGTATCTATTTTACTTGATTATTGTACTTACTGCTTGTCATTTGCCTTCCTTTGCTAGAATGTTCCCTCCACCAGAGCAAGGTTTTTTGTCTGACTTGTTTGCTGACAAATCCCAAATGCTCAAAAAATGCCTGGTGCCTTGTAGATACTTGTGTGCATACCTTCTACTGGCCCTCCAGGTCCTCTCTCCACTTCTCTCCCCGGGAGGCTCGCCTGTGGGGCCCACACCAACCCCTGTGGGTTGGGGAGAGATGGAAGGAGAGCGAGGTCAGGTATTGATTCCCCACCTCTCACAGGCCTCTCAAGCAGGGTGTTCCTGAAGCCCACTGTGCCTCCTCTGTAGAACTTTCCCTCCATGTCCTCGCAACCACGTCCTTATCCCCTCAGGAATTAGCTGCTGCCTGCTGGAGGGTAGGACACTAGCCCTGCAGGTTCCCCTCCATTCCCATCTTGGGAAATAGTCCCTTAAAGAAGCCCTTCTTGAATTATCCTCTTTTGAGTGTGCCATCTGTTTTTGTGTCACAATCCTGGTTGATACAGTGGTCAATACATTTTCACCGACTGAATGAATGAATGGTGTAAGTTCTGGTCTGAGTCCAAAGGTCTCTTAGTGCTGAGTATCTTCTATTGGCCCTTCCAGATCCCCTCTCCACCCTTCTCCACGAAAGGCTCACCTGTGGGGACCACACCAACCCAGAGACTAAAGGCCCCTTAGTCTGTCCCACTCCCCACCCAGTTCTCAGGCCTTCAGACTCTGACACCACCAGCTTTCCTGGTTCTGCAGCTTGCTGACAGCACATCTTGAGAGGGAGGGACTTCTAGGCCTCCAGAATCATATGAGCCAGTCCCCATAGTAAATAAAACATATTGGTTCTGTTTCCCTGGAGAACCTAGCACAGATGTGGTTCCAAAAATGGCTTCAGAAGAACGGAAGTTTTCCAAACTGGTTCTGAGGTTTCCGGAACTGGCTCTCTAAATGGATTAGATTTAAAGGTGCTAATGACACCATTTCAGTTAGTAAAGAGAACACCAGTAGTCCATGCTGTGAACTGTTTATAGTGATACACAAAATCTGTATTGAATACTCCTAATCAACCACTTGTAAAAAGCAAGAAGCTAAGTGATTCTGTGCATGAGAACTTCAAACATTTTCTTGTAAACTAAGAAATATAATGGCATTGGTTGGTTGGTCCTAATGTCACCGGACAAAGTGGTGAAAGAAGAAGATGGGCTCAGGGATTCAAATTCCCACCCCAAGCCAGCTA
Source organism: Homo sapiens (assembly GCF_000001405.40). Classification (NCBI taxonomy): domain Eukaryota; kingdom Metazoa; phylum Chordata; class Mammalia; order Primates; family Hominidae; genus Homo; species Homo sapiens. The sequence goes on from NC_000002.12 coordinate 10,005,525, forward strand.
GGTTTCCCTCTGGCCTCCCCCTCCCATGTGTGTGTCCTGTTGTGTCCAGAATTGGTGGGTTCTTGGTCTTGCTGACTTCAAGAATGAAGCCACGGGCCCTCGTGGTGAGTGTTACAGTTCTTAAAGATGGTGTGTGCGGAGTTCCCTCAGATGTTCAGATGTGTCCGGATTTTCTTCCTTCTGGTGGGTTTGTGGTCTCGCTGACTTCAGGAGTGAAGCTGCAGACCGTCGCGGTGAGTGTTACAGCTCTTAAGGGTGGCGTGTCCAGAGTTGTTCATTCCTCCTCCCAGTGGGCTCCTGGTCTTGCTGGCTTGAGGAGTGAAGCTGCAGACCTCCATGGTCAGTGTTACAGTTCATAAAGGCAGTGCAGACCCAAAGAGTAAGCAACAGCAAAACTTACTGCAAAGAGCAAAAGAACAAAGCTGCCACAGTGTGGAAGAGTACCCCAAACGGTTGCCTCTCCGAGGCTCCGGTGGCCTGCTTTCATTCCCTTATTTGGCTCCACCCACATCCTGCTGATTGGTCCATTTTACAGAGACCTGATTGGTCCATTTTACAGAGCGCTGATCTGTCCATTTTACAGAGAGCTGATTGGTCCGTTTTGACAGAGTGCTGATTGGTGCGTTTACAAACCTTTAGCTAGACACAGATCGCTGATTGGTGTGTTTACAATCCTTTAGCTAGACAGAAAAGTTCTCCAAGTCCTCACCTGTCCCGGCAGCCCAGCCCGCTTCACCTCTTACTGTCACTCGCCGGGGACTCTGCGGCACCTAGCCCAGGTACTCCGGCAGCCCAGAGGGAGCTCGTCCCCGACAACCAAGAGGAAAAGAGGGGAAGCGAGAAAGACGGAGACCCGCCATCGTGGCCAACGACCCCGTGAAGAGGGAACGGCGGTCCACGCACGGGACCCAGCCTCCAATCAAGCCCAGCAGGCGCCAGCCGGGCACGCCTAGTGCTGGGGCCCGCGGGCCCGCGTCCACCCGGAACCCGCGCCGGCCCAGGAGCGCCGCGCGCACCCCTGGCTCCCGCCCGCGCCTCTCTTTTCACACTTCCCCGGGAGCAGAGGGAGCCGGCTCCGGCCTCGGCCAGCCCCAGAGAGGGGCCCTCATAGCTCAGCGGCGGGCCGAAGGGCTCCTCGAGCGGCCAGAGCGGACGTCGAGGCCGAGGAGGCGCCGAGAGCCAGCGAGGGCTGCTAGCAGGTTGTCACCTCTCACCATCGGGCCTGTGTGGGTTGGTGGAGTCCCTCCCCTGTCACTGCAGACGGAGCACAGGGAGAGCGTGGCAGCCAGCAGGGTGGCTCAGTTGCCAGGCGCCCACACGAAGCACTTGGCTCTGTTCACAGGGCTGGTCTTGATAAGAGAAAGCAAATGTCCTGCGGGCCATGCAGGCTGGGGGTGAGGCTGCCAGGCTGCCAGGCTGCTCCTGAGACCAGTAGCCCCTCTGGAAGCATCCCCTGAGGGAGAGACCAAACAAGAGGAGAACCCCGCCCTCAGGCTGCTCCGGCACCTTCAGGCAGACAGGGCAGGGCTGACCAGGCAGGATCGTCATCCCCAGGGCTGTGGGCAGTGACTCGTCACAGCAGCAGACAGAGTGGCAATCTCTCGACTGTCCCCAGAGCCCTGCACGGTGTACAAAGGCTGTGCCTTTCCAGGTTCCATCCCACACCCAATACCCAACTCCCCCCTTTTTTTTTTCCGCTCTGTCACCCAGGCTGGAGTACAGTGGCGTGGCCATAGCTCACAGCAGCCTTGATGAACTCCTGAGCTCAGGAGATCTCCCGCCTCAACCTCCCAAGTAGCTAAGACTACAGGATCAAGCCTAGCTTATTATTACTATTATTATTATTATTATTATTATTATTTTGGAGAGACAGGTTCTCACTACGTTGTTCAGGCTGGTCTCAAACTCTTAGCCTCAAGCAATCCTCCTGCCTCGGCCTTCTGAGTGACTGCGATTACAAATGTGAGCCACTGCGCCGGGCTCTTTGTCATTTCTGTTCTTTTGGATCTATCCTTAAAGCAGGGTGTGCCCAGCTCAACAGTGCCTGAGGACTGCCCCCTCTGCCTGAAGCCACCGCCTCCTCGGAGGCCAGGCTGACTGCTGCTTTCATTCCAGCTCCCTTGGACTTGAGGGGGCTCCTAGTGCCTCCTCAGACCGATTTCTAATCTGGTAGCTGTTTGCAGGCAACTTTTGGAGGGTGGGGTGGCTCTGGCCTGCAGACGCAGAGGTGCTATGCAGTGAGATCATCGTCCTCATATTTTAATTCTTTAGACATGCTTTCCTTTAGTTTATTTAGCATGTTTTAAACAACAGATTTAACGTCTCTGTCTAATAAATCCAGTCTCTGGGATATTTCAGGAGGTTTCTGTTGATTTCTCCCCTGTGCATGGGCCATAATTTTTTGTTTATTTGCATGTCTGGTAAGTTTTTGTTAATAACTGGACATTTTAGGTAACATAATGTGGCTACTGTGGAAATCAGATTCTCCCTTTACCCAGGTTTTGTGGCTGCAGTTTTGTTTGGTTAGTGACTTCTCTGGACTAATTCTGGAGTCTGCTTTCTGTGTTGTGTGTGGACCCTGCAAACTCCATTCAGCAGTGCGGTGGGTGGCTAATGATTGGACAGAGATGGCCTTCGACGCCAGAGCTTCCCAGTCCTTGCCAAGGGCTCTGTGGGGTGATGGGGGTACCTTAAACACTCAGCCAGACCAGCAGCATCTCTGCCCTAGCCTGCACTTTCTGCTGCTCAGAGCGTCAAGGTCACCCAGAGGTGAGATCTCAGCTGCCCCAGGTCCTTGCTGAGCACTTCCACAGCCCAGGAATGTGCACAGCCTCCCGGGTGCCTGGGAACGTGCACGGCCTCCTAGGAGCCCGGGAACACGTTGGAGCCTCTGAACGCACCTCTGCACTTTTCACCGCCCAGTTTTTCCTCCTAAGCCTTTTGGTGAGCCCAGTGTCTGCTCCAACGGCCATGTGCCTCCTCAGCCATGAAATTAGGCAATTTCTTCCACATCATTTTTGACAAATCCCCTTGAGAAAAAGGCTTTTCTTACGGGGGGAGCTCCCAGGCAGGTCAAATGAGGGCAGGCTTGCAAGTAGGGTTCTCCAGGGAACCGCCAGACGGCGAAATAACGACAGTTCTCAGGATTAAGCCTTCGAAGGAGCTCCAACCCCGATCTGCCACTCCCGGCGCTTCCAGGCTGCTGGGTGTTGATGTGATTGTGGCTTTTGGTTTTCAAGGCTCCCGCAGGAGCTGAAGAATACAGTGGATACCACTCAGCAAGAGAGGAACAAACCACGACCACACAGAGACACGAATCTCAAAATAACTGCGGAACTCAAGAAGCCGGACCAAAAGAACACATTCCACGTGACCCATTCATCTACAGCTCTAGAAAATGCAAACTGATCTATGGCGACAGAAAGATGGGAGGCTGCCTGGGATGGGGGCGGGGCGGGAGAGAGGGAGTATCTAATGGGGCTTGAAGAACCCTTTGAGGGTGATGATGGAGATGTTCGGTATCTGATGTGAGGACAGTTTCAGGAGTGTAGATGGGAGAACTTACCAAATGGTACACTTGAAGTAGGTGCAGTTCATTGTATATGAATTATATCTCAATGAAGCTGGGTTTTTTCATGAAAAGATGACCTGGATCTCTCTCTACCTGCAAACATCTGTCTCCATCTCCTTCTCCTGGCTTCCCCCAGCTCCAGTCTGCCTGCATCCAGAGTTGGCAGGACCCTGTCTCTGTGTGAGATGGCAGCTCCCAGTGGGTCCCTGTGGACACGGCTCTGCCCTTGCCCACCTCTGCCTGCACAGCTCCCCGGCAAGAGTGCCCCCCTTGCCCTTGCCCTGGTGAACACCTACCGACTGCCAGCCAAGCCCGTGCGCAGAGCCCCTCCTGCTCTCCCTGTCCAGGGCTCGCCTCTGGTTGTTCTGGAATCCTCTGTGTATGAAACTGCTTCTGTCCGCAGCAGGTGGCTTTGGAAGGGCACTGGGATGCGGTGGCAGCAGCCGGGCTTCCGCATCTGCTGTTGAAACAAACTCAGCAGCAATCTGGAAACAATCTAGAAGCCTGGCGGACGTCCCGCACCTGTGTTCGGTGGGGGCTGTGCGGTCCTGGCCGCAGCCTGGAGGGGACAGGCCTAGCTGAGGGATGAGCACAGTCCGCTGCTCTCCTTCCTGCCTCTGCCTCTCTCCTCTATGAGCCCCTGCCCATGGGTGAGGAGGGCCGGACGGTTAGCAGGGGCCCCATGGGGAGGCCCCACAGCCACCAGACCCCTGTCCAGCCAACTCCTCCCCTTCAGCCATCGCACCCTGGCATGGCCCCAGAATGCCCTCCTGTTGGGACAGCAAGGGCTGGGGCCTGGAGGAGCCTTTCCAAGCAGGAGGAGGGAGGCACCACCATGGGGCCTCCTCTTTCCACGGCCCTCCCTCCCCACGCTGGTCTGCACCTGCCCTAGAGACCAGAAGCCG